>NC_000005.10:151255563-151555880 GCF_000001405.40 Homo sapiens
ATGGGTGTGATGGTGCCAACGTGCATCTCGGGGAGTTGTCGGTGAAGGGAAATGCATTCATTGATGGAAAATTTCTAAAATCAGAAACAAATAAAGCCATATAAATCTGTGGGCTTGGCCTCACTCTGCCCCCGAGGCAGAAAGTCTGTTTTGCTTGTTGAATGAAGGAACGTGGACCTTTTGACTTCATTTGCCTGGAGAATTTATACCTTGTTCCTGAATGTTGGCTGAGAATGCTTCTCTTGGCTCCAGGGCTGGCCGCTATGAGGTGGAGTCTGGCTAGAGGCTGCTAGCTCACCCTACAAACTTGTTGTATATGCTGTGGGTATGGATGCCATCTCAGACTAGGTCTTAGATTGGCAGTTTTGAAGAGGCCCTGAGACATTATAAAGGTCACTCAAAATCACACAGCACCTACATCTTCTTGGGGCTCATGTGATTCAGAGCCCTGACCTTGAGTCCCTGGGCCAGATAAAGATGGGGGTGGGGGGTGACAGTGAATGAACATCAGGAAACCTGAATTTCAGTTCCTCTTCTAGCATAACTGATCTTGTGACTACAGGCTGTGATGGGTGTTAGATAACAGGGGAGGATATCTAGCCCCATGCTAGTCATATAGTAGGTGCTTAATAGACTCTATAGTGCTGTATAGTGGCTGTCATTTGTTGTACCCATACTATGTGCTATGTACTGGGCTATGTGCTTTTTTCCTAAAAAAAAATTTGGAATAATTTTAGGTTTATAGAATAGTTGCAGCAGGGCGTGGTGGTTCACCCCTATAATCCAGCACTGTGGGAGACCAAGGCAGGCAAATCACTTGAGGCCAGGAGTTTGAGACCAACCTGAACCTGGCCAACATGGTGAAACCCTGTCCATACTAAAAATACAAAAATTAGCCAGGCATGGTGGCGTACACCTGTAGTCCCAGCTACTTGGGAGGCTGAGGCAGGAGAAATCACTTGAACCTAGGAGGCAGAGGTTGCAGTGAGCTGAGATCACGCTGCTGCACTCCAGCCTGGATGACAGAGTGAGACTCTGTCTCAAGAAAAAAAAAAAAAAAAGAAAAGTTACAGAGATAATATAGAGTTTCTATATACTCCTGACTCAGTTTTCCCTGTTAGCATCTTATATGTACATATCTCCAACACTAAGAAACCAACATTAGTACATTACTGTTAACTGAATTCTAGACTTTATTTGGATTTCACCAGTTTTCCCATTAATGCCCTCTTTCTGAGCCAGGATCCAATCCAGGGTACTGCACTGCCATTGTTGTCATGACACATATAATTGTAGTCCCCCCTCTCCTCCAGCCTATGACAGCTTCTTAGTCTTTCCTTGTTTATTCATGAGCTTGGCAGTCTTGAGGAGTTGTGCCCTGTGCTTTCTGTATACAAACATCTTACCCTCACAATAGCCCTGTGAGAAGATATCATTATGTCCACATAATAAATGAGGAAATTTTGAACCCCTAGGGGGTTAACTTACCCATGGTCTTAGCTAGTAAGACTGGCTGAGCTGGGTTTTAACTCATACCTGTAGTACCCATATCTCTGCCTCCAGAGCTGTGCCTTTCCCCTCCGTCTTGTACCACCCCTTCCCACTAGTTGGCCTAGGCTGGAATGGCAGATATCTGGTGACCAGCCTGGCCTTGGTGGGCACTGCTAATCCATTACACCTCCCTTCCCTGATGAGCCTGGACTCAGCAGCAGAATTTGTCACTACAGAGACAGCTAGCCGGGCATTACCCTCAGGAAGCCATCTTGTTACGTCTCCCCCAGGGCCTGGGGAAAGAAGAGCTTAGGAGAGGGGAAGGGATTCTTCTCCGGTAGGTACTCTGGATACCCTACCCCCACCCCCAGCCCAGAATCAATTCTCTGTGTGGATCAGGCTGCCTTAGAATCTATGAAAACAGCCCCACCCAGAAAACTAGTCCTGCTCCTATGTTGCCCTCCAGCCTGACTCTTAATTCCAGGCAATCTTTCCCTTGACCACTTTCAGTCTGTTCACAACCACAAATCACAGTGTAGTACTGTCCTTCAGTGGGGTTCCACTGCCCCTATAGTAAATGCAACCTCCCGATTATAGCTTGTGGGGTCCTGCATTAAATGACCCTGCTACCCCTCCAACCTCATCTGGGTCCCTCATCTACTACATTTAGCCCATGGCCTTCTCCCAGTGCCTGGAGCAGCCAAGCTTCTTTGTGCCTCGGGGCCTTTGCCTGAGTTCCCTCGGCCTGCACTTACATGTCTGACTCCGCATCCTGCAAGAGCCCGGCTTAAGTATCACTTCCCCACCACCCTATGTAAGTGAGTCCTTTGTTGCTGTCAGCATTACCTTCTGCTCTTTTCCTTTGTGGCACTCACAAATCATAGTGGGTGATATTTATTTGCATTAGACGGTAAGCTCCTCAAGGCAGGGCAGGAGCCAGGTCTGATTGTTTACCACTCTTGCCACAGCACTTAGCCCAGGGCCTATCATCATTGCTCCATAAATATTTGTGGAATGAATGTTGAAGGAAACATTTAGTGGCAACTATCCTGTCCTGCCTTTCTTAGTCATGACATGACCTTTCATTCCAAGGGGTAGGAACCCATTCCTAAAAGCTCAGGTAAAGGGGAAGTTTATTACAGAGCTGCAAGACATCCCATGGAGCTGCCGGCAGGAAGCGGAGGCTAGGACGCTAATGGCTCCTTTAGTGAGCCGGCTCCCGTGTTGTGCCTGGCATTGGGTTATGAGCTTTACATACACGCTCTCGCCCTTGCAACATCCTGGAGAGGAAGGTAGAAATGCCTCCAGTTAAAAGATGTGGAAATTTAGACTCCAAAGGGGAAACTGGCCTATAAAATCACATGGTAAGTGTGGCAGAGCTATGATTTCCACCCAGGGCTGTTTGGCTAAAGCTGTCATTCACCCATGTCTCTCCAAAGCCATGCCCTTCACTGCTACTCCATACTGCTTTTATAGATAGGGAAGTGGGACTTGATCTGTTCCCTTTTCCACAGACCAACAGAGCCCTTAGCCCTTAGCCCTAACTTCTGCTTGGTCATGGATCACAGATCTAGATGGTCTGGCCTCAACCCAAAACTTAGGATCCAGTGACAGCACAAAACCCCCATATCCCCAGCCTTTTATACCTTAATTCCAAAATTGGGCAGAGAGAATCTGTCAGCCTAGCTGGGGTTAGGTGATCCCTCTTGAAAGAGTCAGTGATGGGAGTGTTGAAGGTGGGCATCAGCTTGGGGGTGTGGGACTGGCAGGTTTTCTCTCTGAGACAGGGTGTGGATGGAGGGCATGCCAACAGTCTCTCATAGGTGGCCTCCAGGGGGCTGGGAGAGGTGAGAGTGGGTGGGCAGAGAGTCTTCACAGTGTGGGAGGTGTTCAAGATCATCAGACAGGGTCTGTTGGAGTGCGGAGTGGTGGTCACATGCAGTCACATGCAGATGTAGTGGTGGTGGAATCAGGAGACCTGGGGGATGTGGAGGAGGAACAGGAGCAGCTCAGCACAGGGGTGGTGAGTGATCCAAGTGGGCATGTGGCATGAGAAGAGGGATGGGAAGAAGACACTGGTTAGGACTGGGGAAGTCCACTGGGGATTATTCATCAGCAAGTGATCCACTGGGGATCTTTTCATGAGTGTCCTATTCCTTTCTGAGTTAATCACCTGCCCCTTGAGAGTGGGATTTCAGATGCTGTTAGATTTCCCATTGTGTTTTGTGTTTCCCATTGTTCCTGGCTCTGGGTTGGGCACGGGGTGTGACATGAACAAGGTCCTGGGTGTGGGCTGCAGAGGTGAATCCTCCAGGAGCTTGCCCTCTGCTGGGATTCCAAGGCTGGCTGGAGAGGAGTGGGCAGCAGGGAGGTGGGAAGTCAGAGAAGGTGCCCACCAAAGGCCAATTAGGTCAGTCTCCTGTTTGGAAGTTCCAGGTCTATCATATCCTGCCTTATAGTTTACAATACACTTTTGGGAGATTATGTCTTTTGAGTCTTTTAGTTTAGTCCTGCCTATAAAATGAGTAGGATAAGTGTTATCCCAGCTTCATAGGTATGGAGTCTCATAGATGAGGCTCAGGGACGGGGGTGCCTCACCCAAGGTCACTCTGCCAGGAGCTCATTTTTCCTGTGATCTGTGATAGTTTCTTTTGTCAACCTTTTTCTTCTTCTCCTTCCTTGCTGCCTGATTGTCCCCAGCCATCCCAGCTCAGTAGCTTTTCCTGGGATAACTGTGATGAAGGGAAGGACCCTGCGGTGATCAGAAGCCTGACTCTGGAGCCTGACCCCATCATCGTTCCTGGAAATGTGACCCTCAGTGTCATGGGCAGCACCAGTGTCCCCCTGAGTTCTCCTCTGAAGGTGAGCCTGGGGGTGGGTGGAGAAGGGGAGGTGCGAGGGTCTGGCCAGCAGGGGTACTGGGGCATGTATGCTTGGGGAACTGTGAAGAATTTCAGAATCCTGGATTCCCAGAGAATAGTACAGGACATGTAGATTCAGACACTCTTTCACAGGTTCATGGAATCTCAGGATCATAAGATTGAAAGGAATCTCTGATGTCAGCGCCAGCAACTTCCTGGTGAGGGCAGGAGTGACGGATACCTTGCACCTGGCAGAAGCGTCCTGGCCTTCTCTGGGCCTGGTGGCCAACTGCTCATTATTGTCTGACAGCTCTGGTTGGCCAATTTGGTTTTGTTGTTAATTATAAAATTGATATACCAATTAGCCAGTAATATATAGTCACTTTAGAAAACACAAGTGGTCAAAAAATAAATAAAATAGGCCAGGTGTGGTGGCTCATGCCTGTAATCCCAACACTTTGGGAGGCTGAGGTGGGTGGATCTTTTGAGGTCAGGAGTTTGAGACCAGCCTGGCCAACATAGTGAAACCCCATCTCTACTAAAAGTACAAAAATTAGCTGGGCGTGGTGGCATGTGCCTGTAATCCTAGCTACTCAGGAGGCTGAGGTAGGAGAATTGCTGGAACCCAAGAGGCAGAGGTTGCAGAAAGCCAGGATCGCACCACTGCACTCCAGCCTGGGTGACAGAGTGAAACTCTGTCCCAAAATAAATAAATAAATAAAATAAATCACTTGAAATCTCACTACCTAGTGATAAGGGATAAGCACTTTTAACATCTTATAGGATATTCTTTGCAACTTTCCCCCATACAATTACATACATAACACACATATTTATTTTTAATGGATATGTATGATAATAGGCAGTGCTCATTGTAAATGTCCTCCAGTAATCTAAATCCTAGAGATAGTCAGTGTTTGCTCTTTATATATCCCATCAGAATTTTTATGTGTTTGTAAATATATACACACTTATACTCATGGGATTATATGATATGTGCTATTATACTTGCTATTTTTTTTGCCTCATACTATATGTCCATATCTTTCCAAGGATTAGGTGGCTCTACTTATTCAATTTTTTTTTATCCAATCATTATTTTATTATTTTAATGTATTGTAATTTTAGAGACAGTGTGTCACTCTGTTGCTCAGGCTGGAGTGCAGTAGTGTGATCATGGCTTACTGCAGCCTTGACCTCCTGGGCTTAAGGGATCCTCCCACCTCAGCCTCCTGAGTAGCTGGGACCACAGGTTCATGTCACCATGCTTACCTAATTTTTTTATTTTTTATGGAGACGGAGCCTCCCTGTGTTGCCCAGGCTGGTCTCAAACTCCTGAGTTCAAGCAATCCTCCTGCCTCAGACTCTCAAAATGTTGGGATTATAGGCGTGAGCCACCTTGCTCAGCCCACCCAATCATTTTTAATGGCAGAAATATTCTGATGTGGATCTTTCATAATTTATATAACAAGTCTATTGTTGAACATTTAGTTTGTTTCCAGGGTAGTTTTTATTTGTTTGTTTGTTTATTTGTTTGTTTTGAGACAGGTTCTTACTCTGTTGCCTAGGCTGGAGTGCAGTAGCGCAATCTCAGCTCCCTGCAACCTCCACTTCCCGGGTTCAAGCGATTCTCCTGTCTCAGCCTCCCAAAGTGCTGGGATTACAGGCACCTGCCATTGCGCCCCACTAATTTTTGTATTTTTAGTAGAGATGGGGTTTCACCATGTTGGCCAGGCTGGTCTTGAACTCCTGACCTCAGGCAATGTGCCTGCCTCGGCCTCCCAAAGTGCTGGGATTACAGACACCTGCCACCATGCCCAGCTACTTTTTGTATTTTTAGTAGAGATGGGGTTTCACCATGTTATCCAGGCTGGTCTTGAACTCCTGACCTCAGGCAATCCACCTGCCTCAGCCTCCCAAAGTGCTGGGATTATAGGCTTGAGCCACTGTACCTGGCCAGAGGGTTTTTTTTGTTTGTTTGTTTTTTGTTTTGCTGTAGTAACCACCTTTGTAGAAATTATTCTTATAGTACATCTTTTTATAATTTTCTGATTCTCTAGATACACACTTTTTAGGTCTTTTGATACATTTTGCCAAAGTGCCTCCCAATGTTTGAATAAACCTGCATCATTCCTAGTGAGCGTAGATGTCTATTCATAAGTTTATTTGCCTTTTGTATTTACTTTGGGAATAACCTGTTTGTTTCCATCCATTGACTATTTTAGGGGTGTATGTTTTTATATTTTCTTAGAAAACAATGAAGACTTTTCATATATCCATTGCAACACCATTTAATATGGTCCTTTCCTCTCTAGCTAAAATTGCTACCTTTATATGATGCTCCTCTATGCCCTTCAGTCTGTTCCTGATCCAGATCTATTCTAGTACCAGTTTTGTGTTAATTATTTAGAAGATTCCTGATTTGGATTCTGTGTTTCTATCATTATCCTTAGACCTGTCTTAATCACAGCTCCTACGTTATGGGCTTTCCTTGAGCAATACCTGAGTTAGAAAATCATGTGGAAAGTGCTTTGCACAGGGCCTGGCACCCAGGACATGCTCAGTACATTTTATATCTTGTGAACATTTCGATTAGTATCTGTCTTATCCTGCAGTCTCTTGACCCAGACACAAGTCCTGGATATGTGGCAGCTTTCAGCTCCCCTGCACCTCCTACCAAGCCTTTTCCTAGCAGAGTCATTGTGTTTCCATTACTGTTCCTCAAGTGATAGGGGGTCAAGCCCTGTACCCTTGGATCTGGGCCAAGGGATGGAATCATTCCCTATGTATGGACACTGGACTGTTTCTCTGCCAGGGTCACACACATTTATTTGTGTGCTCCCTCTGCTGATCTGGAGTGTGGGCTCTCCTGGTAGGCCGTCCGCCATGCTCCCTCTGCTGCCATCACCATGCAGCCACTGGTGTTTCCAGGGAGGGGGCTATGCAGCTGACTTGGAAACAAGAAGCTGGCAAACCCGCTCTTCTGCCCTCAGCCTGCTTTTCCTGGCTTCTTCACAAACCATTAAGATGGGTTTTACTCCCTATTCTCCTTTTCCATTGCTTTATTACCTTTCATAAATTTGGGCCTACATAATCTCCTCTGTCTTTACTGTCACTTGTGCTTAGGAAAAATTAGCCTCAGATCCCCTCTGCTCCTTCTTTTTCCCCAATTTCTTTTTTTTTTTTTTTTTTTTTGAGATGGAGTTTCACTCTGTTGCCTAGACTGGAGTGTAGTCGCGCGATCATGGCTCATTGCAACCTCTGCCTCCCGGTTTCAAGGGATTCTCCTGCGTCAGCCTCCAGAGTAGCTGGGATTATAGGCGTGCACTTTTTTAGTAGAGATGGGGTTTTGTCACATTGGCCAGGCTGGTCTCAAACTCCTGACCTCAGGTGATCTGCCCACCTTGGCCTCCCAAAGTGCTGGGATTACAGGCGTGAGCCACCAGGCCCGGCTCCCAATATTTCTCGTATATATATATATATTTATTTATTTATTTGGTTCAGTTCTTTTTTCAGGATATGTGCATATCAACTATTAGATGAAAGCTCTTCTGACCACTTGCTAGGGAGAAGAGCCGATGAGGGACAAAGGGTCTCAGGAAAGGTTGCAACTTGACCCAGGTCACAAAGCTAGTTGTTAGCATGGACAAGGCTGGTATGTTTATCTTGGGGTTTGGTTCCTGAGCTTTTACTGGCAGGGAGGTAGACTTGGTGCTTGGTGTATTTGCAGGGGAGGGGAGAGGAGTGCTGCAGATTCAGTTCCAGAACTCTCCCCTTGCCCAGCAGACCTGCTTATGAGAGCTGCCCAGAACTAAGCTCTGGATGAGCCTGGAGCACTCTTGGGGTCCATGGGGCTTCAACCCCTTGTTACACTGAGGCCCAGAGGAGAGTGACTGCCCAAACCCAAGAAAGCAACTGCCATCCTCTCTTTCTCTGATCTTGCTGTAGTGAAATTTCTTTAATCAAAAGTCAAATCTGGGACCTGGCTGGATTTGACTCCAGCTGCAATTTTTAAAAGTTAAATGTCCCGGATTCCATGGCCGTGGGTAAGACTGGGGCCTGCTCAGGAGCTCCCTTTTCTCTTTTGACTTGCTCCATGGGATCTGGCATAGTTAATAACTCCCAATGCCCAGCCCTCCCTCAAGTTCCAGCCTGTGGGACCCTGGTTTTCCCATCCTCAAGAACTGTAAATTGTCACTGTATTTGTCATATGTACTTATTCCAGCCTTTCAGGCCTGGTAACTTGGCTCCCCCAGCACCCAAAGTCATATACATGCCTGGGCTCATTACTCCACCCTGCTTCCTTTTCTGAGTCATAGTAGCAAATAGATTGAGAATAAGAAATGAGCCATCATTTGTAATTTCCAAATGGTAGGTGTGGCTGCTGCCTTAGAACCCTCTGTTGACTTCAGTTCAGTACACTTCTTGTGTCGTGCTGGTCCTGTGCTGGGGGCAGGAGTAGAGATGAGGGAGCCACTACCTCTTCTGGTAGATGCAGCCCTACAGGTTCCAGCCTGGTGGGAGGAGCCCTGGCAGGACTTGTCCCCCTACTGGCCTCCTCCACTGTGTGTTCTCACTCAGGGCATAACTGGCTCAAACATTTTCATTAGGGTATTGGCGACACAAGGAGAGAGTATTGGCTAAGGAAAAAGGCAGGGCAGAAGTCATGGAGGAGGAAGCTTTTGATTTCAGGCACTGTGCAAAGTGCTGGTATTTCCCTCTCAATGGGACCTGTGAGAGAGGTAGGCACTCTAAAATATCCCACTTTTGAAGATGAGGCGAGGCTGGATACAGTGCTTCATGCCTGTAATCCCAGGACCTTGGGAGGCCGAGGCGGGTGGATCATTTGAAGTCAGGAGTTTGAGACCAGCCTGACCAACATGGTGAAACCCCATCTCTACTAAAAATACAAAAACATTAGCCAGGCGTGGTAGCTCATGCCTGTAATCTCAGCTACTCAGGAGGCTAAGACAGGAGAATCGCTTGAACGCAGGAAGCAGAGTTTGTAGTGAGCCAAAATCACACCACTATACTCCAGCCTAGGTGACAGAGTGAGACTCTGTCTCAAAAAAAAAAAAAGAAGGTGAGGGAATGGCCACTGAGAGAGATTAAGTAACTCACCCAAGGGCACAATAAAACTAGGAAGTGGCAGAACTAGCATTCCAACCTAGGCCCTCTGACTTTTCCTAGGCAGCGGGGTAGAAGCAGGTTTGATGAGAGAGAGGAGGGCTGAGAGGGTGCTGTGTGGCCAGTGGTGGAGATAATGGGTATGTCTTAGGAGCAGATGAGGCCAGTGAGAGGAGCAATTAGAATTTGTCCACTCAGACCACAGGATGTGCTAACTTCTTTGTTCTTTCTGGGCCTGGAGGAAGGCAGCTAATATCTCGACATCTGGGGCATCTGGAAGACTTGAGTCCGTGGCCTGGGAACCAGCCTGAGCCCAGCAGCCTCTTAGGACATAAGTGCCCATCCAGGATTTAATCTCTTAGAAACAGAGCCCCAAATAAAGTGAGCCTAGAGGCTGGGATTCCTAGAATGCTAGAATGTCAGAGCTGAAAGGGATCCTAAAAATGTGATTTCCTGCCATAACACGCACAAGGAATCAGATATTTGAGAAAGCTAATTTCCTGGTGCTCTTTCCTGAGAGTTTTCCCTTGATACCTTTGGTGGGTGATGGACATGGTTCTAAAGCCAACTCATTTGGCACTAGAGGCAACTAACACATGGTGACTGTTCAGCGCGTGCCCGGCACAACTGGGATGTCCACCATGAAATTTGGGCCACTTCCTCCTGGTCAGCTTCAGCCTCCAAAACGGGAGCAAAGTCATGACAGTATGGAGGTGTGAAGTGTGTTCTAGAGCTTCTCACCCAGCCCTACTCCAGGCACAAGAGTCTTTTGTAGCTTTCCCGGCTGAGTCAGGGAGCCCGTACTCCTTGAGGCAGCTCCATCTGTTGTAACCTAGCTATGATTTTATACCAGTCTCAAGGTGATCTTTCTATACATTCCTATTGTTCTTAATTCTGTCTTCTGTGGCTGTACGGAGAAAATGTGACCCAAGAGCAGCCAGTTGGGTTCATTTTGGTAACCAGCTCATCAGTTGGTAGTAACTACCTGAAGTCCTATGCAGAAAAGGATTTTGGGGCCACGACTGGGCTCAGAAGGAAAGCCCAGGAAACAATGCCACAGTTAACCAATTAGCAGTTAGATGACAAGTGCATTTCAATGCAAGTGTTAGAGCCAATCAATGGGTAGTGACTACCTAAAGAATTCTAAGACTATGGACTGAGCATGATGGCTCACGCCTGTAATCCCAGCACTTTGGGAGGTGGAGGTGGAAGGATTGCTTGAGGCCAGGAGTTCCAGACCAGCCTGGGCAACAAAGTGAGACCCCATCTCTACAAAAAATACAAAATTAGCTGGGTGTGGTGGCATGTGCCTGTCTGTGTTTCCCACCTACATGGGAGGCTGAGGCAGGAGGATCGTCTGAGCCCAGGAGTTTGAGGCTGCAGTGAGTGCAGTGAGCCATGATACAAAAAAAAAAAAAAAGAATTCTAAGTCTATGTATAGTTCAGTGTAGGGGGAAAATTCACATTTGATTATTAATGTCTGCCATGGGCACAATAATACACTATACTCACACATGGGCCACAATGTTGCCATTCCTAGAACAGACTATCTCTAAGATCTCATCCAGTTAAAAATTCTATGATTAAAATATATTGCTGCTTTTTTGAAGACAGAAGAGCTGGTATGTTTGCCCTGGAATTTACACTTATAACCTTTTTCAAACCTTTGTTTTATTTTTTTTTACCAGGTGGATTTAGTTTTGGAGAAGGAGGTGGCTGGCCTCTGGATCAAGATCCCATGCACAGACTACATTGGCAGCTGTACCTTTGAACACTTCTGTGATGTGCTTGACATGTTAATTCCTACTGGGGAGCCCTGCCCAGAGCCCCTGCGTACCTATGGGCTTCCTTGCCACTGTCCCTTCAAAGAAGTAAGTACTTAGGGAGGAGAGAGCGTTACCCCTGTGGCTAAAGAGATGGGGTTTGGAGAGAAGGGTCTTTGCATTCTCCTTCTGCAGATCTGCATGTCTCTGGATTTGTAAGCCAGTGTGACCTATCAGGAATCACTTATCTTCCGGGAGCCTCAGTTATCCATCTACGAAATGGGAGACTTGAACTTAGATGTGATCTTCAGGGCCCTTTATCCATAATAATCCATGCTCTACAGTGCTATGGCCGTCTCTCATCTTGTGCGGCTGTTTTGAGAATGGGAAGAGGGGTGGTAGTTCATGGCTGCAATCCTAGCAGTGGCTCTAGGAGAAAGACCCCATCAGTAGGCTCCCACTGACTGGCGGTCCACTGGCTTTCCCGCAGGGAACCTACTCACTGCCCAAGAGCGAATTCGTTGTGCCTGACCTGGAGCTGCCCAGTTGGCTCACCACCGGGAACTACCGCATAGAGAGCGTCCTGAGCAGCAGTGGGAAGCGTCTGGGCTGCATCAAGATCGCTGCCTCTCTAAAGGGCATATAACATGGCATCTGCCACAGCAGAATGGAGCGGTGTGAGGAAGGTCCCTTTTCCTCTGTTTTGTGTTTGCCAAGGCCAAACTCCCACTCTCTGCCCCCCTTTAATCCCCTTTCTACAGTGAGTCCACTACCCTCACTGAAAATCATTTTGTACCACTTACATTTTAGGCTGGGGCAAGCAGCCCTGACCTAAGGGAGAATGAGTTGGACAGTTCTTGATAGCCCAGGGCATCTGCTGGGCTGACCACGTTACTCATCCCCGTTAACATTCTCTCTAAAGAGCCTCGTTCATTTCCAAAGCAGTTAAGGAATGGGAACCAGAGTGTTTTAGGACCTGAAGAATCTTTATGACTCTCTCTCTTTCACTCTTTTTTTTTTTTGTCACTAAGTTAAAAGCGAAGTGAGAGTATTAACGTTTTTGTTCTCCTCCGGCCCCCTGTTACAATGAAGGGGCAAAAGTATTTGCTCTTAGTCTATTCCTCCCTTAACTTCTGTGACTAATTTTTATTTCCTTTCTAGATTTGCCCAATTAATACTAGGGTGCAGTGTATCCTGGAGAGGTAGGGTGTGTGGGGGAGGAATCCCTTGGGGGAGATATTAGGAGTGCTCTGTTGTTTACAAACTCAGGTACCCGCAGGGCCTAGCAAGAGACTTAAATGACTGATAAGAACCGTGAGAAACATGTTGCTTCCAGGCTTGATTTCGATTTTTCGCTTTTTTTTTTTTTGAGACAGAATCTCACTTTGTCACCAGGCTGGAGTGCAGTGGTGCAATCTCACCTCACTGCAACCTCCGCCTCCTGGGTTCAAGCAATTCTCCTGCCTCAGCCTCCCAAGTAGCTTGGACTACAGGCCCTGCCACCACGCCCGGCTAATTTGTGTATTTTTAGTAGAGATGGGGTTTCACCATGTTGGCCAGGATGGTCTCGATCTCTTGACCTCGTGATCTGTCCACCTTGGCCTTGCAAAGCGCTGGATTACAGGCATGAGCCACTACACCCAGCCGATTTTTCCTTTTTGATTAAAGATGCTATTACAATGTAAATATTTCTTACACAGAAAGTCACAGCACATGTGCCCATTGATACAAGGCTGCTGAGGCCTGGTCTCCAGTTGGAAATATAATTAAGGGTGGCAAGGACTGGAGTCAGTTGGAGAGTGCATAGCCAGTCTGTGAAGACAACTGCCAGATACTGGCAATACTCCAGCCTGGTGACAGAGTGAGACTCTGTCTCAAAAAAAAAGTTTCAATGTTTACTCCTAGAGAAGCCAAAAATCCAGATTTGTATATGAAATCTTACCATTTTAAAAGATTGGCAGCTAATTATTTTTTTAAAAAGCTGTGCAGTGTGATGTGTCCCAAACGGACTGGCTCATGGGTGGCCACGTCACAACCTCTGATCTCAGACCGTGCATGCCTTGTCCTCTTAAGACAACTCCTGTGGCACCGTTTCTCCCTCCACAGGGCCAAAGCCATAGTGTCCGGTCCCAAGGACAAGGCTCTTCCAGTGCTAGGAGAGGTATGAGCAGCCTCTCACCTGTGAGCTGTGGGGATCACAAGGCTGCCTGCCTCAGTCTTGGAGTCCTGTTGGGTGAATGAGGCAGATGGGAAAGAGCCTCACCAGCAGCTGCTTTTGGAGCAGGGGTCCAAGGAAGAGAGGGTGGCCTCGACATCAAACTGCCTGGATTTTTCTACCACCCTGTTACATCATAACAACTTCTGAAACACACACCAGCCCTGAGTTCTGGGCTCATTTGAAGCCTGGAATAGCAATAAATCTTTTTAACTTGCGGACAGTTTCCCCTTGCCTTGGCTGCATATTTCACTGATCACATCTCAGGATTTCAAAAGCATTTTTGGGGTGGGGCTCTTTTGGTTGGAAGGGTTTGTTGGAACGGTACAGGTGAGCCGAGGTGATTCCAGGGACGGACCCTTCTGCAGGAGCTTGAGCTTGCTTGTTGTCTCTGCTTCATCGCCATCCAGCTCCCTTGTTTGCTATTTTGCTTTCCATCACATCATGACTGCGGAGAGCAAAAATCACCTAGTGACCATTGAACAGGTCCCAGAGACAAAATCTTTTTATCTGAGGAATTTAAAAGGGAGCAAAGACCACCTGGTGACTATCAGGCCATGCAGAGGCAAAACGCCTTATTTGGGGAAAATTAAAAGTAATTAGACTTTCCTATTATCTAAAGCAGGCATCTGGTTCCAGATTTCTTTTCCCCGAAAAAAACCTTAGAAGTAACTAAAATTTCTGTACATCTCCGGAATGCCATGCTGAAACTCACTGCAACCCCACGGTCCCGCTTTAAGGTCCATAAATATCCCTAAGGAAAAATCCACCGTGGTACATTCAGTCCTCTCACCGAGGTGCCCCATGGCAGTCTTCTGCAGCATTCTTCTAATACCTTTCCTTTTTCAAACCTATACTGTTGTTGGTGAATTCTTTTTACCAACCCACGAGTTGACCACTTCCCAATGCCGGGGATCTGACACCTCACCTGGCAATGACCTCCACAGCCGTTTCCCTCTGTTGGATCTTCCAGCCTTATTCTCAACAGTTCATTTTTAGTTCACATTCTTGACCGAATCTCAGTAGCTCAGTTAATCTTTTTATGTCTGCTCTGCTCTTGGGTCATATGTTCCGTGAGGTTTCTTAGGGGTGGGGGATGAGGAGTTAAAGGTGGCATCTTCAATCGCAGGTCAAAGCAGACTTTAATAAATGGTGCTGAGCCAACTGGAAAGCCCCTTGGAGAAAGTTGAAGTTAGACCTGTACTTCACACCATATGCAAGAATGAACTCCATCTGGATCCAGGATCCAAATGTAAGAAAATGAAGCCATATAAATACAGAAGGAAACGTGGTGGAAATATCCAGTGGCAACAAAATATTGACACATTTGACTACATGAAGATAATAAAAATGCTTAGTAAAAACACAATAAAATCAAATGACTGGGAGAAAAATTTATCCAGCCTATATAATAGACAAACAGTTAGTGTTCTTACTATATAAGGAATTAAAAATTAAGGGACAAAGGACCAAAAACTTGATAGAAAAACTGGGAAAAGACATGAACATACTCACGTAAAGATATAAAAATGGCTCTTTAAAATGAAATATTCAAACTAACTCATTAGAGAAATGTAAATTGAGATAATACTGAGATACCATTTATCATCTCTAAGACTGGTGAAAGAAAGAACAACACATTTCTGTTAGGCAAGGCTATAGGGAAACACACTGTCATCACTGTTGGTAGGAATGCAAACTGGTATGACTTCTGGAGGGGAATTTGTCAGTACTTAACAAATTGCAGAAGCATTTACCCTTTGACACAACCATTTCCACTGTGGGAATTTCCCTTGAAGATGCACCTCCAACAGTACAAACATACAGATGCACAAGATTACTCATTGCAGCACTGAGACTGCAAATATTGGAAGCAAAGTCATGTTCATATACACGAGAAAGCCTGAGTAAACCATGGCACCAATGGCATACCCACATGATGGAATATTATTGAGCTATAAAAAAAATGAGGAAGATCTCTATGAATCGGTATAGTTATTTTCAAGATATATTAAATGCAAAAAGCAAAGTACAAAAAGTAGAAAGTGGTACTTTGTATGTAAGAAAGAAGGAGATGTAAGAAAGCACATGTATCTATTTGTTTATGCAAAGTAAATAAGGAAAGATTGGCCAGAAAGTAATGAGCTGTCTATGGATGGTAGGTGGGTTTAGAGTAGAAAGAAGGGAGAAATCATAACGGTGTAAAGGAGGAAGGGATGGAACACTGCCGAGTGTATCTGAGTATATTTTGTATAACTGTGAGTCTTGGAGCCATAGTAATGTTTCTCATGCCCCCCAAAATAATTAAAGTCAACCAGGATATGAGGAGAGTTCAAAATGAAATACAAACAGTAACAAATGAACTTAACTGTATTTCAGATGCATAATACAACCACATTGAAGGAGGTGGGCAAGAAAAATAAGAAGTTATAGCATTTTGATGGGATACTAGAAAGAGAAAAGGAACTGTACACAAATACCAGAGTCTAGTTAGCAAATTTTTCACAGAAGCAGAAGTTAGTAATTCAGGAAGTATTTTATGTGTGTATTAGGATGGGGAAAACAAATATATGGTAGGTAATGAGAACATGGGGGACATATTGAAAGGACACAGGAACCAAATTGAATGTCCCTCAGTGGCCAAATCTTGGGCAATTTGAGCAATAAAATAATGACAATAATGGGTTATAGTCCACTGACTAAAAATACACTATAGAATCCCATACACAATGGAATCACAAATGTAGAAGGAACGATAGAAATAGAAAAAATGGCTGGGTGCAGTGGCTCACGCCTGTAGTCCCAGCACTTTGGGAGGCCAAGGCGGGTGGATCATCTGGGGTCAGGAGTTCAAGACCAGCCTGGCCAACATGATGAAACCCTGTCTCTACTAAAAATACACAAAGTTAGCCAGGCGTGGTGGCACGTGCCTGTAATCCCAGCTACTCCGGAGGCTGAGGCAGGAGAATCGCTTGAACTGGGAGGTGGAGGTTGCAGTGATCTGGGACTGTGCCACTGCCCTCTAGCCTGGGTGACAGAGTGAGACTCCATCTCAAACCCACAAACAAAAAAACACCATTAGGCAAACACCATAGGAATAGTTGTTGCAGACAAGAAACACCTATGAATGCCGAATTAGTGAACAGAAGTATGATGGGAAACACGATTTTGCATGGTTTTAAGATCCCTTCACAAGATACTAATTACAAAGGGAAAAACAGTCATTATAGTGAATAAGCCTGACAGAAACCACCTTAACCCAGTGATCAAGTTAACATCACCACTAATAAGACATACTGATACCATGTACCTTCCAATATGATGCACTGAGAAGGGCACAATTGTCACTTCTGTGGTGTTGTCAGAAATGTGCAATCTCAGTGCAATCAGGAGAAAAGATCAGACAAGCCCAAACTGAGAGACACTCTACAAAATAACTGGCCAGTACGTTTTGAAAGTGCCAAGGCCGTGAACAATAAGGAAAGACTGAGGAACAGTCATGGACTGGAAGAGAGTAAAGAAATATGATAACTAACTGCATTGTGAGATACCGATTTAGATGTTGGATTAGAAAAAGGACCAGAAATAAGATTTCATCAATGTCAATTATTTGGTTTTGATAATTGTACTGTGGTTATGTAAGATGTTAACATTAGTAAGAGCTGGGTGAAGGGTACATGGAAACTATTATTTTTGCCACCCTTTGAAAGTCTAACTTTTTTCAAAATAAAAAGTTTTAAAAATAGTTTGCAGAAGTTTTCATTTTGAGAAAAAAAGATATGAACCTTGTATTAGGGTTCTGTACAGGGACAGAACTAATGGAACTAATAGAAATATATACAAAGGGGAGTTTATTAAGTATTAACTCACTTGATCACAAGGTCCCACAATAGGCCATCTGCAGGCTGAAGAGCAAGGAGAGCCAGCCCAAGTTCTAAAACTGAAGACCTTGGAGTCCAATGTTCGAGGGTAGGAAGCATTCAGCACGGGAGAAAGATGTAGGCTGGGAGGCTAGGCCAGTCTCTCTTTTCACATTTTTCTGCTTGCTTATATTCTAGCCGTGCTGGCAGCTGATTAGATTGTGCCCATCCAGGTTAATAGTGGGTCTGCCTTTCCCAGCCCACTGACTCAAATGTTAATCTCCTTTGGCAACATCCTCACAGACACACCCAGGATCAATACTTTGTATCCAATCAAGTTGACACTCAGTATTAACCAACACAAACCTGCCATCATGTAACTGCAGTACAGGAGAAGGGAGTGAACATTTATGCAGAATCTGGGTTAGTGGCTGAGGTCAGAAAGGGTTTTCCTGAGGAAGTGATAGCTGAGATCTGGAAAATGAGGAGGAATTAAGCAGGTGAAGAGATGGGAGAAGAGCGTAGATGGAGGCCCAGCAGCAATGGGAAGCATGGTGCATTTGCGGAACTGGACAAAGGCTGGTTGGTGTGGCTGGAAGGAAAAGGTGTAATTGGGGCAAGAAGAAGCTGGAGAGGTGGGGAGAAGCCTTTCTTTTTTCTTTTTTTTTTTTTTTTTTGCGATGGAGTCTCACTCTGTCACCCAGGCTGGAGAGCACTGGAGTGATCTCGGCTCACTGCAAGCTCTGCCTCCCGGGTTCACACCATTCTCCTCTCAGCCTCCCGAGTAGCTGGGACTACAGGTGCCCACCACCATGCCTGGCTAACTTTTTGTGTTTTTAGTAGAGACGGGGTTTCACCGTGGTCTCGACCTCCTGACCTCATGATCCGCCCGCCTCGGCCTCCCGGGAGAAGTCTTTTGGTTCACCCATGTCTCCCTGACCAGGAAGCCAACTTCCTAAGTTTGAATCCACCTGAGAATTTTCCCTTGAGAGAGTCTATCTTGCCAAATAAATTTCACTTGCAATTGGGGTTGGCATGCCAGGGAGGTGTTCTGCTCCCCACCCCCTTTTTCTTCCCTTTTGAACTCAGATCTGGGAATTGCTTAAGGAGCTCCTTTGTGGGTTTGAGACAGGCACAACCTGGACTTGGCGGATAACAAGTCTTATAGATCCTTAGATTGCTGCCTGTCAGTTCCATTCCCAGGGCACTGTGGCTTATAAACCACTGCACTTGTGCACTGACTTATATCACTTTGTAGCTATCTCTTAAGGCTTCACCTTCACGTGGGTGACTTCTCTAGCCCCACACTTGTAGGGCTTACGTGCTTAGCAATCTCAGTTTGTGTTCCTTAGCAATCTCAACTCTCCCATTTCTTTTTTTTTTCCAATGGCCTTGTTTTCTGTTTTTTTTTGAGATGGAGTCTCACTCTTGTTGCCTAGGCTGGAGTACAATGGCATGATCTTGGCTCACTGCACCCTCTGCCTCCTGTGTTCAAACAATTCTCCTGCTTCAGCCTCCCGAGTATCTGGGACTACAGGTGCCTGCCACCACACCTGGCTAATTTTTGTATTTTTAGTAGAGATGGTGTTTCACCATGTTGGCCAGGCTGGTCTCAAACTCCTGACCTCAGGTGATCCACCCACCTCAGCCTCCCAAAGCACTGGGATTACAGGCGTGAGCCACTGTGCCTGGCCTCCAATGGCCTTGTTGAAGATCTGAATTCAGCTTCTTCTTAAACTGATTGATTTTATATATCATTTCCCTTTATGCCCCAACCATTGTCCAGCTCAGTCATGTCAAGATAAATCATATTTGTCCAGTAGAGAAGTACAGTGGCAAATGATTCTGAAGGTCCTGGGGGACCTTCCCACATTCTTTGTATCCTTCTAGATCTCTCTGTTTCAACTCATAAGTCCCAGTTTTTGCCAAAGAAGCATGTGGCAGCAGAGAATTCAGCCTGTGTTGCACAACTGGAATGACCAGTTTGGGTCCTATCAGTGCTGACTGCCATCAGAAAGTGTTTTCTATACCAGTTACATGGTGATCTCTTATCTGATAGCTTACCTCCCTCATCTGATTTTTGTATATTGCTCTATTCTGCATCCAGACCTTTGTTCCAGGGTTGGCTATCTATCATCTGCAGATCATTTCATGTATGAGAAGCAGAAATCCTTACATTCCTTTTTTTTTTTTCCAGAGGTTCTTTTGCAACCCAGGGTCTATTCACTTCATGAGGTTTGTGATAGTTTCAGAAACTGCATGCAAAACTTATGCATATATGTGAATTTTATAGAAGGAGGAGCCACAGCTTCTATTAGAATGTCAGTGAGCTGCATAAGTCCCCAAAAATCATAAACAGCTGCCTTACCTCCGTTTAATTGCTCCATATTCTATAGTAAGGTTTCCATATGTTCCTCAAAGCCTTTCCTTCTCCAAGTTCATGGTCTGGATCCCAAAAGAGCAGAAACTTTTTATGGGCTGATAGCTTTCTATCTAGCGGTAGGATATTCTTCCCTACCTCTCCTTCATGATAACACAGCTACTTCACATCTCCTCTGAGAGGCTGTTGTTTGGCATCTGACCATTGGTAAATGGACGATACATTACAGAGGGGGAATGCTGCTAACTCCAGCTGAAATGCCTGTTATTCAGGCCATAATATCAATCATCTAATAGAAGGTGAAGTTGAAAATTGATACTCTCTACAAATATTAATTATACTGTAGAGTTATACTTTCATTGGTGTTTAAATAAAAAGCTTTTTAAAGGTGGCATTTCTTCTAGAGTGAAACAAATCATCATTAATACTTTCCCCCTTAAAATGAATTTTCTTTAGTTATGAAATCAGTGCATTATTTTTTTTAAAAATGCAACAACATAGGCAAGCAAAAGAAAAAGTATAAAATTTTGGCTGGGCACAGTGGCTCACACCTGTAATCCCAGCACTTTGGGAATCCGAGGCAGGTGGATCGCTTGAGCCCAGGGGCTTGAGATCAGCCTGGGCAGCATAGTGAGACCCTGTCTCTATTTTTAAAAATATATAAATACATAAAATAAAAAGTGTAAGATTTTACTCATAATTCAACCCACTTGGTGAAAAATTCCTATGACAATGTGCTGAGTATTCAAAATTATTTGACTGTATGTGTGTAACTGATTTAAAAAATAAAAATGGAATCATGTTTCATATTCTATTTTTAACAGCTTTATTGAGGTATAATTGACATATAATAAATGCCACATATTTGAAGTATCCAATTGATAAGTTTTGACATATGTACCCTCTTGTGAAACCATCTTCACAATCAAGACAGTGAACATGTTATCCATCCCTTCCAAAAATTTCCTCATGCTCCTTTGTAACACCTCCCTCTCACCCATCTCATCTTGCACCAACCACTGAGCTGTTCTCTGTCACTACAGATTAGTTTTCATTTTCCAGGCTTTTATATAAATAGAATCATCCAGTTTGTATTCTTTTTTTGGTCTGGATTTTGTCATTCAGCATATTTATTTTAAGATTCATACATTTTATTGTGTATTTCAACAGTTTGTTTCTGTTCCTTGCTGAGGAATATTCCATTGTATGGCTACATCACAATTTATTTATCCATTCTCTTGTTTATAGACATTTAGAGTATTTCCAACTTCTTTGCTTTTATAAGTAAAGTTACCATGAATATTTTTGTACAAGTCTTTTTATGGATATATATTTCTTTTTTCTGGAGTGGAATAGTTGGATCATATGGTAGGTATATGTTTAAGTTTTAAAGAAACTACAAGATGTTTATCAAACTGATTGTACTACTTTCTATCCACATAGCAGGGTATGGAGTTTCAGTTACTCCACCTCCTCACCAACACTAGCATGGCCAGTTTTTGTGGTTGGTGGATAAGTTAATTTCTTTTATTCACTTTCAGAATATCAGAGTTGACAGAGTCCTTAATAATCAGTTAGTCCAACTGTTCACTTCATAGACTGAGAGATGGGGAGGAACTTGCCTGAGGGCCAGTAGGAAATCAGTGGCGGAGCCAGTGGTTGGACAAAATTACTGCTGAGTTCTGTTTTTGTTCTGTCTATGACTCTTCTACTTAGAATATCTAAATAGAAAACTCCCTTCGCCCAACATACACTTTTCTAAATCTGATGCTTTAAGGGCAGCTACTGCAGTGTAGAGAAAACAGTTACTTTTGTATTTATGCTTGGTCTCTGTTTCAAGGGCTATTGGGGTAAGTGGCATCCCTTTTCCATAAAATGAGGCTGATAATATGAATAGTTGAATCTAATTTTGGTTCAGAGGTACAAAAGGCCATCCAAAAAATATAAAACCAAAAGAGGTGTAGCCTGAGAGACATCAGTGCTAACTTTTCTCATCTGCATTTCTCTTGGAAAGATAAAGACGCCACTAATTAATATAGAGATGTTGGGATTTGATGAAGGTATATAACATCCACATGGAAGTCAAACTGGGGATGGGAGGAAGGGAGAGCTATTAGAATAAAAACAGATAATTATGCATGGACACCTGTGGAGTTGGCCATGGAATGGCTGATGGGTTGGGGCAACTCATAGAGGGCTTGGTATGTCCCAAATATACACCCTAAAAGGCCCACGATGCTAATCATGATGTCCTTGGCAATGGTGACACAGCTCATGTCCTCAGAGTAAAAGATGACGATCTCCAGGAGGGCTGGGATGATGAGAGCCAGGGCGCTGCTGCTCACGGAGCCTACCAGGGAGATGACCAAGTCCAGGCGGGGGATGAGGATGGCTGAGACACCTGCAATGAAAGGAGATATTTAGAATCACTGAATGTGCTCAGAAACAAGCCATTGCTTTGGAGCCCTAGAATTTCACAGACACCTGAGAGACCACTTTGGAGAGGTGGGAGGGAGCCTACTGCAGGCTTGGGGAGGTCAGGCAACTCCCACCCCTGTCTTAACTAGTAATATAGATGCTCTCCTTTTATATTTTATCTACTGGATTTTTTTTTACATATAATCTTTATTGGAAGGGCTCTTCTACCACTTACCTGTTAATAACCTCCCCACTGTAGAGATGGGGAAATCTAGAGCTCTAGAAGGAACAGGACTTGTTCAAGGTCACACAGAGCTGAGATGAGAATTCACTGGGATGCCCCATCTAAGGTCCTTTTCACTCTACTATGCTGCCTCTCATGTGTAAGAAAGAACTTGATACACAGTAGATGCTCAATAAGTGCTTGACTCTTGCCCAGGCTCAGAACCAACATTTGTAGTATCTATATAATATAGCCTTTGTCTAGAAGCAAGGATGGATAAAAAAATGGGAGATGCTTCTGCTGCTGTCCGAATATCAGCCACTTATTTTTCTATTCTTAATAGGATCTTAGTAATGAAGCAGGCCATAAAACACAAAGACAGCATTAAGCTATCCAACCCCCATCCTTCTCTTCTCTTCACACTCCTAAAATTCCATCTCTTATACACATGATGAGCATATAGTATCACAGATTTTCCAAGGGAGTCCAATTTCAATAATGTTTGAATGAGTAAATATATAATTTATATGATTTAATTTTATGCAAATTTATTATTTTAAAACAATTATTACATTGATGTATACTATGTGTATGTAGTTTGGGGGTACATGTGATAATTCAATATGTTTATATAATTAGTAAAGATCAAATCAGTGTACTTGGGATATCCATTACTTAAAATATTCCAATCATATGATTTTCCTATGAACAAAATAGAGAAAGCCTGTTCTGGAAAGCATCCATACAAGCTTGCTGGATCTTTAAAAAAATCACCTCTTTCTGAAATTGCTCTGACACATCCAGTCCAAGCATAAGAGAGACTCATAGACTCTCATGGCTAGGAGTGCATTCTCCTTCGATGGGAGGTCCCTGTCCACAGCTTTCCTTCATCCAATGTTTAATAAGCCGCTTATAGAGAAAACTCAGCATCAGTCTTCCAGGAAAGCTCACAACGAGGAGGCAGAGAAGATACATGCAAGAAAAGCTATAATTCAAGGTGGAATGGAGAAAGGCCTTACGCTCCATTCTGGTCATGCCAGTCCTCTGCTCAGTGCCTTTCCATGGCTCTGCATGGCCCAAACTCCTCAGCACAATGACCCTTAGGACTTGGCCCTGACAAAGCTCTGACCTCATCTCTCAGCACTCTCCACTTCTCCAAAGGGGCCATAGGCAATACTTGCCTCAGGTCTGTGCACAGTCTGTTCCCTTCCCGTGGTACATTCTTCACTCCTCCGTCTATTTGCTACTTATTTAGGTCTTCACTGAAGTGTCACTCCACTGGAGAGGACTCCCTGGCTCGGCCAGGCTGAGTTATAGGACCCCCTTATGTGTAGAGTGTGTCTTCTACTTACGATCTTAACCATCATATGGTGCATTATCATGTCCCATCTTAACAATCATTGCAATGCACTGTAATTATTTCCTTGCATATATTTGCCACTCAACTGTAGGTCCTGTGAAGGCAGAAGCTACATCTTCTTCATTATTCATCATTGTATCCCTTGTGTCTAGCACAATGCCAGGTATGTAGTAGGTGCTCAACAAATGATTGTTGAATGAATAAAGGGTAAAGGGTAATAGAATTGATGGATGAATAATGGATGAAGAATGGGACTTTCAGCATATATCAAAAGCAGGACATGTCATTATAAGGTCAACTGTCTCTAGTCATGCATTCCCTGATACTCAGAGGCTCCTCAGTCTTTCTTGTCAACTTACACCCTTCCTAGTAGGAATGATCACAAACAATACTATTTACAGCTTCCTGATGTCTCAGCACAGACTGGGAACTCTAACACCTCAAACCAAGTAGGATTTTGCTGTTTCTGCTCATAGAACGCCTGCCATTTAAAGCTTATTATCTGATAGTATGTTCTGCTGCACAGCTCCAAGCATTGCATAGTTTCTCCTGACCCCGTACGGAAACTTGATTCCTTCAATGACTTTAAATTCTGACTCCTGGAGCCTTGAAGACTAAATTTCTCCCTTCACTTTTACAATAATCCCACAGGTGTTTAAGGATAAATGTGGAAATTTCCTGAGACTTTGCTTCTCCAGGCAAAACATCCCTTGTTGTTTTGCTCATTCCTCATGGGTCATCGTTTGTGATCCTCCGTCTAGACATGTTCCAAAGAAAGAATTCCCCAGCCCTGTTCATGAGGTTTCCCAAACACTACAACAGTGCTCATGAGTGAGTGAATGAATGAATTGAAAGGAACAGGAAGAAAGGAAGGGAGGGAAGAGAGAAGAGTACAGCCAAAAAATGATCTCTGGCTGGGTGCATGGTTCACATCTGTAATCCCAGCACTTTGGGAGGCTGAGGCAGGCAGATCACTTGAGATCAGGATTTTGAGACCAGCTGGCAAACGTGATGAAACCCCGTCTCTACTAAAAATACAAAAATTAGCCGGGCATGGTGGCAGGTGCCTGTAATCCCAGCTACTCAGGAGGCTGAGGCAGGAGAATCTCTTGAACCTGGGAGGCAGAGGTTGCAGTGAGCCGAGATAGCACCACTGCACTCCAGTCTGGGCAACAGAGCGAGACTCTGTCTCAAATAAATAAATAAATAAATAATCTCCAAGACTGACAAATCAGTCCCACTGGGATTTTTCCCTACAGTTAAATCTCACTTTATGATACAGGACTTGTTCATAATTTATGATAAGAAGAAATATGGCACCATGAAAAACAGTTGTTACACAATCTGTGTTCAAATCCCAGCTTTGTCACTTAGTGTGTATGACTCAGGTGTGTTACTTAATTTATCTGGGCCACAGTTCCCTCTAATGGTAATACATTGTTAGGCTATCATCAGTATTGGATAATGTCAGTACGGTGCCTGACATATAGGATTGAATGAATGATACTTCTTCTACAAACCAGCCAGCATCTATTTTCTATGTGTAGGCAGTAGAGACGACTATAACATTTACTGTGTGGTAATTCTGTTAAGCCCTTTTTTTTCACGTGGAAAAATTGAGGTCCAGGGAGGTGAAATATCCCACCCTAGGTCACAAAGAAGGCAAGTGGCAGATCCAATGATGGTGGGGTGGGCGCCAGCGTGGCTCCCTGTCATAGCTTTGGGTAAAGAGTGCCCTTTTATGCTACTCACAGGTTAGACAGACCAAGGCTGAGCGGACAGACAGGTCTACAAACAGTGCCCAGCTCTCTGACACTTGGGAGATGGCAAACGGGATGATGATCTCAGCTGGGACGTGGAACTGGAGGGCATAGGTGAAGAAGATGCCGATAGAGTACATCAGCTTGACTGACTGGTACAACCTGCAG
The DNA here is from genome assembly GCF_000001405.40 of Homo sapiens. Lineage (NCBI taxonomy): Eukaryota > Metazoa > Chordata > Mammalia > Primates > Hominidae > Homo > Homo sapiens. The sequence goes on from NC_000005.10 coordinate 151,281,190, forward strand.
ACACATGAATTGGATGTGAAAGGTGATGTGGCTCCCCGGAAGGGCCATTGAGGACTCACTTACTGCTCAGAAGCTGGTATGGGTTGAGTATCCCTAATCCAAAACAAAATCTGAAATGCTTCAAAATCCAAAACACTTCTGGTCCCAAGCATTTTGGATAAGGGTTACTCAATCTGTACTTTTCACTGAATTATAGAACTGGCTAATGTTAGATGATTCAGGCCAGATTGGACATCAGGGCCATCCGGGAAGCTTATTAAAAGTGCTTATTGCTGAAGATTCTGAGTCAGTAGGCCTGCAGCTCAGGAATGTATGCCTCTTCTTTTTTAATTTTTTAAAAGACAATAGCCGGGCGTGGTGGCTCACGCTTGTAATCGCAGCAGTTTGAGAGGCCGAGGCGAGTGGATCACCTGAGGTCAGGAGTTCGACACCAGCCTGACCAATATGGTGAAAGCTCGTCTCTAATAAAAATACAAAAATTAGCTGGGCGTGGTGGCATGCACCTGTAGTCCCAGCTACTCGGGAGGCTGAGACAGGAGAATTGCTTGAACCCAGGAGGTGGAGGTTGCAGTGAGCCGAAATTGCACCACTGCACTCACTCCAGCCTGGGCAACAGAGTGAGACTCCATCTCAAACAAACAAACAAAAAAGACAATATATGCATAGAGTAAAATTCATGGTACAAAAGTCATACAGTGAAAAGCATTCTTCCCACCCTTGATTCCTAGCTTCTAGTTTCCCTTTCCATAGGCAACCATTCAGAGTTTTCTTGTGGCCCTTCTAGAAATGATTGGTGTTTGTACATGCTCATACAGAATGTAGGAACATACATGCATATCCACACACACACATGCATACACATATGCACATACACATGTAGACTCCTCTTTTATTTACCCAATATTTCTTTTCTTTTTCTTTGTTTTTTTTTTTTTTTTTTTTTTTTTTGAGACGGAGTTTCGCTTTTATTGCCCAGGCTGGAGTGCAATGGTATGATCTCACTTGATCTTAGCCAAAAGGCTGAGAAGCGATGCAACGGTACGATCTCAGCTCACCACAACTTCCGCCTCCTGGATTCAAGCAATTCTCTTGCCTCAGCCTCCCGAGTAGCTGGGATTACAGGCATGCACCACCATGTCCAGCTAATTTTATATTTTTAGTAGAGACGGGGTTTCTCTATGTTGGTCTGGCTGGTCGCGAACTCCCAACCTCAGGTGATACGCCCTCCTCGGCCTCCCAAAGTGCCGGGATTATAGGCATGAGCCACCACGCCTGGCTGTCTCACCCAGTATGTCTTAAAGATTGTTCCCTGCCAGTACACATAGATCTGGCTCTTCTATTTAATAGCTGGTTGATATGTCAATTGCATGGATATGCAATCATTTTAAAAATCAGTCACCAATTAATGAATATTTAGATTGGGCTTAGACTTTTCCCAAGTAAACAATACTGCACAGACTATCCTTGTACATATATTAATGCACATATAATATAAAAACTTAGAAGTTAAAATGCTGGGTAAAAGTCTACATGATTTAAAATTTTAATAGCTGTTGACATATTGCCCATTTGCTGTCCTAGTGTATAAAAAGACCTGCTTTCCCATGTCCTTGCCTAAACAGTGTGTCGATGCATGCATCTTTGCCCTTGTATTTATTTTTTAACTCACATTTCTATTATCTTTCTTTCTTTCTTTCTTTTTTTTTTTTTTTGAGACTGAGTCTCGCTTTTGTCACCTAGGCTGGAATGCAATGGCGTGATCTCGGCTCACTGCAACCTCTGCCTCACAGGCTCAAGCAATTCTTCTGCCTCAGCCTCCTGAGTAGCTGGGATTACAGGCTCACACCACCACGCCCAGCTAATTTTGATATTTTTTAGCAGAGATGGGGTTTTGCCATGTTGGCCAGGCTGGTCTCGAACTCCTGACCTCAGGTGATCCACCCGCCTCAGCCTCCCAAAGAGCTGGGATTACAGGCATGAGCCACTGCCCCTGGCCTTCTACTATCTTTCTGAGCATCTCTTTATCTGGCCATCTGGCCATTTTTTTTTATTTGCCTGTGAAATACCTGTTCTGCCCTTTGCCCATTTCTCATTGGGTGGTTGGTCTTTTTCTTATTGGGAAGGGATATTTGTTTAAGGCTTTCCTGGAGAACCTGATGACTAGTGAGGTTCACACCAGCAGGTGTGAAGTCCTGATGGAGCTCAACACCCATGTTTTCTAGCTGAGGTCCCAGGAAGGAAAGTGCCCTGTCCAAGGCAGCTAGTGACAGCCCAAATTGCCCAGAACAAGAACAGCATATTAGGATGATATCTTGAGTAAAATAAGGCACAACTTCAAAGAAACTCCACATTTATTGTCTCATCTAGTCATTATCATAACACAGCAAGGTGGGTGGGGATGGTTACATTTTTCTCATTCTACAGCTCTGGATTTGTGGGAAATAAATGCACCATCATCCTACTCACCTTGGAAAAATGAAGGCTGTGGGGATGCATAACAATGATAATAGCTAACGCTCATGAATGCTTACCACGTGCTAAGCACTTTTCTAAGCATTATCTATGTATTAATCCAATTAATCCCCACGGTCACTGCATCAGGTAGCACAGCAGTTATTTGTGCTGTTCACCAAATACTTCCAGGCACATGGCAGAATTGCACTTCCCTGCCCCCTTGGAGTGAGGTGCGGCCATGTGGCTTGCTTTGACTGATGCAGTGTGAGCAGGAGAGACATATGTCACTTCCAGTGATGGATTACCAGCTTCATGGCTCAGCTTTGCTGTGCTCTCTGCTATGACAACCAGAACAGTTCCAGTGTCTCTCCCTATCTCACCTGAGGTGGGCAGGACATACCAGCAATTGGGCAAGTTGAGGGTGATGCTGGCCTGGGTGTCTGACCCAAACTTCATGTAGCCCAGTGTCCCCAGTAAGATATAGAGGATGATGACAATGGACATCCCCAAGTACAGAACAAAAGAAAACTGCTGTGGATGCTTCATCTGGTTTTTGAGAGGCAGAACCTGGAGGGAAAAAAAAAAGTTGGGAAAGAAAAGGTAGAAAGAGATGTGGCCCATTGTGAAGGAGAGGGTTCCCGTACAAGCACAAATGTCCTTCCCCAGGTGGGCCCAGTATCAGAAAGGGGACTCTCCACATGGCCACACTCCTTTCATTTTCTCTCATGCTTTCTATTGTCAGGAATGCCCTACTTAGTCTTGGTTGATTAGTAAATTCTCAGTCTTCAATGCTTAGCGTGGTATATTAGAGCAGTAGGGACCCTGTATGTGGGTACAGACTTTCCCTTCACCAGGAGAAGATCAGAGTCTGCACCTTTTCATAAATACTATTTATTCAGACATCTGCAACTACAGTTGGCCACTGTAGAGGGCGCTAGGGACCATTCGCGTGAACCCCATCAATCTTACCATACCGACGCCTTCAAATGTGAAGATGGCTGTACCAAAGAACAGCAAGAAGGTCTTCCAGTTTGCCATCAAGGGTAGGTTGCTGGGATATGGAATCCCCTAAAAGAAAGTGGGAGAAGCACATTGGTGTTGTTATGGTGTCGAAGTCATCCCAAATCTTTGCCTGGTAGAAAGCTGGGTCACACCTGATCTCAACAGAGAAAATCAGAAGATACCTAGACCTCAGTCAGCCTTCTAATCTTTTAAATATGATGATTTATTCATTTATATTGTGCTAAAATACACATAACATTTTACCATTTTAACTATTTTAAGTGCACAGTTCAGTAATATGAAGAACATTCACGTTGTTGTGTATCCATCACCCCTATCCATCTCCAGAACATTTTCATCACCCCAAATGGAAACTCTTTATCTATCAAATAATAACGCCCCACTACCCAGCCTCCTGGCACCCCCTGCTCTACTATCTGTCTCTATGAATTGGACTATTCTAGGTACCTCATGTAAGTGGAATCCTATCATATGTATTGTTTCTGTGCCTGGCTTATTTCATTTAGCTTTAGCGTCCTCAAGTTTCATCCACATTGTGGTATGTGTCACTGTCTCCTCACTTTTTAAGGCTGAATAATATTCCACTCTATATATAGACACCAAATCGTGTTCATCCTTTCATCACTTACTTGGACTCTTGGATTATCCCACCCTTTGGCTACTGGGAGCCCGCTCATCTCTACATGTGGAGAAAGTGGAACACAGAGGAGAGGGGAATTGCCCAAGGTCACTATGCAAGTTAGTGGCACAGCCCAGATAAGAATTCAGGTCTCCTGTTTCCCAGCCCTCTAACATGTCTCTCCCACACTTCTTTCAGGGCTGTGCAGTCCACTAGTTAGTATAGCAGCTCTCATGAATCTAGGGGGAATGATTATGTTAATAGATTTCTATGGTGGGTAGAATAATGGTTCCCCAAAGATGTTCACATCCTAATCCCCAAAAGATGAGAGTATGTTATGTTACATGGCGAGGGAGAATTAAGTTTTTAGATGGGATTAAGGTTTCCAATCAGCTGACCCTAAAACAAGGAGATGATCCTGGATTATTCGGGTGGGACAAGCATCCTTAAAAGTGGAAGAGGGAGTCAGAAGGGGAAGATCAGAGGGAAGGCAACATGAGAAAGACTTGGCTTGAGGCTGCTAGCTTTGAAGATGGAAGGCGGCCTGAGCCAAGGCACACAGACAGCCTCTACAAAGCTGGAGAAGACAAGAGAACAGATTCTCCCCTGGAATCCAGAAAGGAATGCTGCTCTGCCGCACATTAAGTTCAACCTAGCGAGACTCAAGCACTGGAAAATAAATTTGTGTTTTTTCAAGCCACTAGATTTGTGGTAATTTATCACAGCAGCAATATGAAATGAATACAACCCCAGAGACTTTCACTCAAGAAAATGAAAGTATAATGGTGGGATTTCGTGGTCTGTGATAATGGAGCATGGACATGGGAGGCAGTCTGAAATTCATGAAAGAATTACTTTATCAATTTCCTTGTCTGTAAATTGCAGATAAAGATACTATAGTTGTTCCTTGGTCTCCATGGGAGAACTAATGTTCCAGGACCTCCCGTGGATACCAAATCTGCAAATGCTCAAGTCCTTGATATAAAATGGTATAGTATTTGCATATAACCCATGCTTATGTTTTTTTGAGACGGTCTTGCTCTGTCACCCAGGCTGGAATGCAGTGGTGTGATCATAGCTTACTGTAGCCTTGACCTCATGGGCTCAGGTGATCCATCCACCTCAGCTTCCCAGGTAGCTAGGACTACAGGTGCAAGCCATCATGCCCCACTAATTTTTAAATTTTTTGTAGAGGCAGGATTTTGCTATGTTGTCCAGCTGGTCTTGAACTCCTGGGCTTAAGCAACCCTCCCACCTCAGCCTCCTCAAGTGCTGGGATTACAGGTGTGAGCCACTGTGCCTGGCCAATAGTTGTTAGACCTAGTTGTTTCTTAACTTGTATGATTTTTTATTGTTGTATATTTTTAGTGTTTTTTTCTCCCAATAGTTTCCATTTGTGATTGTTCAGATCCATGGATGTGGAAATCATGGATACAGAGTGCCAGCTTTACTTCCAAAATAGTATTGCGAAGGTTCAATAAGTTAATGTATGTAAATAATTTGGCACCAAGTAAATAAAATTCCTTTATCATCTGTATTTCTTTTGTCCATCTACCACTTTTACAATTTTTTTGGTGATTTGATTGATGTTTATCTCTCCAAGTAAATGCAGCTTCCATGAGAGCAGGCACCCTATTTATTTTTGCTGACCACTGAGTCCCTGGCCCCTTGCACAATGCCTGGATTGCAGAAGGTATTCAGTAATTATTTGTTGAATGACCCATTATTATCCAATGTGACGATGATGATGATGATGAGGATGTTGATGACAATGATGATGATAATAATTAGCTTTTACAACTTGTGGGACAGAAGTGTTCCTAGATGTCATGTTGGCAGGGGCTGCTCAGAGCAGAGGATCACCTTCCTCAGCTTCACCTGCCCATCATGATAACAAACCCTCCTCCCCAGGTGTTTCAGAGACCCAGGACCCTGATCCTTTCTTCCCTATGGCACAGACCTCCATGATATACTCAAAGATCAGAGCCATGCTCCCAAGGGTGGTGATGTTGGCCAATGTCGAGAAGACGGACAGCACCTTGAGGTTCTGGATAAACACCAACAGGATCAGGAAGGGCAGGATTATCAGCATGTAGAAACGAATGTCCAGGATGGGGGTCAGCGTCAGAATCTCCCTGGGCTGGCAGATGTTGGAGGTCACGTGGGCTTTTTCCACCATCTGACATAAAGCACAATGACAGGCAGTGTGGTTGCTACGTAAAACACAGGACACCAATTACATTTGAATTTCAGGTAATTAATGTAACTTTTTAGTATAAATATGCCCCAAATATTGCATAAGACACGCTCATAGTAAAACAAAATCACTACTTATCTGAAATTCTATCATAACTGGGTATCATATATTATTATTTGCCAAATTGGGCAACCCTGTCGGGCCCATGATTGTGACAACCAGAAACCCTTAGAATCATAAAATCTCAAGGCTTTGAGGTTGTTATCTACTCAAACCTTTTCTTCTCCACAAAATGAGTTTCTTTCATACATCCAGAGAAAGGGAATTCATCACACAAGAATATCCTCTTCAAATTTAGATAGCCCTAAAATCTGGGAAGCTCTAAATATTGGTCAGTATCCATCTGCTTGAATATTCCGTCTACAATACTTGTCACAGTTCTTTCTGGCTGTTTGGGTGCGCAAAAACAAGGATGCTCCCTCTAATCCACAAAGCCAAGAAAGAAGGCTGTGGTTGATTTGTAATGTCTGATAGGAATGCAATGAGGGGAAGGTGGCAGCTTGTTGTCCTTGTATAGTTAGACATCTTCTACATGACAACCTTGAGATACTCAAAGTAAATGTCACCAGTGTTTTTCAGGCTAACAATTATCATTGATTTCTGACTGGACATGATTGCAGGCCTCTCTTTCTACCCTGGCTAAACTCTTCAGAAGTTACTTTAGCTCGTCTATCCTTTCAAAATGTGATTCCCAGGACTGAGAGAGCTCCCAAGCGTGGTCTGATCTAGGAGTAGAAATGAAGTTCTCTCCTCCCATGAGCCTAACACAATACTTTTGCTAATGTAGCCTCAGCAGCAGGAGGTCTGCTTTTCCCCCACTCTGCCCAGAAGAGGGCTCTTTACCTGTTGTAAATTGTCTGCCATAAACATAAAATAAACACTGCAGAAGCCCAGCTGGGTGATGACTAATAAGAAGCTGACAGTGTACCTGGGAAGGAAAGGAAGAGGCAGACAGAGGGAGGAAACAAAAGCTAAAATTATTTCTTAAGAATGTTTACTATTTGAAACAATTATTTTTGTTATTATTTTTAAAAATTTCCCTACTTTCTTTTATTTTGAAAAATTTTTAAGCCAAAAAGTTGAAAGAATAGTATAATTAACATCCATGTACCCTTTAACTAAATATACCAGTTGTTAATTTTTGGCCCCAAATTGCATTACATATATATATAATATATATGTATATATAGACGAATGAATATTCGTCTATACACACACACACATACACACGCAATTTTTTTCAGAATCATTTGAAAGTCAATTGCAGGTCACTTTGGAAGGCCAAGGCAGGTGGATCGTTGAGGTCAGGAGTTCAAGACCAACCTGACTAACATGGTGAAACCCCGTCTCTACTAAAAATACAAAAATTAGCCAGGTGTGGTGGCAGGCACCTGTAAATCCCAGCTACTCGGGAGGCTTGGGCAGGAGAATTGCTTGAACCCTGAAGGTGGGGGTTGCAGTGAGCTGAGATCTTGCCACTGCACTCCAGCCTGGGTGACAGAGCCAAATTCCATCTCAAAAAAAAAAAAAAGAAAAAGTCAATTGTAGGTATCCTAATACTTAAACCCTAAATTCTTAAGACTGCAATAGCCAGAAAATCAACTTCAATATCTTCATATATATACATATATACAGTTTCTATTTTATACATATATACAGTTTCTATTTTAAATACACTCATTCATTGGTATCCAAGACCCCTTACAAATTCAAAATCTGCAGATGCTCAAGTCTCTTACATAAAAATGAGTTAGTATTATCCCAATTCTCTCTAAAGTACCTTTTGTAGTTATTTTATTTTTTAATTCAGGATCTAATGAAGGTTTGTATATTGCATTTGGCTACATCTCTAGCCAAGTGGGAGGATCACTTGAGCCCAGGAGGTTGAGGCTGCAGTGAGCCATGATCACACCACTACACTCTAGCCTGAGAAACAGAGTGAGAATCTGCCTCAAAAAAAAAAAGAAATTATTATTAATTTTGTAAGAGATGATGATGGTATGATGATTATACTTTTTAAAGTTATTATCTGTTAGAGCTACACACTGAATTATTTTATTTTATTTTATTTTTTGAGACAGAGTCTCAGTGTGTTTTCATCACACTGGCTTTGTTTGAAGAGTATAGGCCAATTGTCTTATAGAACGCCCCACATTGCGGGCTTGTATGATTGCTTCCTCGTGATTAAATTCAGGGGAGCACTTTTAGCAAGAATACTACAGAGGTGATAGTTTTGTACCTCTATTTCATCATATTGGGAGGCACATGATATCCTGTTGTTTTGCTTTGTTGGTGACTGCCAGATCTCCTATTGGAAATGTACATTTTCCCTTTGTAATCTGTGGGGTAAAACTTTGAGATGGCATGATTATCCTGTTCCTCAAACCAATGGTTTTACCACTCACTGATGTTCCTTGCTTGAATCATTGGTGGTTGCAAGGTGGTGGTTTTCTAAGTCTATGTATCATTTCTTCTAAATTTATTAGCTGGTTTTTAAGAGAGATATATTGTTTTCTCCTCTTTTTTTTGGCATCACAACAGACACATGTTAATTATTTCTAAATTTAATATCTTATACTCTGTTATTGCCATTATTCTTTTGGGTTCTTAAATTATTCCAAATTTGGAGATGCATTTTTCTAAAAGAACAAAAATATGTTCCTTTACTTAGATTATAATGTTTAGATAAGGGCTTTTCAAAATTGGCTTGTAGTATCAACCAATTTGTTGGTTGAGGCCTATGTTAAAAATACAGGCTCCTGGTTCTCATATCATCCTATTGAGTCAGAATCTTGGCAGTGTCACATGTGACTTCAGAATAATATCTTTTTCTGTCTATCTTAGGAAGATTTTCAAACATATACAAAAGCAATGAATAATTTAATGAATATAACGAGAATTTAACGAGAATAATTTCATGAATTCACATGTGCTCATCCCAGCTTCAACAATGAACTTTTTGCCACTTGTTCTCTATCTCTTCAGCCCCATCACACACATACTGAATTTGTCGGTGTATTTGTAGCAAACCAGAGACCCCAAGTTATTTCACCTGTAAATAATTCAGTATGGGCCGGGTGCAGTGGCTCACGCCTGTAATCCCACCACTTTGCAAGGCCGAGGCGGGCGGATCACGAGGTCAGGAGATCGAGACCATCCTGGCTAACACGGTGAAACCCCATCTCTACTAAAAATACAAAAAATTAGCCGGGCATGGTGGCGGGCGCCTGTAGTCCCAGCTACTCAGGAGGCTGAGGCAGGAGAATGGCATGAACCCGGGAGGTGGAGCTTGCAGTGAGCCGAGATCGCGCCACTGCACTCCAGACTCTGTCTCAAAATAATAATAATAATAATAATAATTCAGTATGTAGCTGTAATAGATAATAACTTTAAAAAGTATAATCATCATACCATCATCATGTCTTACAAAATTAACAATAATTTCTTTTTTTTTTTTTGAGACAGATTCTCGCTCTGTTTCCCAGGCTAGAGTGTAGTGGTGCAGTCATGGCTCACTGCAGCCTCAACCTCCTGGGCTCAAGTGATCCTCCCACCTCAGCCTCCTGAGTAGCTGGATCCACAGGTGTGTGCTACCAGGCCTGGCTATTTAAAAAAAATTTTTGTGGAGATGGGGTCCCACCATTTTGCCTAGGCTGTCTTGACACCTGGTCTCAAGAGATCCTCCCACCTTGACCTCTCAAGGTGTTGGGATTACAGGCATGAGCCATTGTGCTTGGCCAATAATTTCTTTATACCATCTAATATTCAGTCCATATTCAGATTTCTCCAATTCTCTCAAAAATATCTGTCTTACAGTTGGTTTCCAAACAAGTCTACACATTGTATTTTGTTAAGTCTCTTAAGTTTTTTAAACTGCTACATTCCCCTTGCCCTGTTTATTTTTTCCTTGCAACTTTTAATTTTTTGTTTGCTGCTGAAGATACCAGATCATTTGTCCTGTAGTATATCCTATTTTTTCTATTTGGTTGGTGACTTCCTCATGATGCTATTTATCTTGTTCCTCTATCCCCCGTGCTTCCTATAAATGGATATTAGATCTAGTGGCTTGAATAAATGGAGGTTTCAAATTTATTTTTGAAATATCAGAGGTGGTACTACTCTGTACTCCCTACTGTGGGCTATTATGAGACACACATAGCTAGCTGTCATGTATATAAATATGAGATGCTAAGATGAGTACATGGGGTCAGGTAGCATCAGTGCATTCTCCCTTTATAAAGCTTCCCAGTGACCATTCCTCTAACAGCTTGAGCATCCATTAATGACCATTGCCTCCATGGAATGGGCAGCTTTTGTTTGTTTGTTTGTTTGTTTTGAGATGGAGTCTCACTCTGTCACCCAGGCTGGAGTGCAATGGTGCGATCTCGGCTCACTGCAACCTCTGCCTCCTGAGTTCAAGCGATTCTCCTGCCTCAGTCTCCTGAGTAGCTGGGATTACAGGCACCCACCACCAAGCCTGGCTAATTTTCATATTTTTAGTAGAGACAGGGTTACGCCATGTTGGTCAGGCTGGTCTCAAACTCCTGACCTCAGGTGATCCACCCACCTCAGCCTCCCAAAGTGCTGGGATTACAGGCGTGAGCCACCACACATGGCCAAGGAATGGGCAGTTTTTAATCAAGCTCCTCAGGTATCTCTCAGTAAATTAAAGATGACAAATTATTACTTTAAATATTTTTTAAATGTTTCTAACTCTTTCTCATGACCTCATCTAATCATTAGAGTGGCTCCTGATCAGGAGATCAATGACCTACTGAGAATCCCAAGAGAGGAGCTGCAAAGGAATCTTAGCAGCCACAATTTGACTCACTACCTCCTGAGGGACTTTGCTGGGGAAGGCTCCAATGTTAGGTTCTTGGTCAAATCTCTGCTCCACCCATATCAATGTCCATGCCTTTGGATATGTTATTTTATCTTTATAAGCCTCATATTTCCAGGGCAATAAAAACCCACCCTGCCTACCTCACAAGGCTGTTGAGAGGAACAGAGGAACTAAGACAGAGAAAACCATTTTGTACACCGTTAACTTTTTATCAAGGCAGGGAACAACCTGAATGTTCACCTTAGGGGAATAAGCAAATGAAACGGATATACATCCACACTAGGGAACACTGTGAGCCTTAAAAAATAATGAGGTAGGCTGGGCGAGGTGGTTCACACCTATAATCCCAGCACTTTGGGAGGCCGAGGCAGGCGGGTCATCTGAGGTCAGGAGTTCAGGGCCAGCCTGGCCAACATGGTGAAACCCTGTCTCTACTAAAAACACAAAAATTAACCAGGCGTGGTGGTGGGCGCCTGTAATCCCAGCTACTCAGGAGGCTGAGGAAGGAGAGCTGCTTGAACCCAGGAGGCGGAGGTTGCAGTGAGCTGAGGTCACGCCATTGCACTCCAGCCTGAGCAACAAGAGTGAAACTCTGTCCCTCCCCCCCCAAAAATGAGGTTCATTTATATGTTCCAACATGAAAAAATAGGGATATATTGTTAGATGAAAAATCAAATTTTCAGAAATTATCCTAAGTAATGTATAAGAAAATAGAAAGCAAATTATGTACTTCCATTCACACACATATATTGATGTACATGTAGAGAAAAAAAGTCTAAAGGAATATTTACTAACTAGGTTTCAATGATTACCTTATGGGTACAGAGTGAGATGGGGGATGGGGTTATCGAGGTGATTCTCTCTATTGTTTGATAGTTTACAATAAGAGCATATTCATTTAAAACCTGTGTAAGTAGAAATAAAGAAAAGTGATATGATGATTTTTGTTGTTACTACTACAACATCTGTGACTACTACCTTCCCCACACTGCATGGGCCCTCAGCCAGGTGTTCGGGCAGGTTTCAAGGCCGTACATCGTGGCCTCTCCATAGTTCACAAAAGTCTTCTGCAGTCTAGGGGGAAAGAACAAACAATGCATAATTTAAAACATTTTTGTTAAAGGTACAGTTTTCTCCCAAAGTGAGTGATTTTTATGTATTTGTGTGTGAGCATGAAGCCTTCTGTCAATTTTCTCCCAGTGATCTACTTTATACTTTAACAACTTTCAGGAGTTTGCCTTTTTTTCTTTTTTTGCAATTATCCCTTTAAGCACAAATATTTAACTGACTATCATTGGATTTATTCTTCTTGAGTAAGCGGTAGCTGTGCATTGACGTAGATCTGCAAAGCAGGAAAGGGGATATGGAGGGGGAGAGGAGGAGGGAGGGGAAGAGGTGGTGTGGGTGTGGCCAGGCCAGTGATTCCCTCCTTCCCATTGCTGATGGTGTCAGAACACTCGAGATCCTGGCCTGGGCCAGACCCCTCACAAAGGTGATACTCGGGATCCTGCCCAGCCCCCTGTAGGATGTGATGCCCAAGTTCCAGCCTATTCCTCTTGCCATGTCCCTCTTTCTCAACCCTTTTAAGGGTGGAGCAGGCCCTGCTGCAGAAACACCTTTGGCTGGAGCAAGTGGAAACAGCAGCAGGTTGCCCAGATCCTGGAAGCACGGCATAAATTGCAGGACTGAGGGGAACAGGTGGGAGAGAGGAAGGGCTCCAGCCTTCTTCAGATACCAGAGTTTAAATCCCAACATGACCCTCAGGTAGCCAGACATGTAGAGCCAGTCTCTTGAGATCTCTGGGCCCCAGTTTTCTTCACATGCAGTCTGGATTTTGGGGGAAGAGACAGTGAGAGACGGATATAGAGATGTGCTGGAACATGACATTTTTGTTACTGCTCACCGTGATAGGCATTTTCAATACAAATGAAGTCACCTTGCATAGAACTGGCAAGGATATGAATCTGAGGGTTGCAAATTCAGAAGCTATGGGATCAGACAGGTACTGGTGATCTGGTGGGTGACAGGGGCTGAGTATAAGAGACAGTAGGGAACATTGGAGACTGTGGCAAACCAGAATAACACATCCCATTGTAAAAGGGATTGCTCAGGAGTTGCCTCTAGAAGCACATCTAAAAAATGAAGGCTCAGAAGCAGTCGGTTGTCTAACTGATTAAGAAGGCAGAGATTTTTTTGTTTTGTGAATGTGAATGTGAAATCTCCAATTCACATTTTGTGAATGTGAATTTTTTTTTTTTTTGAGACAGAGTTTTCACTCTAGTTGCCCAGGCTGGAGTGCAAGGGTGCGATCTCGGCTCACCAAAACCTCCGCCTCCCGGGTTCAAGCGATTCTCCTGCCTCAGCCTCCCGAGTAGCTGGGATTACAGGCATGCACCACCACGCCTGGCTAATTTTGTATTTTTAGTAGAGATGGGGTTTCTGTATGTTGGTCAGGCTGGTCTCGAACTCCTGACCTCAGGTGGTCTGCCTGCCTCGGCCTCCTGAATTGCTGGGATTATAGGTGTGAGCCACTGCACCCGGCCGAAATCTCCAGGGTTTAAACATTGACTAAAAAATAAAACTGTGAAGTCCCCCAAAACATAACTGAAGGCCATAGCCAACTCTCAGGCCATCACTCTGCAACCTCTATATTAGAAAAAATAAAAGACAAGTCATCAGAGAAAAAAAAAAAATCAGAGAAAGGCTTTCAGAAATGGCCTGATGTCAGAAGCTTATCTGGTGATATAATGATCCCAGAAGGCTTGAGGGAAGAGAAGATTTGCAAAATGGTTAACAGTGGAGTCACAGTAGGTCTTTGAATACTGGCTCTGCCACTTCCCAGCTATATGACCCTGGGCAAGGCATTTAAACCTCAGTTTACTCATCTGTAAAATGGGAATAAAAATAGTGCCTATCATAGACTTACTGTGAGGAGTAAACAAGGCTTGCAAGGCTCTTGGCACGATAACCGCAGTGTAATTGCACAATACATTTAACTACGGAATGAGTAAATGCTCTTAAAAGCGTTTTGTGAGCAGGAAAGTGCTCTGAGAGTTAGGTGTGACTGATATGTACTCCAGGTACACCTATTTGGGTTATGATAATTAGGCTTTATGGAGAGTTTTGTTTACCGTCCCTACTTTGACTTTTGAGACCTTTCTTCACATTTACGAGGACCTATTTGGTTTTGCATGCCTTGGGAGTAGCTGAGCGCTGTGGATCTCTGCATTCTTTGTTTTTACTGCATTTGTCTTTTCTTTCTGAAATTGTTTTTGCATTAAAGTTTCAAATACATAAACATTGATTATTATAAGTATGCTTTGATAATGACTGAAATCATTGTGAAGACTTCTTTTCAGTAAGTATGCTTTTTACTTTTACTAACATTGCATGGACCAAATTACCCTGACAAGGTGTGGGTATTGGAGTGGGAGAAGGTTGGGGATGGAGAGGCTAAAAGGAAGAGAAGAAAGTCTCTGTCTCAAATAAATAGAGTAATTTATATAGTGCTTTTGCATCTTTTATCACTTTCGATGCTTTCAGTTAAGGAGATCTGGGCTCAGGGGGATGCAGGAATTTGACAGTCATCCAGCTTGTTAGCAGCAGCGTTGGATCTGTGCCTAGAGTCTCTAACTGGGACTCTCTGTCATGCTCTCCTTGCCTTCATAGAATCCAGATTGGTAGGAAGGTGGCCTGGAGCAGTGGCCGAATTAATTGGGTCAGTGGTCAAAAGAAGAGCAACACACCCTCAGAGGGGCCCCAGTGCTGGAATGAGAGAGAAGCAGGCCTCTGACCTCTGGCTGAGGTGTTGAGCACAGTTCAACAGGATGACCATGCAGTGCACGGTGAGGACCCCGATGGCCAGAAGGCTGACAGGACCGACCTGGAGGGGAGAGGAGAAAGGGGGAAGTGAGCCAGAAATGATCACTCCCATTCCCTGGCCCTCTCACAGTCTGCGTGCTGGGGCCTGTTGCATAATAAAACTGTCTTTGGGGTGACAGACCCAGCCTGAATGTCCTCATGCTCCCAGATGCTAGAATTTGAATGCTCTTCTTAGCATCCCTGTAGAGTGGCTGCCCAACTTCTGCTAGGATACTTCCAGTGACAGAGAGCTCATTACCTTCCCACATAGCCCATGCATTTTCTCATTTTCCTTGAGTTCTACCAGTTTAGAGTCCCTTGTGGTAAATTTATTTTGTCTGACACACCCTGGCCCTCACTTCCTCCAAGATGATTGAGGGCCAAGGTGTTCTTATGACTCAGTTCTCTTCCTCTAGTACAGAGTTTATCAACAGGTGCCCTATTGACATTTTGGGGCAGATAATTATTTGTTATCAGGAGCTGTCTTTTGCATTATAGGATGTTTAGCAGCTTTCCCGAGCCTCTACCCACTAGGTGTCAGAGACTCTTCCCCCAGATTGTGGCAACCAAAAATGTCTGTAGAGATTGTAAAGGTCTTTGGCTAGGGTAGCAGGAGCTGGTGCAAAATGATCCCAAGTTGGGGATCACTACTGTAGTGTGTCTAATTTGTCAAATTCCTTTTAAAAAGTGGGGCTGATTACTAATTATATCTTCCAGAGGTGATCAGAAGGGTATAAACGGGGACCCTCTCACATCCTTTGTTCTGAACACTTGTGTCTTTATAGATGTGACCTATCACAAAGACATAAATGAGGGATCAAGAGCACCACTAGACTCCACTGGAATGCAGGCTTCATGCAGCAGAGACTCTCGTGTCTTGTTTGCTTCTATATTCCCAGGGGCTACAAATGCACAGGGTAGATAGGTGCTCAATAAATATTTCTCAAATGAATCATGGCCAGAGGTTCTGGTGGGAGATGAAAGGTAAAGAAATCATCTAATGACTCTGAGGAAGCAAATATCAAAGAATAAAAGCATTGTCTTAAAAACAAATACCACCCTGGCAAAGATAGTTTGGCTGAAGACCATGTTTTTTTGTAGAAGCTCTAGAACCCAGAGGATTCCAAAGGGGAGAGTCCAGTCTCTGGGTTGGAACCACTGAAGATCAGAAGTCATGACAGAGGCAGCAAGGGTCTCGCCTTCTTTAGACATAGAAGCCACTTACCAGGCCTGGAGATAAGAAAAGATTCACTCCAAGGAAATGGAATTATATATTTGGTATCTATTCCATTCAGTAGATGTTAATGGAAACTTGCTGTGTGCCAGTCCCTACAGAGGCTACCGTGGGGACGTGCAAAGGGAAATCAGACAGTTCTTGCCCACAGAGCTTTCAATTAAATGAGGAAGGTGGGTCTGTTAGAAAATAAATATGTCGACCGGACGAGGTGGCTCACACCTGTCATCCCAGCACCTTGCGAGGCCGAGATGGGCCAGTCACCTGAGGTCAGGAGTTTGAGACCTGCCTGGCCAACATGATGAAAACCTCTCTACAAAGAATACAAAAATTAGCTGGGCGTGGTGGCTCACACCTGTAATCCCAGCAACTCGGGAGGCTGAGGCAGGAGAATCGCTTGAACCCGGGAGGCGGAGGTTGCAGTGAGCCAAGATTGTGCCACTGCACTCCAGCCTGGGCGACAGAGCGAGACTCTGTCTCAATAAATAATAATAAATAAATAAATATCTTATCTTCGTAAGTGCTTTAAGAATCCCAGGTAAGGTAGATATAAATGGTAGAAAAATACAAAGTGAGGATGGCATTAGTGATCATAAGAAAGTGTAAAGTTTTAGAGAGGAGGCACTTTAAAAAGACAGAAATGAGGGGGCAGGAACAGCACAGGAAAAGAGAAAGAGGTAGGCTGGTGTGGGGAGAGTGGATTGGTGGGATTGATGGAGGCGTCTATCTTCATGTCCAAGACACTTTCTCATGCGCCCTCAAGTGGTTTGGAACAGGAGTCACACACTCAAATGCCTGCAGGGATTGGGCTGTTAATGCAAATGACGAAATGAGCTGCATGTGATCCTAGGAGTGGGGAGGACTGCGGGGAGAATTGTGGCAAAGTAGAGTCAGATGAGCATGGTGAGTCTTTAAGAGTAATGGTGTGCCCCCTTCAGGGATGCTCAGGTTGGACCCAGGTTGACTCCAGGGGATTGATGCCAACAGGCACATTTTCAATTGCAGAGGGTACCCCCAAATTGCCCATTGATAACAGTGTGAAGGCCTTCAGGACCTATCACCCCCTTCTGCAAATGAGCAAACCTAGTTCCCATCCCACAGATGCCTCTTACCAACAAGCCGGCATTCTTTATGGCCAGGGGAAGCCCCAGGAGCCCTGTGCCAATGTTGCATTTCAACAAGTGGATCAAAGTTTGCATCATCCTGTGGTGGGGAGAGTAGGGAGACAGAGGGTACTGTTAGTGGAAGGGAAGCATGGCCAGAAACTCAGCCTCCTTCTGGCATCTCCAGAGCGCCTGATAGGAAGAGGGGCAAAACCTGATGAGGTGGACTTGGAGACAACTCTCAGTTCTAGGGGTCTGTCCTGGAACATCTGATCTGGGGATGGTGCTAGTTCAAGTGACTCAACAAATCTTTAATACACACTAGGCTCTAAAGGAAATAAAAATTGCTACCATTCTGGATAACACTCTAGTACTGGTTGGTTCATTAATTCATCCAGTGATTTCTTTCATGAGTTATTCTCTCAAATAACATTTATTGTGACCTAATACATGTCTATCAGTTAGATAGACAATGGAAAAATTAGTAATAGTTGCCTCAGTCTACAGTGAGACATCAGGTTATTTATTAACTCACTCACTAGAAACAAAAATCTACCATATATGGGATATTTACTGGTTTTAGTTTACTCCTTCATCCATTTGTTCAACCAATATTCATTGTGAATATGAATTGCTTGTGCGCTCTCTCTCTCTCTCTCTCTCTCTCTCTCTCTCTCTCTCTATATATATATATATATATATATATATGAAATGAGCTGCATGTGATGCTAGGGAGTGGGGAGGACTGTGGGGAGAATTGTGGCAAAGTAGAGTCAGATGAGCATGGTGATATATATATATATATATATATTATATATATATGAATTGCTATATATCGACATTATGCACTGGGTAAAATTTAATAATTTAATAGCAATTGTTACTGTGCATATAGAGTACTTATGATGGTCCCAGCAGGGTGCTAGGGCCTAGGGTTCTAAATATTCTTCACACCTGTGCTGGCAGCTCCTGCCCAGGCAGCTCCAATCCTGATGTGGATTGGGTGGGAAAGGTGGGAACAGGATCATGAGAACAGAATCAAAAAGGAACTTAAATAAAAAGTACATGCGTAAGCATTGAACCCAGAGATGGGAGCACTTAATTCTGAGTTCCAGCTCTGCCGCTAACCTACTGTGTTTGGTTACTACTTTGGGAAGCCATTAGCTGCTTTGATCCTGTTTCACTGCCAAAAAAGGGAGAAAATTCTAGTTTTGCCTATGTCCCAGGGAAGCTGTAAGACTCAAAAGAGGTAACAACATGATGAATCATGGAATCATGAAGTGCTTCACAGATGTGAGCATCATCATCGTCATATCATTGTCTCATCATCATCATCATCCTCACTGCCACCTTTGGTTTGGCCTTCATGGTGCTCATTTGTTAGAAAGCGCATCCTTCAAGAGGAAGAAGAATTGGGATGATAGGAAAAAGGCAAGCATGGGCTGGTTTAAGCAAGTAGAAGTGCCCCCTCCACCCAAGAACAAAAGGGTACCTTGAAGATGCCATTGGGAGATACAGACGAAGTCTCAGGCTAAGACAGAGAATGCCCTCTTGCCACACTTAAATTGTCTGCAGGTGGCCAGGAGAGCCAAAACCAACTGCCCAAGTGAGTCCAGCAGAGACAGTGCTCACATCTCTTTGTCTTATCCATTAGAGAGTCATGGCAAGGGGCTAGGAAGAAGCTGTAACCAACCAGGTCTTTGCATTTCAATGCTGACCTGAGAGAGGGTTGGGTTGAGAGAACAGATGAACTGTTGGGGACTTCTGTGACTTCAGTCTATTGAGTGAAGTCTATTGACCTAACTTCTGTTAGGGCAGTCTATTCACCTAAGGATGGGGGG
Organism: Homo sapiens; assembly: GCF_000001405.40. Lineage (NCBI taxonomy): Eukaryota > Metazoa > Chordata > Mammalia > Primates > Hominidae > Homo > Homo sapiens. Next base: position 151,300,425 of record NC_000005.10, read on the forward strand.
GTGGGCACCCATTGTCCCTTTACTTCCAAGAGATAACCTTTATTTCTTGATAACTGTAATTTGTCAATTCTTAAGTAGTAATTTCTCCAAAAGATGTGGTCCCATTTCCCACCCTCTGCTCTTTTTTCCTTTGTCTCTCACTTCTTTCCCATGACAGCATCGATGTCTTGCCCCTATTTGAATCAGATATTGTGGGAAAGGTGAGACAAGTTTTCGGAGGAACCACTGTGCCTTAGCTGACAGCATTTACCCATCTGGACCTTGAAGCATAAATAGATGTTGCAAGCTCCCCTGAGATTTAAAAAATTGGGTTTATATTTTTTCTCGAAAACTATACAATTGCTATTATAAAAGGAAATTCCAAAATCCCACCAATGGAAAATAACCACACATTATAATTAGCCCTCCTCTGGGCATCTTTATTTGCTCTAAATGCACCGAATTTTACATAAAGAGAACCGCTATGCATGCTGGATCCTCAACTAATTTTCTGTATGAATAAATGTGCTACACACTTTCCATGTCCATACATTTCCTCCATCACTTGTAATGACTGTATCATATTCTACTGTATGTTTGTTTCATGTGTTAACCTTTCTCTTAATGTTTCCAAGTTTTCAATATTATTGAAACTGCCTTTGCAAAATTATAACTGAGGAAATTAAGACAGCGAAAGAAATCAGACCTAACCAACTCCATCTTGCTTCTAACCTTTAAGATGTCCTTGTTTATTCCTGGACATAGGCTGAGCTAACTTTGGGAAGGAATTCATTTCATGGTTTGACTATTGGTATCACCCCTTTCCCAAAAAGACCCCCTTTTTGCCTGGGGACCATTCTGCCTTTGCAGGACTAACAAATTAGCTATAAGATTGGAAATTACAGTTTAGGGGTCATGCAGCCTCTGGCTCCAGGAGTCTAAACCTCCCCACATTGTTCCTGGGGATAACATCACATTGTAAAACCTAAGATCAGTGCTTGAGTTATTTTGCAGACCCTGCACTCTGATGGACCATCTGAAACCACCCAGACCGGTCATCTGGCTCAACCAGTTCTGCCATCCCTCCCAAGAACAGAAAACAGCAAGAAAAACTCACTTCGAGCCCCTGTGATTCCATCTCCAACCTGATCAATCAGCACTCCCCACTTCCCAAGCTCCTACCCACCAAATTATCTTTAAAAACTCTAATTCCCGAATGCTCAGGGAGACCGATTTGAGTGATAATAAAACTCCGGTCTCGAGCTTGCAGTGAGCTGAGATCGCGCCACTGCACTCCAGCCTGGGCGATAGAGCAAGACTCCGTCTAAAAAAAAAAAAAAAAAACCTCCAGTCTCTTGCACAGCAGATTCTGCATGAATTACTCTTTCTCCATTGCAATTCCCCTGTCTTGATAAATCGTCTCTGTCTAGGCAGTGGGCAAGGTGAACCCATTGAGTGGTTACATTATAACAAGTGCTTTGATAAAAATTATGCACTCTTGTGCTATTATTTCATCAGAAAAAATTCCTAGAGGGGTATTATTAATCAAAGGGTATATTTATTTATATTTCATTATACTTTAAAGAACTAGATTGTAATACTTACAGTACAAAATTCAAAAGATAAAACGCAATAATCCAAATCCTTATGAAACAAATATAAATCTCTTTTCTCTCAGCCTCCAAATTCTCTTCCCCAGAGGCAACCACTGCTGTCAGTTTTGTGTGTGTGCACGAGTTGTATACTTTCAGACAGCATTTGCCAAATAAATATTTGTATGTTTTATACAAATGACATTTTACGATTTGACCTGTAACATTGCCATCTAGAAAGATACCAATTTAATTCTTCCCAAAAGATGAGAGAGGGCATTTCCTGATATCCTTATCAACACTGGGGATTGTCATCGATAATCTCTTTGTGCCCACAGTTGTTACCGATCTGATGATTACCAGATAGCAGTGTGATTGACAGTAAGTCCTAGAAGAAGAGTTCTGTTGAAATCATGTCCTTTGCAGGGACATGGATGGAGCCGGAAGCCAGTATACTCCGCAAACTAACAAAGGAACAGAAAACCAAACACTGCATGTTCTCACTTGTAAGTGGGAGCTGAACAATGAGAACACATGGACACAGGGAGGAGAACAAGACAAACACTGGGGCTGGTTGGGGGTGGGGGGCAGGGGATGGGAGAGCATCAGGATAAATAGCTAAGGTATATGGGGCTTAATACCTAGGTGATGGGTTGATAGGTACAGCAAAACCACTATGACACACGTTTACCTATGTAACAAACCCGCATGTCCTGTACATGTATCCTGGAACTTAAAATTAAATTAAATTTAATTTAATTAAAAAAAAAGAGAGAAGAGTTCCATGTGTCTGAGTTTGGGGCAGTAAAGGTGGAGACATGGGGTTAGCACCTTTTGTTTTCTGGATGGATGGCATGGGGGGTTGGGGAGAAGAGGCAGAGAGAATAATGGCAGATGTGTGAGGAGAAGAAGGCAGCCAGAGACTGTGGAAGAAAGAAAGGGAGGAAGGAAAGGGCAGACAGCCTGAGATAGGAAACTGTTCCTGGAGACAAGCTGCTCATGTTGAGGGTGGCTGCTCTAGCTGGGTTCTTCGTAAAAACTGGGAAACAGGGCTAGTAGCCAGAGCCACAGGGATTGACCTCCTTAGATTCTGAAGGTTTCATCTTTTATCCACGCATATCGTGTTAATGGAATAAGCGTGTTAAGGAGATAGATGAAGGAAGACATAGTCCAGAGTTGCAAAAACAGCAGTGCTTGACCTCAGGCCTGGAAGGGCGGTGCGGCCACTTACGATAGTCCAGCTTCTCCAGCAGGATGGACATTCTCTGAAGTAATGCTACTGCTGCTCTCTGAGGGTGACTGAGGTCCGTTGTCCAAGGAGTTCAGCTCACTGTTGTAGTCCCTTCCAAGCAATGACATCTTCAACACGGTGGGTAGGTGGCAGAGGCTCAGGGTTAAGGCTCTGAATGAGCCTCTGATGGGTCTTTCTCCAGAGAAACCATGGCTGCTGACCTGAGATGCTGGCTCCTAACCCCAAGGATGCGTGCTGCTGGCTGAAGCCTGAAGTGCATGAATCAGGGAAGCGGTGGTGGCAGGAGAGGCTGATGTTGATGATGCCTCACCTGGCTCTTGGGGGACTTATGAAAGACCCATCTCAGTCAGGATGGTCCTCAGTTTCACTCGCAATTGCTTGCCCAACCAGGACTTGCCTGGGCTTTTGGCCTCTCCTAGTTTAGCCCTTGCTGCTGTAGGGCAAAGTGAACAGTGTGACTGGGAGGAAGAAGACACCATTGGATTGGAGGTCCTGGTGCCTGGACGTGGGGCCAGGCTCAGTGCTTGTCTGTCTTTGGCAAGGAAAAAACCAGAGCTACCTCACAATGGAGGCTGCCCAGCCAATGAGCTGCAGCAGAATCCTGGGATGCAGATGTGGCCCAACAGAACATAATCCAGCTACCATGTTCCCTGTTTGGGGTGAAGAGTGGCTTGTAAGGCCCAGTTCAAATGCCACCTGCTCAGAATTTCTATACAGGAGGCGTATGGCCTGCCAGTGATTTGGAAGGGAGTGCAGGTCATGTTTAAAAAAAATCATTTGTTCAGAAAATATTTATTGAGCATCTAATATATGCTAGAAACTGTTCTCCATGCTGGGAATATATTAGGGTAGAAAACTTACTACAATCTCTGTTCTCATGGAATTTACAATCTGGAGGGGCTGGGGGAGACAGACAATAAACGAAACAAATATATCAAGTATCTGTTAGTAAAAAGCGGTATAGAGAAAATCCAGGCAAGGGTAATGGAGAGTTTCAGCTAGGGGGAGGGTCGCAATTTTAGATTGGGTGATCAGAGAGGGCCTCACCTAGAAAGTGACATTTGGGCAAAGGGCTGAACAAGATGAGGGAACACAACTCATGTAGGTCTTGGGTAAGAAACTCCTAGCAGAGGGGCAAGAAGTGCAAAGGTCCTGAGGCAGGAGAGTGCCTGGGGTGTTTTAGGAATGGCAATGAGGTCATATGGCTATCTGGGAGCACACAGAGGAGAATGGATTCGCCTGGTTTGTGCCTATTGCCCTGGCATAATTACTAATGGTGCCTCCCTTCATTATTAAAAGTATCCTGCAGCTGAGCGAGGTGGTGCACACTTGTAGACCCAACTACTCGGGAGGCTGAAATGGGAAGATCGATTGAGGCCAGCCTGGGAAACCACCCTAAAAATGAAATAAAATAGGCCACGCTCAGTGGCTCACACCTAAAATCCCAGCAATTTGGGAGGCCGAGGTGGGCAGATCACCTGAGGTCAGGAGTTAGAGACCAGCGTGGCCAACATGGTAAAACCCCATCTCTACTAAAAATATAAACATTAGCCGAGCTTGGTAGCATGTACCTATAGTTCCAGCTACTTGGGAGGCTGAGGCAGGAGAATCACTTGAACCTGGGAGGTGGAGGTTGCAGTGAGCGGAGATCGCACCATTGCACTCCAGCCTGGGTGACAAGAACAAAATTCCATCTCAAAAAAAAAATAAAATAAAATAAAAAGAGATATCCTGGTTTGGATGATAATTACATGGTCACACCAGAGATGTGGTTAAAGAGGTAATGAAAGCGGGATGGAGTGGGTGGGCAGGATCTTGTAGGCTATTGTAACAACTTTGGATTTTACTTTAAGAGAGATGAGAAATCATGGAGGGTTCTGAGCAGAGAAATGACATGACTTAAACATTTTGACAGGATGTCTCTGGCCATTTTTTTTTTTTTTTTTGCGAGCAGATTGAAGGGGTGCAAGGGATATCAATTAGGAGGCTATTACAATAATCCAGGAGGGTGTTGCAGTGACCCAGGTGTCGGTCTGTAGTGGCTTAAACCAGGGTGGTAGTGAAAGAGATGGTGAAAAGTGACTGAATTCTGGATACTTTTAAAGATAAAGCCAAGAGGATCTGCTGATGAACTTGAGGTGGGGTATAAAAGAGAGAGGAATCAAGGAAGACTCCAATATTTTTGATATGAGTAACAGAAAGAATGGGACTGGCATTAACAAAATCGCGTCCTGAAGCTGCTTTTGCAGAGCAAGCACCAGCACTGGACTTTGATTGCACGTTTGTTTGGGATGACTGCACAGATTGCTTATGAAGCTCATGGGGGCCAAGGTACTCCCCACACCACCTCTTTGTGCTGCTGTAAAATCAGCACTGGGAGCTTCTCTCTTCCTCTGAATATCAGATGAAATATCTCTCTCTTCTGATGCCCAAAAGACTTTTTCTCAAGTTGAAAATAATTTCCCCTCCCCTGTTGCACTTATGCATTTATTATTTTATTTTATTTTTATTTTTTGAGACAGGGTCTCACTGTCACCCAGGCTGAAGTGCAGTGGCATAATCACAGTTCACTGTGACCTCCTCCTCCCAGCCTCAAGCAATCCTCCAACCTCAGCCTCCTGAGTAGTTGGGACTACAGGCATTCACCATCATGCCCAGCTAATTTTTGTATTTCTTGTAGATATGGGGTTTTGTGGCCGGGTGCAGTGGCTCATGCCTGTAATCCCAGCACTTTGGGAGGCCAAGGTGGGCAGATCACCTGAGGTCAGGAGTTAGAGACCAGCCTGGCCAACATGGTGAAACCCCATCTCTACTAAAAATACAAAAAATTAGCCAGGCATGGTGGCATGTGCCTGTAATCCCAGCAAATCAGGAGGCTGAGGCAGGAGAATCGCTTGAACCCAGGAGGCGGAGGTTGCAGTGAGCCGAGGTCACGCCATTGCACTCCGGCGTGGATGACAGAGCAAGACTCCGTCTCGAGAAAAAAATTTAAAAAAAAACCAAAACAGATGGGGTTTTGCCATGTCATTTATTCGTTGTTTTAATACTTACCTAACCCATGCCTATTCTATATAAGGTGCTGCAGATTTAACAATAAATAGGATGGACCATGGTTCCATTTTCAAGGAGTGTGTCTTTCCCTTAGTAGGAAGACAAACAGTAAACAAGTAAACAAGACAGTGATCAATTATAATAAACGTTATGCTTGTTTTAAAACAAGGCAAAGCCAAACTCGCAACTACAAAACAGAGACCGTGGAAATCACCATCACCCAGAGCAAGCACACAAAAGGATGTTGGCTTGTAATTTCCTTTTCTTTTCTTTTCTTTTTTTTTTAAATGTATCTTTGTTTGGTTTTGGTATCGGGGTAATACTGAACTTCTATAATAGTCAATGAGTTTGGAAGTAGTCCCTCCTCTTCTGTTTTTTGGAATAGTTTGAGTAGGATTGGTATTAGTTCTTCTTTAAATGTTTAGTAGAATTCAGCAGTTAAGCCATAGGGTCCAAGGCTTTCCTTTACCTGGAGACTTTTTATTATTGCTTTGATCTCATTACTTGTTATTGGTCTCTTCAGGTTTTGGATTTCTTCCTGGTTCAATCTTGGTAGATTGTATGTGTCTAGGAATTTGTCCATTTCTTGTAGATTTTCCAATTTATTGGCATATAGTTGCTCATAGCAGCCATTAATGATCCTTTGTATTTCTGCAGTATCAGTTGTAATGCCTCTTTTTTCATTTCTGATTTTATTTACTTGGATCTTCTCTCTATTTTCTTAGTCTGACTATTGGTTTGTCAATTTCGTTTAACTTTTCAAAAAAACCAACATTTTGTTTTATCAATCTTTTATATTGTTTTTTCATTTCAATTTCATTTATTTCTGCTCTGATCTTTATTATTTCTTTTTTTCTACTAATTTTGGGTTTGGTTTACTCTTGCTTTTCTAGTTCTTTAAGCTGCATTTTGTTTGTTTGTTTTTTGAAATGGAGTCTTGCTCTGTTGCCCTGGCTGGAGTGCAGTGGCACAATCTTGGCTCACTGCAACCTCCACCTCCTGGGTTCAAGTGATCTCGTGCCTCAGCTTCCCGAGTAACTGGGATTACAGGCACCCACCACCATACCCAGCTAATTTTTTTGTATTTTTACTAGAGATGGGGTTTCACCATGTTGGCCAGGCTGGTTTTGAACTCCTGACCTCAAGTGATCCACCCACCTTGGCCTCCCAAAGTGCTGGGATTACAGACGTGAGCCACCGTTCCCAGCTGGATGCATCATTAGATTGTTTATTTGAAGTTTCCCCTATTTTGATGTAGGCACTTATAGCTATAAACTTCCCTTTTAGTACTGCTTTTGCTGTATCCCATAGATTGTGGTATGTTGTGTTACCATATCATTTGTCTCAAGGATTTTTAAATTTTCTTCTTAATTTCTTCACTGACCCACTGGTCATTAAGGAGCATACTGTTCAAGTTCCATGTGTTTGTATAGTTTCCAAACTTCCTCTTGTTGTTGATTTCAAGTTTTATTCCATTGTGGTCAGAGAGGCTGCTTGGTATTATTTCAGTTTTTTGTAATGTTTTAAGACTTGTTTTGTGACCTAACATATGGTCTATCCTTGAAAATGATCCATGTGCTGAGGAAAAGGATGTGTATTCTAAAGCCACTGGATGACATATTCCATAAATATCTGTTAGATCTACTTGGTCTATAGCACAGATTAAGTCCTATGTTTCTTTGTTAATTTTCTGTCTGGAAGATCTGTCCAATGCAGAAAGTTGGGTGTTGAAGTCTCTAACTATTGGTATCTATTTCTCTCTTTAGCTCTAATAATATTGGCTTTATATCTGGGTGCTCCAGTGTTTGCTGCACATATAATTGCAACTGTTATATCCTCTTGCTGAACTGACTTTTTGATCATTATATAGTGACCTCCTTTGTCTCTTCTTATAGTTTTTGTGTTAAAATCTATTTTGTCTGATATAAGTATAGCTACTCCTGCTTTTTTTTGATTTCCATTGGCATGGAATATATTTTTTCATCCCTTTATTTTCAGCCTATGTATGCTTTTATAGGTGAAGTCATTTTCTTATAGGCAACGGATCAGTGGGTCTTGTTTTTTATTCATTCAGCCAGTTTATGTCTTTTGATTGGAGAGTTTAGTCCGTTTACATTCAATGTTATTATTGATAAGTAAGGATTTACTCTTGCCATTTTGTTACTTGTTTTCTGGTTGTGGTTTTCTCTTCCTTCTTTTTTTTTCTTGTCTTCCTTTAGTGAAAGTGATTTTTATCTTTTGATATGCTTTAGTTTCTTGCTTTTGTGTGTGTGTGTGTGTGTCCATTGTATGTTTTTTGGTTTGAGGTTACCATGAGGCTTGCAAATACTATCTTATAACCCATTATTTTAACCTGATAACAGATGAACACTGCATAAACAAACAAATGAACAAAAACAAAGAAAGAAAACTGACAAAAACTCTATGCCTTAACTTCATCACCCTGCTTTTTAATTTTTCATTGTTTCTGTTTATATTTTATTGTACTAAGTCTTGAAAAGTTGTTATTATTTTTGATTGGTTCATTGTTTAGTCTTTCTATTTAGGATAAAAGTAGGTCACACACCACAGTTACAGAGTTACAATAGTTTGTGTTTTTCTGTGTATTTACTATTACCAGTGAGTTCTGTACCTTCAGGTGATTACTTATTGCTCATTAATGTCCTTTTCTTTCTGATTGAGGTACTCTCTTTAGCATTTCTGGCAGTGAGAGGTGACAGCGTGCTGGCAGTCCTCACAGCCCTAGCTCGCTCTGGGCACCTCCTCTGCCTGGGCTCCCGCTTTGGCGGCACTTGAGGAGCCCTTCAGCCCACCGCTGCACTGTGGGAGCCCCTTTCTGGGCTGGCCAAGGCCAGAGCCGGCTCCCTCAGCTTGCAGGGAGGTGTGGAGGGAGAGGCGCGAGCGGGAACCGGGGCTGCGCGCGGCGCTTGCGGGCCAGCTGGAGTTCCGGGTGGGCGTGGGCTCGGGCTTGGCGGCCCCGCACTCGGAGCAGCCGGCCGGCCCTGCTGGCCCCAGGCAATGAGGGGCTTAGCACCCGGGCCAGCGGCTGCGGAGGGTGTACTGGGTCCCCCAGCAGTGCCAGCCCACCGGCGCTGCGCTCCATTTCTCACCGGGCCTTAGCTGCCTTCCCGCGGCGCAGGGTTCGGGACCTGCAGCCTGCCATGCCTGAGCCTCCCACCCGCTTCATGGGCTCCTGTGCGGCCAGAGCCTCCCCGATGAGCGCTGCCCCCTGCTCCACGGCGCCCAGTCCCATCGACCACCCAAGGGCTGAGGAGTGCGGGCCCACGGCGCAGGACTGGCAGGTAGCTCCACCTGCATCCCCGGTGTGGGATCCACTGGGTGAAGCCAGCTGGGCTCCTGAGTCTGGTGGGGACGTGGAGAACTTTTATGTCTAGCTCAGGGACTGTAAATACACCAATCGGCACTCTGTATCTAGCTCAAGGTTTGTAAACACACCAATCAGCACCCTGTGTCTAGCTCAGGGTTTGTGAGTGCACCAATCGACACTCTGTATCTAGTTACTCTGGTGGGGCCTTGGAGAGCCTTTGTGTGGACACTCTGTATCTAGCTAATCTGGTGGGGAGGTGGAGAACCTTTGTGTCTAGCTCAGGGATTGTAAACGCACCAATCAGCACCCTGTCAAAACAGACCACTCGGCTCTACCAATCAACAGGATGTGGGTGGGGCCAGATAAGATAATAAAAGCAGGCTGCCAGAGACAGCAGCAGCAATCCGCTCCGGTCCGCTTTTGCGCTGTGGTAGCCTTGTTCTTTCGCTCTTTGCACTAACTCTTGCTACTGCTCACTTTTTGGGTCCACACTGCCTTTATGAGCTGTAACACTCTCTGCGAAGGTCTGCAGCTTCATTCCTGAAGCCAGCGAGACCGCGAGCCCACCGGGAGGAACGAACAACTCCAGACGCGCTGCCTTAAGAGCTGTTAACACTCACAGCGAAGGTCTGCAGCTTCACTCCTGAGCCAGCGAGACCACGGGCCCACCGGGAGGAAGGAACAACTCCAGACGCGCTGCCTTAAGAGCTGTAACACTCACCGGGAAGGTCTGCAGCTTCACTCCTGAGCCGGCAAGACCACGAACCCACCAGAAGAAAGAAACTCCGAACACATCTGAACATCAGAAGGAACAAACTCCAGACACGCCGCCTTCAAGAACTGCAACACTCACCGCGAGGGTCCGCGGCTTCATTCTTAAAGTCAGTGAGACCAAGAACCCACCAATTCCGGACACAGTAGGACAGGTCTGGTGTTGATAAAATCCTTCAATTTTTGTTTGTCTGGGAAAGTCTTTATTTCTCGTTCATGTTTGAAGTATATTTTCACCAGATATACTATTGTAGGGTAAAAGTGTTTTCCTTCAGCACTTTAAATATGTCATGCCACTCTCTCCTTGCCTATAAGGTTTCCACTGAAAAGTCTTGCTGCCAGACATATTGGAGCTCCATGGTGTTTTTGTTTGTTTTTCTCTCTTGCTGCTTTTAGGATCCTTTATACTTGATCTTTGAGAGTTTGATTATTAAATGCCTTAAGGTAGTCTTGTTTAGGTTAAATCTGCGTGGTGTTCTATAAACTTCTTGTACTTGGATATTGATAACTTTCTCTAGGTTTAGGAAGTTCTCTATTATCCTTTTGAATGACATTTCTACCCCTATCTCTTTCTCTACTTCCTCTTTTAAGGCCAATAACTTAGATTTACCTTTTTGAGGCTATTTTCTAGATCCTGTAGGTGTGCTTCATTATTTTTTATCCCTTTTTTTTTTGGTGGTCTCTGACTATTTTCAAACAGCCTATCTTTAAGCTAACTAATTCTTCTGGTTGATTGATTCTATTGTTAAAAGACTCTGATGCATTCTTCAGTATGGCAATTGAATTTTTCAGCTCCAGAATTTCTGATTCTTTTTCATGATTTCAATATCTGTTAAATTTATCTGATGAATTCCTTCTCTATGTTATCTTGAATTTCTATGAATTTCCTCAAAACAACTATTTTCAATCCTCTGACTGAAAGTTCACATATCTCTGTATCTCCAGGATTGGTCCCTGGTGCCTTATTTAGTTCATTTGGTGAGGTCGTGTTTTCACGGATGGTGTTGATGCTAGTAAATGCTCTTCAGTTTCTGGGCATTGAAGAGTTAAGTATTTTTTGCAGTCTTCACTGTCTGGACTTGTTTGTATCCATCATTCTTGGGGAGGTTTTCCAGATATTTGAAAGGGCTTGGGTGTTGTGATCTAAGTTGTATCTGCTTCAGGGCACAACCCAAGCCCAGCAACACTGTGGTTGTTGCAGACTGACAGAGGTACCACCTTAATCATCTTGGACAAGATCTGGGAGAATTCTCTGGATTACCAGATAGAGACTCTTGTTCTCTTCCCTTACTTTCTCCCAAACAGAGTCTCTCTCTTTGTTCTGAGCCACATGAAGCTGGGGGTGGAGTGATACAAGCACCCTTGTGACCACCATCACTATGACTGCACTGGGTCAGACCTGAAGCCAGCATAGCACTGGGTCTTGCTAGAGGCCTCCTGTAACCACTCCTTGGCTACTGCGTGTGTTTGCTCAAGGCTCTGGGGCTCTATAATCAGTAAGTGGCAAGCCATTCGGGTCTGTATTTTTCCCTTTAATGTGGAGAGTTCCCCCAGGCTGTATGCAGGTCCAGAGGTGCCATCTGTCTTGACAGCCAGGGACTAGAATCAAAAACCTAAGAAGTCTACCTGGTGCCGTATTGTACTGTGGCTGAGCTGGCACTCGAACCACAAGACACAGTCCTTTTCACTCTTCCCTCCCCTTTCCAAAGGTAGGGCAGCCTCACCCTATGGCCACTGCCACCTCAGGCCCACAGGGAGTAATGCTAGACTACTGCCAATGTTCCCTTAAGTCCTGAGGGCTCTTCAGTCAGCTTTTGGTGCATGCTGCCTGGCCTGGGACTCACCCTTCAAGGCAGTGGGCTACCCTCTGGCCCAGGACAGGTCCAGAAATGCCATCCAAGAGCCAAGTCCTGGAATTGGGGACCCCAAGAGCCTACTTGGTGCTCTACCCCTGTGGCTGAGCTGGTAACTAAAGTCAGCAGGTCTCAGAGTCTCACCCAAGGCCCTTGATGTAGTATCTGGGTATCACTGGTGTTTATTCAGGGCCCAAGGGCTCTTCAGTGAGCAGGTGATGAATGCTGCCAGGACTGGGTCCTTTCCTTCAAGACAGTGGGTTCCCTTCTGGCCCAGGGTATGTCTAGAAATGCCCAGAAGCTAAGGTCTGGAAAGGCAGCATCATGACTCTGACCCATGCCCTATTCTTCTGTGGCTGAGTTGGTATCTAAGATGTAAGATAAAGTCCTCCCCACTATTCCTTCTCCTCACCTCAAGCAAAAGGAAGGGGTCTATTCTGGAGCCACAAGCTGTGCTTCTTGGGGTTAGGAAAGGGGTGATGCCAAGCACTCCCTTAGTCACCCCAACTGGTGTCTCAGTATGTCTCCTGCTCCCCCAGTCCACTGTCTCTGGGTCCAATTCAGTACTAGGAGTCTCCTAGGAGTTGTAGTCCTTGTGGCCTAGACTGCCTTTCAAGTTTATTTAAAGCCCCAGAGCACTTTAGCCCATGGTGGTGAGGCCTGTGGGAACTAGAGTTCTGATCTCTGGGATCAGTGATTCCCCTCTGGCTAGGGCTGGTTTAAATGCTCCCTCTGTGGGCGGGTGTCAGCTGAGTTTGGTCTGGTTTTCCTTTCTGCTATAACAAGGGCAGCACCTAGTCAATGCATCACAATTACTGGGTTCTCCCTTCCCCAGAGCCCAGAGATACTCTGGGCACCATGGGCCCCTGCTGGGGGTGGGGGAGGGGTGGCGCTGCGCAGTTGATTCAAGACTGTTTTTTCTTTTACCTCTTTAGTGCCTCTTTCAGCCATACGAAGTTAAAACCAGGTACTGTGAGTGCCCACGTTTTTTGGTTCTTATGAAGGTGTACATAATTGTTAAATTGGTGTCCTTGCAGCAGGGGTTGGGGGACAGGACAGATCAGTGGAGCTTTCTACCATCTTGCTCTACCTCCTCCCTATTTTACATTTTGATAACCACCATTCAGTGGCCTCCCTTGGGCCCTACAATGCAGTGAGGAGCTTTGATGCACAAATGTTTGCATCCTGGATCCATCCTTCACTACGTGTTTGATCTTTAACAAGTTATTTAATGTCTCTGAGTCTGTTTCCTTATCTGAAAATGGAGACAATGACAGTGTAAACATCACAGGTCATTGTAAGGATTAAATGAGATGATCTCATGTAAAATCCTTAGTAAGCACTCAATGAAGGAAAGGAGGAAGGGTTTTCTATGTTCCTTGACTCACTAGCAAGTTCCAGAAGTTAAATAAATAGTAAGTTAAATGGGGGGAAGAAAGTCGTGTGTATGCATATGTGTGTACTAAAAAAATCAGTTCCAAACCACTTAAGAAATTTTAATATCACCACCACTCAGACATAAAGCTAACATGTAGTAGTCTTTAGTGTTGCCAATGATTACTAATGAGTCTCCCTAGCTTAGTTTTGTTGGTTATATCAATGTTGCTAAATTTAGTTTTTCTTTCCAAGGTTTAACTTCAGCCAGATTTGTCTGAGTAATAAAATTAACCCTATCCTCTTACACAGTAGGGGCTTATCTTTAGAGAATGAGTGTAAACTTTTCTTAATAACAGAGAAGATAACTTTAAACTTCAAGGATGGGTGCGGTGATTGATAGTGGAGCAGGGTGGGAGAGAAATGTTTCCAGAGAGGATGATCACATTGCCAACACTCAGGATGGATCATTGGAAGTCCTTTGGGTTTGCTGATGAAACAGAGAGCTCAGGGTGGAAATGACAACCCATTCTCTGGCAAAGTGGACTGTGGACCCCTGCACGAGCTATGAGTGTCCTGTTGCCCAACAGGGACTCTGTAGGCTATGGGATCTGGGTGTGGACCACCAGCCTTTCCTCCATCTGAGTGGACTTGTGCTGGTGAAGTATCTTCTGGAAGTCCAGCAGATAGAAAGTAACATACAGAAAGAGCAGACCGGGACGTGGGAATTGGGGGGCACAGGGAAGACGAAGGATGAAAATAAGCAGGACAGGGCTTTTTCAAATGTTCTCTTAACACCGAGGCTGAAACAGGCATAGCTCATTCCCGTAAACCACGGAGAGTTTGATGAGAAACTCTCCTCTCCCCACCTTTTGGGACTATAGATCTTCAACATCTATTTATTTATCTAGGTGCGTTTTCTCAATTTTAGTAATTCTGAGGGGAGGGGAGAGAGCAGTCACCACCAGAAGGATGGAGGTGATGTCTCAGGTTGGCTTGCCTCTGGCTGCCAGCCAAGATCAGACACAAGCATAGGTGCTGTAATGTCCAGGCAGCAGGACAGAATGGAAGAAGGTTCAGGCTCAGTCGTAGAAGATTCAGGTTCTACTCAAAGCCCAGCTCAAATGATACCACCTGTGGAAAGTCTTCTTTGGTGCTCTAGAGCAGGTAGTGTCCTTTGCCCTTAGATGGACATTAGATGGTATTTACTTAGTTGATTACCTGTTAACTCTTCCCCAATGGACAGCAGACTGGCTGCTTGAGAGCAGGGATTCTTTTCTCATTAATCAGTGTATCCTCTTTAGAATGATTTATCAGTTATCTTTTGCTGCATAAAACTTCCCACTCTTTATGTATTAAAATTACAAACATCTTTATTATTTATCACAGTTCTGTGGATTATCTGTACAATTCTTATGGTCTGTGTCAGCCTGACTGGGGTTGGATATAGTCTAGGATGGCTTTACTCGTGTCTGGAAGTTGGTAGGCTGGTTGATCTGCGGACAGGGCTCAACTGGGATGATTCATTTATGTTCCACATGGTCTCTGATCCTCCGGTAGGCTAGCCCAGGATGCTTTACTTGGTGGTCTCAACTCCATAGAGCAGCAAGTGATGTAAGTCCTGATGCATAGGTTATTACCAAACCTCTGACTGCATCACATTTACTAATGTCCCATTGGCCAAAGCAAGTTACAAGGCCAAGATCAAATTTAAAGGGGAGAGGCTGGGCGTGGTGGCTCACACTTGTAATCTCAGCACTTTGGGAGGCCGAGGCAAGTGGATCACCTGAGGTCAGGAGTTTGAGACCAGCCTGGCCAACATGGTAAAACCCCATCTCTACGAAAAACAAAAATTAGCCAGGCATAGTGGCAGGCACTTGTAATCCTAGCTACTTGGGAGGCTGAGGCAGAAGAATCGCTTGAACCCAGGAGGTGGAGGTTGCAGTGAGCCGAGATTGTGCCATTGCACTCCAGCCTGGGCAACAGAGCGAGACTTCATCTCAAAAAAACAAAACACAAAACAAAACCGACAAACAAGCAAAAAAATTTAAGGGATACAGATACAGACTTCATCTTTTCATAGGAGCAGGTGCAAAGTCACATTATCACGAGGAATTTATGGTCATTTTTGCAATATTCTACAAAATCTTGTTTGGCACACAGTAGGTAATCAAGAATGCATGTTGCAAGAATTAAGAGGTAAAGTCTATTCAAATAATATTCATGTTCACTCCTCATCCCTCCCCATTGGCACATCTACTTCCATGCCTCCTATTCATTGTTGGGATCTTTGAGTTGGGAGAAAATGTTATCTAATCGTTTGAAATGTTTGTTGCCCCTCATTTAATATGCATGGCTCCTTTCTATCTGAGAGTTTTCACACTGGTCATCTTGGCCCTACCCATCTCAACACTGGAGCCGTGCACAACTTTCTGGCTTGTGGATTATGTGCCCACCCTTAATGTTTGCTTTTTGAACAGACCCAGAAAAGGGAAAACCGGTTGTCTGCCAAAGTGTGGACAGTCTTAGCTGGCTGCATCTCCTTTGGCCAGTTGCTGCCACTTGGGGCCCTCTGGTGGCTGCTTCTTGCATAGCTCCACGCTAGGTATGAAATTCATTGTGTGAATTATCATAAGCTTGGATAGAGTCCAGAGCCTTCCAAGGGAAAGCTCACAATGTAGTGGAATGCCAGAGGTATGAAAAGAAGAAGTAATAAACAAAACAAAAATGTAAAAAATTACCATTTAGAGCTTGTAGCTTTCTTGTTTCACCATGACTTGGCCCAGAGAAAAGGCAAAGCAGTGACATAAAGATAATGCATATAAAAGAGATCTGGCCAGGCGAGGTGGCTCACGCCTGTGATCCCAGCATTTTGGGAGGCCGGGGTGGGTGGATCACCTGAGGTCGGGAGTTCAAGACCAGCCTGACCAACATGGAGAAACCCCGTCTCTACTAAAAATACAAAATTAGCCAGGCGTGCTGGACTATGCCTCTAATCCCAACTACTCGGGAGGCTGAGGCAGGAGAATCGCTTGAACCCAGGAGGCCGAAGTTGTGGTGAGCTGAGATCGCATCATTGTACTCCAGTCTGGGCAACAAGACAGAAACTCCGTCTCAAAAAAAAAAAAAAAAAAAAAAAGAGATCCATATAATTAAAAGTCGGGTGCTGGTAGGCAAGGAGCAGTGCCAGGCTCACCGAACAAAAGTGGTGGAGTTGGAAAAGGGGTGAGAGTCTTCTGACTTGAGCAGCTCGTCCAGGGCCTGGTAGGTCCCCACCACAAAGCCCACGAAGCCCAGGATGCTGATCAGGGCGTCCTTGAAGATGGTGAGGGGGCTCATGCCCTCTGAGTAGAACGTGGTGACCTCCAGGAGCGGTGGGATGATGAGGGCCAGGGCGGTGCCACTCACGGAGCCCACCAGGGAGATGACCAGGTCCAGGCGGGGGATGAGGATGGCCAGGAGGCCTGCAGGGAGAGGATAGTGGAGAGATGGAGCATTCCAGGCTTAGCCAAGCTTTGAAAGTTTGTTCTTAAAGTCCTCTTCTTGGCCAGGCACAGTGGCTCACACTTGTAATCCCAGCACTTTGGGAGGCCTAGATGGGTGGATCACTGAAGGTTGGGAGTTCAAGACCAGCCTGTCCAACATAGTGAAATCCCATCTCTACTAAAAATACAAAAATCAGCCGGGTGTGGTAGTGGGTGCCTATAATCTCAGCTACTCAGGAGGCTGAGGCAGGAGAATCACTTGAACCTGGGAGGTGGAGGTTGCAGTGAGCCAAGATCACGCCACTGCACTCCAGCCTGGGTGACAAAGTGAGGTCCTATCTCATTAAAAAAAAAAAAAAAATCCTCTTCTTAAAAAATGAACTAATTGTTTCTCAGAAATTCAATTACAGAAAGAAAAGTTAAAAGTCCTCCAATATCCCTAATCATATTCCCTAGAAGTTACATATTAAAAATTCAGCCAGGCATAGTGGCACATTTCTGTAGCCCCAGCTATTCGGGAGGCTGAGGCAGGAGGATCCAGGAGTTCAAGGACACCCTGGGTAACATAGTGAGACCCCATCTCAAAACAACAATAACAAAATTTGGTGAGTCTCTGTCTAATTGTATTCATTCATATTGTTCATTCATATTGTTGGGAGGAAATGTATTCATTCAAAAACTTTTCCCCTACCAACTTAGGGTCAGTGGTTGGGTGCTTGTGAATTCAACTGACAATAGGTAAGATTAACAAGAGAAAAGACAAAGTGTATATATAAGCTCCAGAGCCTTGAGAAGAATTGGCTTCCAGAACAGCCAAAGATACCCCCTTAATAAGGGGAAAAGGAGGGAGGAGAAAGGGCTTTTATGGAAGAACAAATGGAAGATATGACAGTTTCAGATAAAATTTGTTAAACAGTTAGTAATTCCCATGATAATGCTAAGTCTCTTTTCTGGCTCTAAACTTCCCAGAGAAGGGATTTATGGCAGCTATATTTGTCAGGAGGTCCCGCTTACATCAGCAAAAGAAGATTAGACAAAGTTTCTTTCTGCAGCTTCTTTTTGTTCAGGCATTTTTAGCTTAAAATAATCTTTATGCTACCGAGGTGCATTTTGGATCCTTACATATCCAACAAAACTTAAGCTCTTACTTAATAAATAACACTAAATAACAGTGCTGGGAACCATTCAAGCTGTTTGGAATATATCAATGTACAAACTGTCAATGTTTGTACTATCAAAATTTGTATCAATGTACAAATTTTTTAGAAGTCTTCTAAAATGCCTAGCATTTTAATAAATAAAAAATAATATAAATAATATAAATAAATAATACAAATTTATTATTTATTTTATATATAAATAAAATATATTTTATATATTTTATCTATAATAAAAATAAATAATAAATAAAAATATAATAATTATTTATAAATATTTATTTATAAAATATATTTTTATATATAATAAATATTTTATATATATAAAAATATAATAAATATAAATAATATAAATAAATAAATTATTTTTTAAAATGCCTAGAATTTTAATAAATAATTAACATGAGTATAAGAACCTTTTACTTGCAAACAATTAGAATATGAAATTATTTATAATACAAAGAGATCTTCAGTTGGAAGAAAATCCGGGAGGTGTCTTTAAAGAAGTGTCTTCTCCAGGTTTTATACACATGTCAGAAAACCCCTAACAAAGAAACACGAAAAGCTAAAAATTTTGAAATTATATTTTTTTAGCAGGACGTTTTACAGACCTGGGCTTTTACATTTTTTATTATATTTGATGAAAAATGTTCCTGGTCACCAATAAATCCCAGGAGCCTTGAGCAGGCCTCCTTTGGAGGAGTGTGGTAGAACAGAACAGGTCTGGAAGGCAGGAGTCTGGTTCATTCTTGTATGGCCTTGCCCAAGTCCCACCCCTTCCTCAGCTTGTTTCCTCAGCTGCAAAATGGAGATGAAGGCTACTATCCTTTTAGGTATTGTGATTCATTCTGCATAGGACATAAAAGTCTTCAATGAGATTTTTCATGTAAAGCATTCAGAAAAGTTATCTTTGCTATTACTCCAAGTTATTTACTCATACATGCTAATTGACAATGCATGAAGAAGTGTAGTGTAGGCTTAAGGGATTGTTATCTTTATACTGTGGGGCAAATTCCTTGATCTGTCTGGAATATGTAAGATACTGGATAGTTCCTGCATTCAAGGTCAAATTGAGAACTAATCACTTCAAAAAAAGAAAATCAGTGTCGAATGAATGCTGTGGGCTGGCCTAGAAAAGTGAAAATCAACAGCCACTTCAGCCAGTCTCAGGGGATCCAGCAGCTGCTGCAGGCCAAGATGCAGCCACTGAGAAGGTGTCCAAGTGTGAGCAAAAACATAGAGGCTGAAGCAGGCCAAGGAAGCAGCTGAGGCTTCAACTGCTGAACTGAAACTGAACAGCACTGCCTGCAGAGGGAGAAAGAGTTCAAGACCAAGGAAGCTGCAGCCCTGGAATCTCACAGCAGCCTTGGCACTGAAGTGGCACAGGAGGGTCAGAAGAAGAGGACCAGCCTCCAGAACTACTTCCAGCAGAATGGGGGTGAAGGCTTGGCTAGTCTCTTGGCTTTTGTCTGTGACACCTGGACAGAAATCCATGAAAACTGCTGCATAAATGAAGAAGAGTGGGAGAAAGAAGCGCCTGTACCACAGATTGGCATTTTAGATGCCCTCGAGGAATATGCAGCTTGAGATATATTCTTATGAAAAGGCATTAAATGATTTCTGTATATTATATAGCAGGTCCCTTCACATCTCAGAGAATATAAAATCTAGCTTCTTTGTACAGACTTAGAACTTATCTATAGATTTTCTTTTTACATCGTATTTCGTAGAAATTTAATGGGTATATGTCATGTTTTCCCATGCCTATTAGCTGAAGTAACATATGTATCAGTGTATCAATGTTGACTTTTTCTTTCTTTTTTCTAGTAAAAAAAAGTTCTTTGAAGAAGAAAGAGATTAATATTTTTTTTTTCCCTGTAGTGCTTTCTTGAATGTCAGGATTCTAACCATGAAAAAGTAGTAAATGGTTATTTGTAATCTGTGTGAAGCAGCAGCCACCCTTAAATTAGTCCATTCCTGCTAATGGTTAGAATAATGAATACTAGCATAACTGTTTGGGCTGCTTTTAGTTTCTCTGAATCAAAATTACTAGATGGTAGAATTCAAAAACTCGTTACATGTTATTACTCGGTGTACTGATAATTATCTAAAAGTAACACTTTGTTATGCAAAAAAAAAAGAATTTCCTAAATTTCCATGGACAGATGAATGGATAAAGAAAATGTGGTTTCTACGTACAGTGGAATACAATTTGGCCTTAAAAAGAAGACACTTTTGCAATTACAATCAAAAGGCATCTTAGGGACAGCTGGGCCACCTCTACTCTACACAGGAATCTCTAGCCATCTCCTTCGGCCTCTGGTGGAATACTTGCAGAAAGGGGTACTCCGGGTCATGGGGGCTGCTGTGAGCCAGGGAGTGGGAATGACCTCAGCCAATAGGCAAGCACAGGACCGTCCAGGGGTCAAGGAGCCCCAGCTGATTGTTGCCGATGGGGAATGTGATCCCAGCCTTGCCCAATCATTTTATAGTAGCCCCACCAAAAAATTTTAAAAATCTGCATTTGTATGGAGATTGCCCACATTTTAAATGTTGGCCCACTTTATACAACATTGTGAGGTTCAAACAACACCTGTTGCCAAATTAGAGTCCCATTTTCAATGTCTGCCCTGGAGGTGAAGGGCACTGGCTCTAGACTTACATGACTTGAATTCAAATCCTACCTCTGACACTTTCTGGCCAATTATTAATCACTCACTGCCTCAGTTTTCTCTTTCATAAAGTAGGGTTTATCATAGTTCTACCTCATGATAATTGTTGTGAGGACTGAATAAAATATTATGAAATCTAGACTAGAAAGAGCTGAACACAGTGCCTGGCACACAGTAAGTGTTCAATACATGTCAGTTCTTATGATTTATTTATTTATTTATTTATTTATTTATTAATATATTTGAGACAGGGTCTGACTCTGTTGCCCAGGCTGGAGTGCAATGGTTCAATCTCAGCTCACTGCAGCCTCAGCCTCCTGGGCTCAAGCAATCTTCCCACCCTAGCCTCCCAAGTAGCTGGGACTACAAACATGGGGCACCCATGCCTGGCTATTTTCTTTTCTTTCTTTTTTTTTTTTTTTTTAATAGAGATGGGGTTTCACCATGTTGTCCAGGCTGGTCTCAAAACTCCTGAACTCAAGCAATCCGCCTGCCTTGACCTCTCAAAGTGCTGGGATCACAGGCATGTGCCAGAGTGCGCAGCAAGTTCTTACAGTTATTGTTTGATAAGCTGTGTCAATCCCTTAGGCTGAACACCAACAAATCTGTCTAATTAGGTACATGTAAGAATGGGGTTGTTTAGATGAGTGAATACTTGTAAAGCTTTAAAATGGTCCCTGGAATACAGTAAGTGCTCAGTAAATGCTGATTGTCATGACTGCCCTCTACCATCTGACTGATTCTTTTTTTTTTTTTTTTGAGATGAATCTTGCTCTGTTGCCCAGGCTGGAGTGCAGTGGCACGATCTCGGCTCACTGCAACCTCTGCCCTACATGTTCAAGTGATCCTCTTGCCTTGGTTCTTGAGTAGCTGGGATTACAGGCACGTGCCACCACGCCTGGTTAATTGTTGTATTTTTAGTAGAGACAGGGTTTCACCATTTTGGCCAGGCTTGTCTGAAACTCCTGACCTCAGGTGATCCACCCGCCTCGGCCTCCCAAAGTGCCAGGATTACAGGTGTAAGCCAATGCATCCGGCCCATCTGGCTGATTCTTTATAGCCCTCAGAAAAGATCAGCAGGAACACTGCACTCTCCTTTCTACTCACATGTCAGGCAGACCATGACGAGGCGAATGGACAGATCCAGAGGCAGTGCCCAGCGTGTTGACACCCGGGAGATGGCAAAGGGGATGATGATTTCTGCAGGGACGTAGAACTGCAGGGCATAGGTGCACAGGATGCCGGCAATGTAGAGAAGCTTGACAGACTGGTACAGCCTGCAAGACAAACCACAGAGCTGCTCTCCACGGCCACTGTGTTCTGACACTGGCCTCCTTGGAACATTAACCTCTGACCTTGGGACAATGACTTGGGCTTTTGTTTCCCTTTCTGAAAATGACTGAGAGGGACCTTCTAAGAATCAAGAGGGAGTCACAGCAGAGCATGCAGTGAAAATAGTGCGGTTCTGGATTCAGTGGAAACAATGGAAAGGGTCATTTCTAAATGAAATAAAAACCATCTTGAGCTTGAGTATGTATTGCACCTTCGCAAATCGCTACCATCTGATGCTCAATCTTATGTTTTAAAAAAGAGAGGCTCAGGCTCAGGCCAGATACTTTGCCCAGGGAGACACAGATGATAAGTGGCTAAGACCAAAAGCCCTGGATCTAAAAGACTCTAGTCCTTTGTGATCAGTCCTTAGGAATTATCTGGATTCCCCAAAGCTCTAGGCACATAACTGTTGCCTCTAGTTGAGAGAACTGCAGAATCCCAAATCCTTGGAAGAAGAGACAGTTTATAAATAGGGTTGTGTGGAAGTTAGGGGGAGTCAGGGTGGAATATAAGGAGAAACAGGGGTACTTGCCAGCCTCAAGCTAGGGGCAGAGTGTGTGTGAGGCTTCAAGGGATATTGAGTTCTATCTAAGTTTTTTTTCTATTTGATCTATTGAGATGTGACTGTTTTCCTTCAGTCCACTAATGCAGTAGATGCATTTCCATGTTTAATAAATGTGTGATGCTGGGCACAGTGGCTCACGCCTATAATCCCAGCACTTTGGGAGGCCGAGGGCGGTGGATCACCTGAGGTCACGAATTTGAGACCAGTCTGGCCAACATGGCGAAACCCTACCACTACCAAAAATAAAAAATTACCCACGTGTGGTGGTGCACACCTGTAATCCCAGCTACTTGGGAGGCTGAGGCAGGAGAATTACTTGAACCCGGGAGGTAGAGGTTGCAGTGAGCTGAGATCGCACCACTGCACTCTAGCCTGGGCGACAGAGTGAGACCCTGTCTCAAAAATAAATAGATAGATAGATAAATAAATAAATAAATAAATAAATAAATAAATGGGTGTGTGTGTGTTTAGCCCATTCCTTAAAAAGGCTAACTTCCACATTTCTGTGTTTCTTGCTCACACTAGTCCTGCTGCCTGGGCACCCTCTTTACTCCATTTCCATCTGTTCAAACCCCTCCAAGTTTTTGAAATTCCCCTGTTCTGAGCAGGTACCACAGCCAGATCCTTGTAGACACAGCTCAACTTAATCCTCATGACAACTCCAGTTTATAAATGAGGCAACTGAGGTTCAGAGAGTTGAAGTAAATCATCTACAACCACAAGCTAGTAGGCAGTCCAACTGGGACCTGGACTCAGGTGTACCAGAGTGGTCCATGTTTGGATTGAGTTGACCTGCCGGACAAGGAGTTTCCCTGTTGTCTCCTTCCGATGTGCTTTCTTTCCTTGGAAATCCCCAAGGCCTGTTTGCTACTCTGGAGAGCTTCTTTTTCTATGTTATTGTTTGTGTACATACACTATCTGTTCCTCCCCCATTCCCACCGGATCAGGAGCCGGCGAAGATAGTGAACCTCCAAGGTTATAGTCTACTCACATCAGTGCCACTTGGCATCTGCTTATAATTGGCATGCAGTAAATGCTTGATGAGTGGCATTATCATGTTGGGAAAGGAGCCACATTTAGGCAAATTAGGTCTCCAAGGGACTGTGACTGTCCGCTTGAGAAGACCGAAATGTCCTGTAATTAATGACATGACCTGGTGTGGGAGAAAATCCCGCACAGTGGGATGTGGGTTCATGCGTCTGTTCAATATGGCACTGTTGATGTCTATGGGGCTGCTAACTATTGCATGAATTGAGTATGCTAGAACATAAGACTTTTACAGATTCCAATGGTCTTCCCAAATTGTTTTGTTTGTTTGTTTGTTTGTTTGAGACAGAGTCTCTGCCGCCCAGGCTGGAGTGCTGTGGTGCTATCTTGGTTCACTGCAACCTCCACCTCCCAGGTTCAAGTGATTCTCCTGCCTCAGCCTCCTGAGTAGCTGAGACTATAGGTGTGTGCCACCATGCCTGGCTTATTTATTTATTTATTTATTTATTTATTTATTTATTTATTTTGAGATGGAGTTTCACTCTTGTTGCCCAGGCTGGAGTTCAATGGCACCATCTTGGCTCACTGAAACCTCTGCCTCCCAGGTTTAAGTGATTCTCCTGCCTCAGCCTCCCGAGTAGCTGGGATTACAGGCACCCACCACCATGCCCGGCTAATTTTGTATTATTAGTAGAGACGAGGTTTTGCCATGTTGGCCAGGCTGGTCTTGAACTCCTGACCTCAGGTGATCCACCCACCCTGGCCTCCCAAAGTGCTGGGATTACAGGCATGAGCCATCACGCCTGGCCTGTTTGTTTGTTTTTAAGAGATAGGGTCTCACTGTGTCACTCAGGCTGGAGTGGAGTGCAGTGGTGTGATGATAGCCTTCTGTAACCTCAAACTCCTGGGCTCAAGTGATCTTCCTACCTCAGCATCCCAAGCAGCTGGGACTACAGGTATGAGACATCATACTCAGCTAAGCTATGGAAATTTTTTTTGTAGAAGTGGGGTCTTACCATGTTGCCCAGGTTGGCCCAATTGGTTTTTGTTTTCCACTTTTCTATCTGGTTACTCTGACTTGGGGAATGTGAACCACTGGCTGTGGCAAACAAGACTATGGGAAGTGTGGCCACCTCCCGACTCCTCTCTCTGTCTCTTGCCATCTCCCAGTGCCCTTCCCTTCTCTCCTTAGTAGACCAAGGGCTCTCACTTGTGTCCTCTCTTCTTAAGTCATGTCCTCCTTCACACTAAGATGTCAAGGCTTAACTCAATTTGGGAGGCTGTTGTTGAAGGAGGAACTCCCAGGACAGAGAATCTGGAGACCGTGGTTCCAATGACAATTCTGCTTCTTCTGTGGGAGGCTCTCTAGACCTCAGTTTCCCAGCTGTGGAAGGGAGGAGGAAGTGACCTATACGTTTCCACCCATTCCTGAGTCCCCACCACCTGACAGCCCATGAAGATACCAGCAGTTAGGCAGGTTAAGGCTTATGCTGGCCTTGATGTCATCTCCAAACCGCAGGTAGCCCAGAGCCGCCATGCCAATGTATAGGGAAGTGACGATGGACATTCCCAAAGACAGGATGGCTGGGAAGTGGCGGGCATTCTTCATCTTGTTTTCCAGAGGCAGAACCTACAGAAACATCACAATGTAAGAAGGAGAAAGAGTAACATGAACAAAAAGAAAAATGGCATTCCACTTCTGGATGTCTACCCCAAAGAACTGAAAGCAGGGCCTCAAAGAGATATTTGTACACTTATGTTCACAGTAGTGCTATTCACATAGCCAAAAGGTGGAAGCAACCCAAGGGTCTAGCAACAGAAAATGGATACACAAAATGTGGGTGTATCCATGCAATGGAACGTTATTTAGCCCTTAAAAAAGAAGGAAGTTTTGTCTCATGCTAACCCACGGATGGATCTTGAGGACATTATTGCTGAGTGAAATAAGCCAGTCACAAAAAGACAAGGACTGCCTGATTCTACTTATATGAGGTACCTGGAGTAGGTAGGTCCAAAGAGGCAGAATGCTAGTTGGGAAGGACTGGCATGAGGAGAGTATGGGGAGTTATTGTTTAATGGGTACAGAGTTTCAGTTTTGCAAGCTGAAGAGTTCTGCAGATGAAAGAAAGCAATAATCTGAATTTACTTAATATGTATGTATACTTGAAAGTGGTTAAGATGAGTAAATTTTATGTTAGGTGTGCTTCAATTAAACAAAAAAAGGAAATAAAAGAGGAGGAAAAAAGGTAGGAAGATGAGGGTAAGGAGGAGGAAGGAGATAAAAAGAAAGGCCTGGAGTCATCTGATGAGCCCTGGACCCTTAAGAGCTGGAAGGGCCACTGAGGTTTTATCCAGACCAAAGATCTCAACACTCTGGGGCAGCTAGATCTGGCCAGCAGATGCGTTTTGTTTTGACAGCACAGTCTTTCGACAATTGAATATGAATGCCTTTAGGCACAACATTCTTTTCCCATTCACCAGGCCCACCTCCCCTCACCCCCACCTACCAGTGAATTATACCTGCCTTCCAAAGGCATTTGGGTTTGAAACTCCTAATTCCTGTGCAGACTCCCTCCGCCAACCCCATCACTGTACAGTGGGGAGGCTGAGACTCCAGGAACACAGGGTGCTGGTGGCAGCTGGGACCAGAGAGCGCTTCCTGGTTCTGCCAGCAGTGCATTTCCCCACACCCCAGGTTCTCACTCTTCTGTTCTCAGAATCCTTCTTCCCCTAAATGCATACCTGGTTCTAAGAGAATCCAAGTTGAGGCCAGTCTGCCTCTTGCCGGTTGGACATTTGAAGGTCTCTTCTGTCTTTGAAACCAATCTTCCTGTCTCTCATCCCATAATTTCCTCCTCAGGCTCTTATTGTCCTGGAGACCACCCCCACCTTCTCCTACTCCTTGTTCAGGCTGTGTGCTAAGCATTCTCTACATGCACTATTTAGCTGATCTGTTTTCTTATCTGAAAACGGGCTCAAATGAATTTACCTTTTTTTTTTTTTCTTTTTTGGAGAGTCTCACTCTGTCACCCAGGCTGGAGTGCAGTAGTACAATCACAGTTCACTGCAACCTCTGCCTCCCGAGCTCAAGAGATCCCTCCCATCTCAGCCTCCTGAGGAGCTGGGACTATAGGCATGTGCTGCCATGCCCGGCTGATTTTTGTATTTTTTTTGTAGAAACAGAGTTTTGCCATGTTGCTCACACTGGTCTTGAACTCTTGGGCTCAAGCGATCCTCCCACATCGGCCTCCCAAAGTGCTGGGATTACAGGCGAGAGACATCACATGTGGCTGAATTTTGCAAATTTTGTAGAGAATTACACAAGCACCATAATGGCACAGTTAAGGGCTTAGTAAATGTTGGCGGTTGTTATTTTTTAATACTGTGAAGACCGTAACTCTATGAAGTCGGTACCTCCATAATTCTTGTTTTACAGATGAGGAAAACAAGGCTCTGAAAATGAGATAACTGATCCCAAGTTGCAGAACCAGAAAGTGTCAGATTCAGGTTGTAGACCAGGGCTGTTATCCAAAGTCCAAGTACCTGCTTCTACTCCTATAGCAATGGGTATATTTGTTACTAAGGAATTTAGCATCTTTTCCCTTGTACTGTTGAATTCTTTTCTGTCGTACATGCAAACTTCCAGCCCTGAAACTCCCTAACCCTCTCTCTATTCCAGGCATTTGGAAGATGCTTGAGGGCAGTGTCATGTTGGGTCCTCCCCATGCCTTTCCACTTTCTTCTGGATTAGGTCTCGTTGCAGCAGGTGCTCAGGAGGATGTTTGATGATTATACAATAATTGTATGGAGAGCAGACAATCCAACCTGAGCTCTTGCACCCTGTAACACAATTTTGCTGCATATATTCTCAAGGCCAAAAATGATCTTTTCACAAGGCCTGCTCAGACTGGGTAGCTGGCTTCCTTTCTTTCTCTCTCTCTCTCTCTCCACAATCAGTCAGTCAAAGAGATAAATGGCTGTTGACGTACAGTGGGAAGGTCCCTGGATGGAGAGTCAGACGTACTAGGTTTTATTCACATCTGCACAGTTCCTAGCTGGTGATCTAACTGAAGTCACCTTCTCTCTCTGGGGCTCTCCCTCTTCTGTAAAATTGGAGACTGGGCTAGCAGAGTTCTTCTTAAGATAATTTCAACTAATACTAAGAATCACAAGCACATAATAGGCATTCAAGAAATACTTACTGAACAAATATTGTCATCAGTTTAGAGGTGGAGAATTAGAGTTCAGAGAGTAGCCCTGGCCAAAGCAAGATTCCAGCACATTCTGCCTCCAAAGTTACCTGCTCAACTGCTGCACTCTGCTTTTGTCCATGACTATTCCAAATTCTAAAAACAAAGTGCTTCCAGTTCCATCTAGATGAAGTAAGCACACTTCACAATATCTCTTTCACTAATACAACTAAAAATCGTGGATGAAATACATAAAGCAATTATGCACAGGTCCTGAAGAGTAAATAGTAGCAGGCAGAATGGGGAAGGAAATCAAAAAGAAAAAATGACTGTCATGGTGGTGAGTTTCCTGATTTTCTTCTTCCCATACATCCTAGTTTTTAACCTCAAGGGACACCCAAATCTTAGAACTATGCGGTGCATACAGACAGAAAATAACACCAAGAGAAACTTCTTTTTGGACAGATGACTTAGAATAGGGTCCCCTGTGGGATGAAGAGCGTGGAGAGAATCTCTATTTTTCTGTTTCTTTGTTTTATCTCCAGGCCATGACCTCAAGGCAAGTCCTAGTCACTAAGCAGCATTCTGGTGTATCAGTGGCTGTAGTGGTCACACAGGCACCTAAAAATCTGAGATAGAAATCCTTATCTCTACACAGAAGTACTAGGAAAATTGGCTTTAGGAGTCTGAAGAGTGTGGGAAATCAGTACTGGCTACCTAATTTATGGGCCCCAGTACAAAATGAAAATGCAGGGTTCCTTGGTGAAAGATGGTTCCAGCAGAGTGTTAAACTAAGTGTGAGATTCTTCTGAAGGTTGGACCCTATGTGGCTGCATGATTTGCCTGCTCACGAAACTGGTCCAGGAAAGAATCACTATTGTGCTTTTTCTTTCTCTTTTCACTCATTGCTCAACCCCAGAGGCAGACTTGGTCACAGGAAGTACATGACAGTGTAGGAGGCTAAAAGCCTAGATTTCTAGCCAGAGGATGGGAAAAAGAACCCACTGCGAGCTGGCGAGTGTGCGGGAAAACACAGAGAAGAGGAAACTGGAAAAAGCAATCTCCTAAAATCTGTGAATAATATCCTGGGCCCAGCCCTGAGCTGTACATATGTGGAACTGATGGGAAGCATCAAAGCAAAGGCTTTGAAAACTGAACTACTGTGTAGAGTCCTGTCTGCCAATTGGCACTGTGTAGCACATGAGCAGGGTAGAGCCAAATATCACTTCATGGGCTTTGAAAACTAACTGGATATTGGAACCATGGCCCACAGAAGGTGAGCAAGGACTTATGAGCTGAATCTAACTAGGTAGATGGTTTGCTAAAACCAAAAATCAGCATTCTGAAGAGTCTCCTAAAATAATATTCAAAATGCATAGGATACAGTTTAAAATTATTCAGCCTACAAAGAACCAGAAAAATCTCATCAACTTTCAAGAGAAAAGACAACAGATGCCAACCTTAAGATGACTCAAATGTTGGCAATATTAGGCAAAGACTTTAAAGCAGGTAATATAACCGTACTCCAAAAAGTAAGGGAGAACGCTATTAAAATAAATGGACAGATACAAGTTCTTAGCAAAGTAGACACAATGTAAAAGAAACAAATGGAAATATTATAACTGGAAAATAAGAAAAATTTAAATAACTGACTGTAGGGGCTTGATAGCGGAATGTAGATAACAGAAAACAAACTCAGTAAATTTGAGGATAAACAGGAATGACAAAATCTGAACAACAAAGAGCAAAGAGATTTTTTTAAAAAAATGAATAGAGCCTCAGAAACCTGTGGGATATACAGTTGACTCTTGAACAACATGGGTTTGAACCGCGCAGGCCCTCAAATAGGTGGATATTTTCAACCAAATGCACATCAAAACTGCAGTATTCATGGGCTGCAAAACCTGTATGTATGGAGGGCTGACTTTTCATATACTCAGGTTCTGCAGGGCCACCTGCAGGACTTGAGTAGGCACAGATTGGTTATACACTGGGTGTGTGTGTTTAGGGGGGTGGGGGAGCGGGGTCCTGGAACCAATGTCCTATATATGCTAAGCGATGACTATATATCAAAAAGTCTAGCATTCAGGTTATTGGGATCTCCGATGGAGAAGAAAAAGAGATTGGTGAAGAAAAAACCTTTGAAAAAAATAATGGCTGAAATTAGGTAAATTAGGTAAAAGACAAACTTTTACAGATTCAAGAAATCTCGTAGAGGGCAAACTCAAAGAAACTATATTAAATATAATACAGTATAACTGCTGATTAAAGAAGATTTTAAAAAGTTATGAAAGCAACCAGAGAAAAACACATAGGAGAACAAGGATTCAAACAATTGCAGATTTCTCATCAGAAACCACTGAGGGCAAAAAGAAAGGAAGTCATATTTTCAAAATGATGAAAAAAATTGTCCACCTAGAATTCCATATTGTGCAAAAATATCCTCTAGGAATAAAGGCAAAATAAAGACAATCTCAGATCAAGAAAATGAAGATAATTTGTCACTAGTAGACCTGCTTTAAAAGAAATGTTAATGAAGGTTCTTCATGCTGAAGGGAAATGATGCCAGAAGGAAATGGGATTTCAAGAATAAAGAAAGAGCGACAGAAATGGTAAATATCTGAGTAGATATAATAGCCTATTTTTTCCCTAGTAAGTTTATTACAAGGACTATGCATGACTATTGAAAGCAAAGATGATAACATTGTTGGTGTTTCAGTGTGTTTAGATACATAAGGCAATACAACATAAAGGCGGAAGGGCCCTATGTAATTGTAAAATTTTGACAGTTTACTAGCAATGATAAAATATTATCTCACAGTAAATTGTGAAAACGTATATTATAGTACCTAGATAAACTACTAAAAGTACTATAGAAAAAGATATAGCCAAAAAGTCAATAGGCCAATTAAAGTGGAATACTATAGAACTATAGTAATCAAAACTGTGTGGTTCTGGCATAATGGTAGACTTATGATCTTATAGACCAATGGAATAGAATTGAGAGTACAGAAATAAACCTATACATCAATGGTCAGTTGATTTTTGACAAGAGTGTCAAAACTATACAATATGGAAAGAATAGCCTTTTCAACAAATTGTGCTGGGATAACTGGATAACCACATATGAAAACATGAAGTTTGACCCTTACCTCATACCACATACAAAAATTAACTGAAAATGGATAAAAGACCTACATGTAAGAGCTAAAACCATAAAACTCTTAGAAGAAAACTCTGAGGTAAATCTCTATGACCTATGATTTCTTTCTTTCTTTCTTTCTTTCTTTTTTTCTGTTTTTGTTTCGTTTTGTTTTGTTTTAAGACAGGGTCTTACTCTGTCACCCAGGCTGGAGTGCTGTGGTACAATCATAGCTCACTGCAGCCTTGAACTCCTGGGCTCAAGTGATTCTCCTGCTTGGTTTCCTGAGTAGCTGGGACTACAGGTGTGTGCCACTACACCCAGCTAATTAAAAAATTTTTTTTTGCAGAGACAGGGTCTCTGTATGTTGCCCAGGCTGGTCTCAAACTCCTGCCCTCAAGTGATCCTTCTGCATCAGCCTCTTAAAGTTCTGGATTAAAGGTGTGAGCCACCATATCTAGACATGACCCTAGATTTTGCAATAGATTCTTAGACATAAGACAAAAAGCACAACCAGAAAGATAGAGGATAAATTGGAATTTATCAAAATCAAAAACTTTTGTGCATCACAGTTCACTATCAAGAAAGTGAGAAGCCAGGTGTGATGGACTGTGGTCATGCAACTATAATCCCCACTACCTGGGAGGCTGAGGCAGGTGGATCACTTGAGCCCAGAGATTAAAACCCACCTTGGGCAGCATAGCAAGATCCCATCTCTCTTTTTTTTTATGGGACAGAGTCTTGCTCTGTCACCCAGGCTGGAGTGCAGTGGCGCCATCTTAGCTCACTGCAACTTCCGCTTCCTGGGTTCAAGTGATTCTCCTGCCTCAGCCTTCTGAGTATCTGGGATTACAGGTACATGCTGCCACTCCCAGTTAATTTTTGCATTTTTAGTAGAGACGGGGTTTCACTATGTTAGCCAGACTGGTCTAGAACTCCTGACCTCAAGTGATCTGCCTGCCTCGGCCTCCCAAAGTGCTGAGATTACCGACGTGAACCACCGCGCCCGGCTCCATCTCATTTTTAAGAGGAAAAAATTTAAAAGGAAAAAAGAAGAGGAGAAGACAAGAATAAGAAAAAATATTTGCAAACCATTTTTCTGATAAGGATTTTGTATCTGGAATATATAAAGAACTCTTAAAACTCAACAAAAAGACAAACAGCCTAATTAAAAATAAGCAAAGGACTTGATGTTTCTCCAAAGAAGATGTGCAAATTGCCAACAAGCAAATGAAAAGATGTTCAATGTCAAAAACCTGTACACAAATGCTTACGGCAGTATCATTCATGATTGTCAAAAACTAGAAACAACCCAAATGTTCTTTGACAGGTGCGTTGATAAGCTGTGGTACTGCCCAGACAGTGGACGCTCTGCAATAGAAAGCAAGGTGTTATTGATGTGTGCAACAGCATGGACGAATTTAAAATGCATTAGGCTAAGTAAAAGAAGCCAGTCTCAATCTCATACATACTGTATGATCCCATATATGTGACATTTTGGAAAAGAGAAGACAGTACAGGCAGAGAACAGAAGGAGAATTGTTCTGCATTCTGACTTTGGTGCATTTATTCCTCTACATGCTTCTTGAAACTTACAGGAATGTACACCAAAAAAGTGAATGTTACTGTATGTACACTAAAAGTAACTTTTAAAAATATATAAACAACACTACCCTTCCACAAGTGTGGAAGTAGAGACTACAGACTGTAAATACAGAACTTTCCAGGTTAAAACTCCTTTATGTTTAATCAAATCCTTTAAATTGGACACCATGGTTCTTCTTGATTTTAAAAGATTAGGAAACTCATGTCGATAGGAGGATAGATGTTTAATAGGCATGTGGGGACAAAAATAAAACTGTCTCCTGACTGCCTCTCTGTTGTAATCAACTTTTCTCTTGCTGGTGACAACTGTCCCAAGTAAGGCCAGAGGTTACTTTCTCCCATGGGCATTTTCTAGCAGGCCCAAAACAATGGCCAGCGGGACACAGAAACCCAGAGCTCACAGTTCCTTTCTAGAAGGTCACTCACAAGCACTAGGGATAAGGCCACCTCAATTCAAACCTTACCACACCAATGCTTTCAAAAGAAAAAATGGCTGTTCCGAAGAAGAGAGGGTAGGTCTTCCAGCTTGCTACCAGTGGCAACCGGCTGGGGTCTGGGATTTCCTAAAGAAGAAAGAAATGCTATGAGACAGTCACTCTTAAAGCACATTTGAGCTCCTTTAAGAGAAGGGTACTCTGAAATGAGACCTGAATTTTTTAAAATTGAATATCAAGAAGTTTAGAAAACTTCAAAGGGATGTAGGCCACGATCAAAGTTGATTTCAACACTGCACAATGCCAAAGAGCCAGAGGACGGTATTGTCAAAGTACTGAAGGAATAGTATTTCATGGAGGGAGTTTGGTTTATGAAAAACCTCCAAAAGGGCCGGGTGCAGTGGCTTAACCTGTAATCCCAGCACTTTGGGAGGCCAAGGCAGGCAGATCACGAGGTCAGGAGTTCGAGACCAGCCTGGCCAACATGGTGAAACCCTGTCTCTACTAAAAATACAAAAATTAGCCGGGCGTGGTGGTGGGCGCCTGTAGTCCCAGCTACTCTGGAGGCTGAGGCAGGAGAATGGTGTGAACCCAAGATCGCACCACTGCACTCCAGCCTGGGTGAAAGAGCGAAACTCCATCTCAAAAACAAAACAAAACAATCCTCCAAAAGAAGACCTTACACACCACAGATTAGCACTGACCCAACGAGCCCACGAACACCTTTGAATGGACAGTGGTCATGGGTGTTGGAAATTCCTGTGACTGCAGTCATAGTAATAATCTAAGGAGCCCAAAGTATGAGTTAAATATGAAAGATCCATTTTTTTCTTTAATGAGCTGTAAATTGAAGGGGAGAAGACTGTGTAGAATAAATATTCTATATACCTTGTGACCCAGAATGTGAAAATGATGACAGAGCCATTTTTCTAACTGGGCAACCTTTGGAATTGTCCAAAAATGTATTAAAGGTAGCTATTTCTTTAGGAAATTCAATTTTATAGAATTCATCAGTGTCTTCTAAGGTATGTGAGGCTGATCTGCAGTTATTCTAAAATGTTTGACTATTATTTTTACTAAATTTCACGGACAATGTAACTTTTTTTCTCTTGTGGCTTCTTAAAGGGAAGAACATCTGGAATTTATTAAATATGCCAAGGGGCTTCTGAGACTTAACTTTCTATGTAGTGTTGTCTATTATAAAAGAAGAATTAGGCTGGGCGTGGTGGCTCATGCCTGTAATCTCAGCACTTTGGGGGGGCCAAGGCGGGGGGATCACTTGAGGTCAGGAGTTCGAGACCAGCCTGGCCAACATCGTGAAACTCCGTCTCTACTAAAAATACAAAAATTAGCCGGGTGTGGTGGCTGGTGCCTGTAGTCCCAGCTACTCGTGAGGCTGAGGCAGGAGAATCGCTTGAACCCGGGAGGCAGAGGCTGCAGTGAGCTGAGATTGTACCGCTGCACTCCAGCCTGGGTGAAAGATCGAGAGTCTGTCTCAAATAAATTAATAAGTAAGTAAATAAATAAAAGAAAAATTAGAAAGGATAGCAAATTAGGAAACTGACAGAAAATCAATGTCCATAATTCAACATCAAAGACATTATAACTAACATTATAATAGATTTGCTTATAGTTTTTTTTTAAATTAGTAACAAGACACTTATTGAAAGCTTATGGTTTTTGAGACTCTCTATGTATATCTCTGTGACTAAATATTAGATTTTTTTTTTCTTGCCTTCCTATTGGGTACCTGAAATTGTACCCTATGGGTAACGCAATAACTTTTAGCTGTAGTACAAGAATCTGTTTTCGCCTGCCTTTTGCTGCCAGCCAACCATTATAGGAATGGTCTACAGTTCACCAACCAAGATGTTTTCCTTGCAAGCACATTTTTTTAAAAAAGCCAGAATTTGACATAAAAATAGATATTTGGAGAAAGAACATGAACAAGGAGACAATCAGAAGAATGGGACTGCACGGAGACATCCTTGTAGAAGAAATGCTACAGTGAGATGCATGTCTCTCATAACACTCTTACCCACCTACAGGGTTGGCTCCAGGTATCTAAAGCTCAGTCTATCCTTGATAAAAAAACCCTGCCCAGTGGAGTGGGCAGGTGCATGGTGTGCACTCACCTGGGTAATGTACTGTATGATGATGACCAAGCTGACCAGCATGCTGATGTTGGCCAGCATGGAGAAGATGGTCAAGATCCTGAGGTTCCGGATGAGGACCAGCAGCACCAGGAAGGGCAGGAAGGAGAGCATGTAGAGTCGCGAGTCCATGGTGGGGGTCAGAATCACCGTCTCATTGGAATAGCAGTTGTTGGTTGTGCTATTAACAGCTTCCACTACCTGAGGAAGGAATGGGAGAGGCAAAAGGGGGAGATGATGAGTCTTCTAACCTCATGGTTGACTCAGTGCCTTGCCCCTAATCAAATTCCCTCACAGTGAATGGGAGTGTCCCACAGTGCCAAATCTCACGGTGAGTTAGGGTGAATGTAGAACTTATTCTAAACCCTCTACACCATACTACCTCAGAAGAGGCTGTACATGCTGGTTGCAGTGGCTCACGCCTGTAATCCCAGCACTTTGGGAGGCCGAGGCAGGTGGATCATTTGAGGTCAGAAGTTCGAGACCAGCCTGGCCAACATCGTGAAACCCCATCTCTACTAAAATACAAAAATTAGCCAGGTGTGGTGGTGCATGCCTGTAATTCCAGCTACTCAGGAGGCTGAGGCACAAGAATCGCTTGAGCCAAGATCATGCCACCACACTCCAGCCTGGGCAACAGAGTAAGGCCCTGTATCCACAAAAAAAAAAAAAAGTTGTAAAAATAGTTAAAAAATAAGTGTAACACAAAATAAATAACTGGATTCGCAGTGGCTATTTGTTAGCTTTTAGCAACTAGTATCCATTTCTCCTGATACCAATTTGATTTTGGTGAGTTCTTTCTTGTCATTGAATGCAGCCTTTGAGGACTGTAAATCACAGTCATGTGGCATAGCTAGGGGATTAGCCTTTGACTCAAGCTGGGGCATTCAGACCCTCTTCCAGGAATCTGAATGTAAACCTAAAGCATAGGGACCTAAGGACGGACTAGAAAAGGGTAAAGATTAATTCCGATAGTGGAGGCTGCTCACTAGTTCTTCCATCTATATCCTCCTCGCTACCCTGGCTCCTGTTCTTCCCTCAGATCTGCTTTTTAATTTAGTGGAAGGTAATATCCTTCCATGGAACTTATTTTCTGCTTAAATTCCCTCAATCTTTTTTTTTTTTTTTTTTTTTGCGTATAATAAAAAAAGTCTATCACTTACTGTTTCCTAATTAACATATACGCTTACTGATTCCTAATTGACACAATACTGGCATTTTAAGTAAGAAAACTCTTTCTTGTGTGGATTGGACCATTCATTGCAGAACATTTAGTAGCCCTGGACCCCACCCACTGAAAGCCATGAGCATGCCCAATCATTGTGATAAACAAGAAACCGTCCCCCACCCCCCCACACATTATGAACACCCCCTTGTAAAGTCAGGGGTAGGTGGATGCTACCACCCTCCATTTAAAGTCAGCATGACCTAACTGATACAGTCTTACTGGACAAGCAATACAAATCACTGCAGAACGATTAGGAACTAGAGTTCAGCAGGAGGAAAACACAAATGCATTGATAATCTCAGTATCAAGATGCTAACATCTTGGAGGATACTCATCTATATATTTTCTATACAATATCACAAATTACATATATTATACACATTCTTTTTATTTTACAAGACTTCAATCATAGCATTCACTCTTTTCTTTTGAAATGTCCCTTGCACTTAACAATACACTGTGGATACATAAATGAATCATTTAAGTATTGATTTTTTTCTGATTCCTCACTACAATTGGAAAAATAGCTGGAACATTAGTTACGTACTCAAGGCCCTCCATAAATGGGCCCTATCAAACCTTCAAGGTTTCTTCCTCTCCCATGACCTACTCTTCCTCCTTGAACCAATTGTATTGCTTCTCCTGGGCAATCCCATATGTTCCTGCCTCCCGGTTTTCACTGATTCCTTCTCCCACCTTGGCTGCCACCACTTTTTTTCTCTAACCTGTCAATACCCAGCTCAGATGCACCACCCCCCGGAGGAGGCTTTCCCTGCTCCAGTGATCTCTGCAATGTAGTTTGCACCCTGACCTCACGTTGTTGTTGTTAGTGGCATCCTGGCCTGACACCAAAATATCATATTGATATTTAACTTATTAGGTTTTAGAACACACTCTACTTGGCTGTAAACTCCTTGATACAGTGTTTGCCTTGATAATAAATGCAGATGATAAATAAATGCAGGTAACAATAAATGCAGATGATAAGTATAGGTCTGTACATGTCAGATTGCTTTCTAAAGAGCAATCTGGCAATGTTTTAAGAGCCTTCAAAACAATCAAACTCTTTGACTCAGTAATTTTACCTTAAGAAACATTAAGGAAATAAAGAAGTGCACAAAGACTTTTGTGCCAACAGATGATAGTAGAGAAACAAAGGGAAATAAGGGAAATGTCCAGCAATAGAAGATTGATTAGGTTATGATCAATCTGTGTGATGGAATATTATGAAACTATTAAAAATTACATGACTAAATATAAGGATATTGCAAAATACTGACCAGTTAAGGTTACATTAAATTATAACCATGAATAGTTGGATTAAGAATTATTTTATTTTATTTTGTTTTCTTTGCAGAAATACAGCATAGGTTTAAGAACTTGAGCACTGGTGTCAGAAGGCCTGGGTTTTTAACTCTGGCTCTGTGACCTTACATACATTACAGAGTTTATAATCTCAGTTTTCTCGTCTGCAAAATGGGAATAACCACAGTACCTGCTCTAATAAGGTCATGGAGATAATTCAATGATGGAAAGCATGTAAAATGCTCAGCACTGTACCTGACATAATAGAAGCTAACTCTGAAAGCTTACTACATTTTTCTTCTAGCTAGTTTACATTTTTGAATTTCTGGTATTACTGCTATAAGCAGAAAAAGAGCCCTAAAGAATAGTTTTCTTTTTAAACTTACTGATTAAGGATGGCCTCTGCTATTACCCATATTATTTTGCTCAAATTGCTGTAAGAGAATTTCTAGGTTAGATCAGAAAGAATTCCTAGGGACAATAACTATTAAGCCATAGATTAAGTAGATGGCCCAAGGCT
Source organism: Homo sapiens (assembly GCF_000001405.40). Classification (NCBI taxonomy): domain Eukaryota; kingdom Metazoa; phylum Chordata; class Mammalia; order Primates; family Hominidae; genus Homo; species Homo sapiens. The sequence goes on from NC_000005.10 coordinate 151,338,400, forward strand.
GGATGTGGTGGCTCATGCTATAATCCCAGTACTTTGGGAGACAGTGGGAGGCTCACTTGAGCCCTGGAGTTTGAGGCCAGCCTGGACAACACTGCAAGGCCTCGGCTCTACAAATAATAAAAAAAAATTAGCCAGACATGGTAGCACACACTTGTGGTCCCATCTACTTGGGAGGCTGAGGTGGGAGAATCACTTGAGCCTGGGAGTTTGAGGCTGCAGTGAGCTGTGATCTCACCACTGCGCTCCAGCCTGGGTGACAGAGCAATATCCTGTCTCAAAAAGAAAAAAAAAAAGAAAGAAAGATGACCTAAAGAAGACTAGGAATCATCAAAAGAAGACCCATATCAATTTTAGAAGCGTTAAGTATAATTAAGCTTCAAGGCAGGAGGATTAACAAAATCCAAGGGTCTTTCCATTCCAGTTCAGTAGAGATCAACTTTGAGAACAGGTCTAAGATACCGGATAAAGGGTATTGTGGCAAAAGTAACCACACAGAGATCTTCAGATATGTGAACTAGGGGAGGCAAGTTTGACAACATCTAGTTTAACTTCCTTTGTTACATTGATGAGGACCAGAGAGAAGAAGCAGTTTGTCAAACAACTAGCAGTGGCGTGTCCTTGTCCATCTTTTCCCCTCCCGTTTTCTCTAGAAGCCTCTACCTGTTTTAAATTATCAGCCAAAAACACAATGTACACACAGCAGAAGCCAAGTTGGGTGATAATAAGGAAGAAGCTCACGATATGCCTAGAAGGGAGAAGAGAGGGAAAAAGAAAACTTGTTATAAAATAAGTCAACTTGTCAGTTCCATTTCTTGCCATTCTGCCCTCTGTTCCCAGGGATTGGTTGCCCTGTACCAGCACACTTGGTCCTTCCACCACAATCAACAATGGGGCAAAGAAGTAAGGTAACAATCGTTCTTTTTTTTTTTTTTTAGAAGGAGTTTTGCTCTTGTTGCCCAGGCTGGAGTGCAATGGTGGGATCTCGGCTCACCACAACCTCTGCCTCCCAGGTTCAAATGATTGGCCTCAGCCTCCCTAGTAGCTGGGATTACAGGCATGTGCCACCACGCCTGGCTAATTTTGTATTTTTGGTAGAGACAAGGTTTCTCCATGTTGGTCAGGCTGATCTCGATCTCCCGACCTCAGGTGATCCGCCTGCCTTGGCCTCCCAAAGTGCTGGGATTACAGGCATAAGCCACCATGCCCGGCCAACAATAGTTCTTTTTAAAAGATGATTTTTAACCACCCTCACACTCTCAGCTCAGCAAGTGGTAAAATTCTTCCTGGTTATGAGCCTCTCCCGATACCGGGCTTGGTGGCATTCCTCATCATTGATACCAATTAATGTGGGACAGCAGGCACAATGTTTTTATTAGCTACCATTCACATTTGAATTTTTTTCTGCCATGTGCCAGAACTATGTTGGGCACTGAGAATACACAGACAAATAACATACAGTCCCTTCCTCTTGTGGTTTATAGACTAATGGGTTAGGTGGACAAAAATTCTTAGATATAGCATTAAGGGCCATGGTGAAAAGGGCATTTTATCTAAATTATGGGCAGACAGAAAGCCTTGTTAGAAAACCCAATACCTAAGAGACAGCCCCTTGGGAAAGGGAAGAAAGAGAGTTGTGGGGAGGAAGAGGGAGGGACAAAGAGAGAGAGAAAAAGAAGAAAAAGGAGGAGAGGAAAAAGAGGAGAAGGAGGAGGAAGAAGAGGAGGAGAAGGAGGAGGAAGAAGAGGAGGAGAAGGAGGAGGAAGAAGAGGAAGGAGGAGGAGGAGGAAGAGGTGGAGGAGGAGGAGAGGAGGAGGAGGGAGAGGAGGAGGAAGGGGAGGAGGAGGAGGGGGAAGAAGAGGAGGAGGTGGAAGAAGAACTAAGAGAAGAGGAAGAGGAGGAAGAAGAAGACGAGGAGGAGGAGGAGGACAGTTTTAGGAGAAGGGGAAGAAATGACACATTCAGAATCTGAATCTTTGAACTTGAGGTTCCTATAGGAGACGTTCGGGACACAACTGGATATTAGGGTCTGGAACTGTTGAGTTGTAGTAGTGGATAAAGCCTTGCAAAGGCAGAGCAGTGTTAGAAAGTGTGCAGAATGAGGAGAGTAGAAGACAGTGTTCAACCCTGGAGAACATCAACATTTAATAGAAACAAAAAAGCTTACAACAAATGCAAAGGAGTGGCTAGAAAGGTAGGAGGGAAACTAGGGGGAAAGAGGTTTAATAGTAGCCAAGTGAGGAGAGAATGTTGAAAAAAGAGAATGGTCAATTATACACATTACTGCTGAAAGGTTCTCTAGGGCAAGGAAGATACAACAAGAAGGTCTTTTAGGACATTGCTTGAAAGAACTTCAGTAGAATTATAAGGACAGAAAACCCAGGTGGCCTGTGAAAGAGGTGTGGATGGGATGTAAGGCAATAAAATCAGAGGGTGGTCCAGTGTTGATGGCACCCATTTGCTCGTTGCAGTAGACCCATTGTCTAAAGCACTTTATGACACATTGTAGGTATTCAGTAGACATTTGTTGAATAATATATATTGAATGTAGATAGGATGTTGGCTACAATGGTAAGGTCCAGGAAGTTTTATTTACTTGCTTTATTATTATTATTATTGTATCTTAAGTTCTGGGGTACATATGCAGAATGTGCACTTTTGTTACCTAGGTATACATGTGCCATGGTGGTTTGCTGGAGATACAGGAACACATTAAATGCTGAGAGGAAGAACCCATACTAAAGGAATTCCAGTTATAGGAGAGGCAGTAATTAATGAAAGAAGATCCCTAAATGGAGCAGGGAAATCTTCTTTATATGCCCAACAACAAGTAGAAGGATTTGACAGTCTGTGACAGGCAAGTCTCCTCCTGGGTCACACAATTGGGAAAATTCTGGTCATTATCCAGTAGTCTTCCTTGTCTGTTCACAGACTGAATTTGTGGATTACTCTTGTGAGTATGGGCTTTGAGCGAAGGGTGGTTCCAGGCCCATGATACCATACAGACTACCTGCCATGGGCAGGGGCACACCGTGAGTACTGCAGCAGTTTAGGGAAGCACAGTTCAAAAGAGAATTTGACAGTCTAGATGGTGCTCAACAAGAGGAGACAGACAGGTGGGGACAGGTCTGAAACAAGGAGAAAGGAGTAGATTTAGTCCCAAGTACCAGAGGACAAAGGGTGTTAACCTGTTCTCTGTCACCCCTGAGAGCTAAAAGGTGGGATTTTTCAGGGAGCAAGACTTCACTCAGCTCAACAAAGGGTTCTTAAAGTCTTGGTCTTTTCCTCTCTTTTCTTCTCACCATATAACCTCTCCCTAAGAGACCTCTCTGTCCCTGGCTTCATGGCTGATGACTTCAGTTCTGGATTGGTGCATGAAGATAGGCTTAAACCCATATATCCCCACTAGACATCTCCACTTAAATGTTTCTCAGGCACCCCAAACTCAACTTGTCCAAAATAGAAGTGATCATAAATCTGAGTCAATCTCGACTCTTCCTTGTCTCCCAATCCCAGGATCCAGTTCATGATCAAGTCAACTTTTCTTCATCCCACTGCCACCAGCTTGGTCCCAGCTACCATTGTGACCTGGCTGGGTACTGTTAATAGCCCCCTCATGGATCTGACTAAATCTGCTCTTGCTCCCTTACAATCTATTCTCCTTAGAGAAGCCAGACAGATCTTTAAACAATACAAATATGATGACTTTCCTGATTAAAACCCTCCAATGGCTTCCTGGTTGGTTTTAAGAAAAGAACAAATAGAGTCTTCGTTTCAGAGGGTCTAAAATGTACCACTTGATTGGGTGCCTGGCTCCTTCTTCAGTTCCACCTCCCTGACTCTCTGCCCTCAAGCTACCTGGTCTTGTTGTACCTTGAATCTGTCACCTATACCTTCTTGCTTCAGGGACCTTCACACCCTCTCTTCCTTCCAGCCCCACCCTCCAGGCCCCTGTCCACCTTCTTTGAGGTGATTCCTCATTCTTCAGGACTCCTTCCTGCAGAACTCATCTCACCCGTTCCATCCTAGAAAGCCCTCCTCTCCCCCAAGCCAACACACATCTCCTAACCTGCCTGGTGGCAACCAGCCCTTCTTTCCTTCATCGTACATATCCAAGCGGCTATTAAATAACTCTATTCTAGGCTGTTTAATGTCTGCCTTTCTCACTGGACTATGGGTTCTGTGAGGGCAAAGTCTTGTTCTTCTCAGTCCCCATGACATGTCCAGGGCCATAGGAGTAACTGGATAAATGTGGTTTAATAAAAGAGTAAAAAACATTAAAGCTGCGTAGCAAAGGAATGAGTATCCTGTCACTAGAGATACACAAGAAGTGGGGGTTGATCAGGGATGTTGCCAATGAACCCCTTCCATGTACAACATCTAACATAGAAGTGCCAAACAAACCACCTTTCCAGGGAAGAAGTCACCCTGATAGCAGCATTTTCTCCTCCTGTGTCCTACCCCACTGCAGGCAAAGCAAGAACAGGTTACCTTCCCCAGTGAGCGTGATTCTGGAGCCAGGCGTTGGGGTTGGCTTCTAGTCCATGCATCACCGTGTCCCCATAGTCCATAAAGGGCTTGTTAAGCCTGCAGGAGAGAGTGCATAAACGGTTTCCAAGAGATAGTTTAGCCTAAACTCACATGGTCAAAAGTCAGGAGACACAGAACAAGGCAGGACACAGCTAAAGAGCAGAAAGAACACAGGGGCAGAGACCTCGGGCTTTGACACTCAGCAGTAATTCCTCAGTGGCTTGTTTTCCTTACCTGTTAAATGAGGCGGAGACTACACAGCAAGAGTCTAATGCACACCTTGCACGGGGACGGTAGTTTTCATATCCATGATCCCATTGGATTCTCGTGACCATTCTCTGCATAGTTTATGCCCAATTTCCAGAGGAGCCAACCAGATAAGCACAATAGCCTGACTGAGATCTCCTAAGGAGCCATGCAGAAGAGCCTCACCTGAGCTCCCTGCCCCTGAATGCTCTTCACTCTTTCTTGGCCTTATTGGAGAAAACTAAGAAGTAAATTTCTATTATGCATAGGATGTTTCTGGGCTATCCCTGAGAACCATGCACCAAAGGAATTGACACAAGGAGGCTGTTTTCCTCACCTCTTACAGAAGCGCTGGGCACACTTGACCAGGATGTGCATACAGTGGCAGGCAATGAAGCCCATCACCAGCAGACTGAGTGGGCCCATCTGGAGGAAGGGGAGGCAAGGGGCGAGGGAGGAGAGAAGAGAATGCATTTATGAAGAATACTGCAAGATGGGCTTGGTAGTGCTGATATCATGCAGAACTCAAAGAACTCTCTAGCAAACTGGGTTTAAAGCCCTTTTGTAGCAGCAACAGCTATTCTTTCAAATATGACCTCAAGTAATATTCCAATAAAGCACATAAAGCAATTACAATGGGGTATACTGATGGGAGTAGGGGGACAGAGAATCCTGACCATGTGTGCCCTTTGTGGCCCCTGAAACATCCCCAAGGGGACCTGGTGTTCTATAGAGCATACTTGGAAAACTGGGCATAGTCCAATCCTTGCATTCTACAGGGGAGGAAACTAAGGCCCATAGAGCAGGCAAATGACTTACCAAAGGTACTAAAGTCTGTGGCAGAGCCGGAACTCAAACCCAGGCTAGATGTCTAGACCCTAACCCCGCACCAAGCTGTGTCCCAGAAAGACTGCTCACCACAGGTTGCTAAACCGCTAGAGCCTCTCCTCTTACTTCCCTTCTGCAACTGACCATAAAGCCCCCACATGTGGCGCCTCTCTTACCAGGATGCCCGCGTTCTTCACAGCGAGGGGTAGTCCCAGGATCCCTGTGCCCATGTTGCCTTTCACCAGGTGAATCAAGGCCTGGAACACTCTAAAGGAGAGGAAGGAGATGTGAAGTATGGGTGTGTGGAGGTGAGAAGATCCAGCGGTGATTCCCTTGCAGCATGCCAGCACCTGATAGGCGGGCTCCTAGCCATCTCTCAGTCCATGAGTCCTTGCCTGGCACATCTGGGTCTCCTGTAGGGTTACCAACCATCCCAGTTTGCCCAGAACTGTCCTGGTTTTAGCAGCTAACACTCAATATATGCTGCAACACTTACTATATGAGACACTGTGCTAGGTGCTTTAAATCAGTATTATCTCATTTAATCTTCTAGTCAAGGCTCTGACAAAGATACGATTATCATCTTGCAGGTGAAGAAACTGAGGCACAGAGATTTGTTAATGACTTATCCAGGATATATTGGGGAGCCAAGATTTAACACAGTGCTGCTTCAGAGTCCCTGTTCTTCACCCCTACTTCTGCTGAGCTGCCTCCCAGAGATAAACTCAGACAGCGTAAGTAAAGAAACAACCCCATATCATAACTGAGGAAATGAAGGCTCAGAGAGGGGCAGAAACTAGCTCAATGTCATAAAACTAGTAGTAGAGACAGGCTTGAACACAGAGAAAAGGGGAAAGGGCAGGCAGAAACAAAAAATCATTGTGACTTCTGAATAAACAGGTCGGATGACTGGGTCCCCAGATGAGGTCTGGCGGGGCATAACCATTCAGGGATTGGGCTCCAGAGGGATTTCTTTTCTCAGCCCAGGGCATCAAGGCTGGAGAGTGCACACCTCCCCTCCCCCAAACAAAAACTCAGACCCTTCCTTTAAGACAAATGCGAAGGTTTGCCCGGAGGACAAAGTCTAAACCATCAGGAGAAAAAATGTTCCAGGGAGGCACTCTATTAGCGGAATTACAAAACAACCTATTTCTACACGTTTTTGTACCTGTACCAGGTTAAGTCAAGGCGAGCATGGGGTTTACACGTGCAACTTTAGAAACCTTGGAAATTCCCCATGAGAACCTTCTGGTTAGGAGACTTATTCTTTGTAAAACAACAGAGGTACTCTGAAAGGAGCCCGGTCTCTGGGATTTGACAAACCAGGGATTAAACCTCAAGGCCACGACTTAACTAGCTGTGTCATCTTGGGCAACGTGTTCAACTTTGTTGACCCTCTGTAAATGTCAGGAGTGATGCTATTTTTAAAAGATGCTATTTTAAAAGAATCTATGGGCAGAGGCTCAGGAAGCTTCATATTGAAGCTGTAAACCCTCTAGCTTCCTGAGTCTCTGTACATAGATTCATCAAGGGTTAAAGAGAACAATCGAGGGAGAAAGGGGGTGGAGAGTCCCTGCATGCCTTTCTCCCTGTGGGTGTCCACATCGCTGACCGAGCACTACACCCTACTCGCCAGGCTAGCAATGGGCTTGTTTTGCAACTAGGAAAGGGTCAGCGGGTTACTTTGGAAATTTCTAACTAAAGTACTTAGGAAATCAGAATTTAACTTTGGGCCACTCAACCAACTTGAAAACATAGTGCGGTAAGTCATGCAAAGCACCAAACTGGGAGTTGGGAGACATGGGCTCCAACTCTAACTCCTTTCTTTTTGGTCACCTTGGACTGTCATCTTATTCACAGCAGCCAACACTTACAGACACTGTGTCTGGGGTATTTATGCTCAAATCTCCCAGGAGGAGAGAACTATCATTGACAGAGGAGAAACTGGACACAAAGAAGTTCCAGCATTTGCTCTAGCTGGTAAGCAGCTAAGTGGGAATTCGAGTCTGGGTGAGCCAACCCCATCGTTGCCACGCTTACTCAGCCCGTTATTTGGCTTCTCCCCAAGCCACGTGTCTCCCTTTAGCTCTCACTTGCTTTATTCCTTTGATCCTTAAGTTGCTGAAATTGCCATCAAACCTTGTATCAGTTCAGGACACAAGAGACAGGTGGTTCCCTCAAGGCCTCTGACTGAGAAAATGCCTCTACTTAGCAGTGGCTGGCCCCAACTTACAGACAGCACACTCTCAGGGTCACTAATACTTAGCAACTTCCAGGACTAGCCCTGGGGCGACAGCACAGGCAGCAGGGCCAGTCACTGTGTCCATCCCTAAATTGTCCTGCTGGATGGCTGTGGGGAGGGGCTTTGCCTGCCCCTTACAGTCCCTCCCTGCAGTGCACCCCCGAGAAACACATCCTCCGATTTTGTTTCCATGCACCCTCCTTTAGTTCACACTGCCACCTGTTTTGCATGTCAGAAAACTGGAACTTAGAGAAGGAGCAGAGAAACCACTTGAACTCAGGCCTTCTGATTCTCTGTCCAGTGCTCTTTCTACTATCTAGTGGTGCAAAAACTTTCTTCTTAAAGCAGCAGAACCTCTTCACTACCACACCCCACACCTTTTGTTCCTAAGTAAACTAGCAAGTCTGGTTGGGTGGTGGGGTCAGATGTGGGGAAGGGAGCTGCAGCCCTGTAGCTTGGCTTCCCTCTTTTTTTATGTTTTGGAAGCCTTGTGAATAACCCCCACTCCCCACTCCCTGGAAAGTGGAAAAAACTAGAACTTTCCACAAAGTGTGTTTTTTAGAGTCATCTATGCTTCTCAGTTGAAGTAGAGGCCAGGCTTACTGCAGGAAGGAGGCAGGGAGGAGGAAATACTTAGTGGTCAGTGAGGCCACTGTGGTTTTAAGCTCAGGACTCACCTTCTCCTCCAAGTAGTTAGGGATTCTACCTCTATCCCCAATCTTAACATCGCTGGCCAGGAACAAAAATGTGGCTTTAGGGCCAGCACTGAATTCTAGCCCTTATCCTGCCAATGACTCAGTATGTGGTCCAGGGTAATTGAGCCTCAGTTTCCCCACCTGTGCCTTTTGGGATCTGGATCACTATGTCCCTAAGGGCTTTTCTGACAGCCTTTACTTCTGCCTCAGCTTGACTCAGCCCATGACTGCACCTTTTGCAACCTTGGTTTCTCATCTGCACAGTGGGTTGAGGGTCAGACACACCCACCTCAGGGTTTTTGCCAATGCAAGCTTCAGGCTAGAAAGCAGAAATAGGGATGGCAGAAAACAGCACTCACGTTATGCCCTTGGTCTTCTTCAAGCCTGCTGACTCTGAAGGACTTTCATCCAAGAATGTAGAGTCCTTGTTCTCCAACTTCTTGGCACTTTCAGGAGGCGACATAAGGTCCAATTTGATGGCAACGGCTCCCTGGGGACCCTCAGTACTTTTTGTCACAGACATGACTGCTTAAGAAACAAGGAGCTCGGGGTGACAAAGAGGTCTGCTCTGGAAGGAGGGAAGCAGGAAGGTGTCTAGTGTAGATGTACACCCCAGCACAGTGGTGTGTGCCCGGGCTGGCTCTGGCCAAGCTGGAACGAGGCCCCGCCCACCTCCCTGGAGGGCACCTCTTCCTGCCTGGAGAAGCCAGTGGACGAGGACTCCTGGGAAGAGGAGGAGAGGAAGGAGGGATTTGGAAAAGGCATCACCCATTCGTATTGGTATTACTTAATAATAATCATAATGATAACTATTATACTGATAATTTTAATAACAAATATCTATTAAGCCCTGTACTAAGGGATAAGCAATCCTCTAAGTGTTTTATCTACATTTTCTCATTTAACCCTATCAATTAAGTAAGGAGAAAACTGAGGTTTCTTGAAGTAAAGGAATCTGCCCGAGGTCAGATAGCTAGAAAGTGACAGAGTTGGAACCTAGCCCAATTTGTCAAGGTTTTCAACCAGTAACCTATTTCTGTCTCCAAGAAAATACCTACAAATCCCTCTCCTTTTATTCATCTCAGGGTAGAGGTTTCCATGTCTCACTGGCTCCACAGTCTGCTGTAAGACATCCCTTCTTGCAGCACCCCATTCTTAAATTGGAACAAAAAAGGGACAGTCACTCAGTCATCTCTAATTAATTCTTAGCTTTTGTGAGGCTCCATGGAGTGAGTAAAGAGTGTTCTTCTGGAAACGGGGAAGAGGCTGAGATTGTATGACTCCCAGCCACAGTTTGCTGGGCAAGATACTGGCGCCAGGAGGTGGTGAGATTTGTCTAAGGTCACACATGAAATCCAGGATAGAACTCTGCAGCTAAAGATGGTCTTGGGCGTTTCTCTAGTATCCCACTCTCTGTCATTATCTCTGCTTCAGTGCAGATGAACAGGCCAAAATTTCCTCCTCCCTCAAAATTACAGCTTTTGACTCAAGCCATACCACTCTCTCCTCCATCATCTCATCCCCAAAACTAACATTTCTTAAGGGCTTATTACATGCCACAAGCTTTGCTTAGCTAATGTCACTGCTAACTGGTAGCATCCAAGACAGATTTGTCAGGCCCCTCCCTTACATGGGGCTCTTTCCAAGGTCCTGTATGCAATTTTGAATGGACAATTTTGTATTGCTTTTTTCTTAAAGAGGTCCTCCTTACCACTACTTTCCCCTTCTCCATGGGATAAGCTTCAAGCTCCACAAAGCCTGGCTACTTCTGTGGGTTAGCTTTGTTAGTTTGTTTTTACAGATGTGGAAATTGAGGCTCAGAGAGGAAAAGAATAACTTGCTGGAGGTCACAGCTGGAACTCGGTAAATCCGAACTCCCCGCTAGCCAGGTTTTTTTTGGTTGTTGTTGTTTGTTTTTTGTTTTGTTTGTTTGTTTTTTCTGAAGCCTGCAGCTTTGACCACAGCACTGTCTCCTTTGTTTTAATGCTGGCCCCACCCTGCCAGCTTCTTGTCCTGAATCAACTGAAACACTTGCTGTGATTTGAGAAGTGTTATTCCCTTGTCTGGCACCATTACATGGCAGTATTACTGGTCTGTGAAGTAGCAGGCTGCATCCTGTGACCTGCTCGTTTACAGCCTGAGATTCCACAATTTAAATTTGTAATCTCAGATTTGATGTCGCAGGTGGAGCTCTGTGTTCCTGCTCGAGCAAGGTCAGTAATAAGATTGTTGAGGAGCTTGCTATGTTTAGATATGAGCTAGTTCTTGCCTTCCTCTCCAGGTTTTGAGAAGAACTCTGAATTATCTTCAGGCCTTTTGGAAAGGGGTGGCTGGAATATCAGTGTTTGGCCAGAGCTCTTCCCAGGCATCGTCAGTGAAAAAAAAGCTTGTAGGGTGGGGCTCCACACCCCAACTCATTGCACCACATGTTAGCAGGCAGGAGGTCTTCTCCTAGGGTGGGGATGTCCAAAATAAGCCCTTCCAACACGAGTGGCCCAGGCATCCGAAGCCCTGGGTTCCGCTATGGCTCTAACTATGAAGCTGTGGCAACCCTTGGAAAGATATTATTCCCCTTCAAACTCCAGTGTCCCCTTTGCAAGATGGATACTAGATTGTAGATGACTTCCAAAGGCATGAGAACCCCAAGGGCTTGGATGGGGTGTTTGGTAACGCTGAGATGCAGGCCAGCTTTTCTTGGGTGGGGCAGGCAACTGGTGAAAAGACAGCCTGCCCACTAGACATCTCCAAAAAGAGTGGAGCAAATGGGATGTAAATAATGATAATAATCTCCTATGATCCTTTAGAGTAAACACAGAGCCTTGTTCCTTTCATGGCTTATGGCACTTTTAAAACGTGGTGTGTATCAAAGCATCTGAAGAGATAATAAAGAACAGAGACTCAGACTTGTTGAAGTAGGATAGAATCTGTGCCATGTTATTTTTGCCAAGTTCATCAGGTGATTCTGATACTAGCTGAAGTTTGAGTCCACTGTTCTATGGAGTGGGAATAATTGCTTCTTTTTTAATAGATTAGAGAACCAAGGCAGAGAGCTGGGAAATATTTGCCTGAGGTCGTATAATCTGGTAGAAATGATCACTGGTACTCCTTTGGGCTAGAAGTCAGAGACTTCAGAGACAAAATGAAACCCCTACCTGGATGAAAATTCATCACCCTATCCTCACCACCACCACCACCACCACCCTCCCCCGGCCCCGGGTACCTCCTCATAGTCTGTGGCTGATGAATGTGACTCCTTCTACCCCCATCTAAATAATAATGATAATAGCGACTCACATGTATTGAGTCTATTCTATGTGCCAAGCTCTAGATGAGGTGTGTTACATGAGGTAGGCACTATGATTACCCCCATTTTACAGATGAGGAAACTGAGGCTCAGAGGGGTTACCTCCCTTGCCTAAGGTGACCCAGTTAGTACTAGAGACAGAGCTTTGATTGGATTCCAGGCCTCTTGGCATGTGCCTCTGAAGCTGCAGTTGAGTTATCTCTGTGTTCCTCTGCTATGACTAGGGCGTAGTAGGAACTCTGAAATAGTTGAAAACCCTTTCCTGTGCATACTTTATGCCATTCAAGACTGGGACTTCATGCATCAATCAAATTTCTAAATAAATGTTAGGGACTGATATAGATGGGCAAATTCTCATTTCTCTCCATTAAAAACCTTTAAAATATCACCATTAAAAAAAAGAGAATATTTCAACCCCCTAAAGCTGGAAGAACATAATATCAGGATAAAGGATAATGGGGTTTTTTGTGGCTTTTTTGAAACAGAGTCTCACTCCATTGCCCAGGCTGGAGTGCAATGGTGTGATCGCGGCTCACTGCAACCTCCACCTCCCAAGCTCAAGTGATCCTCCCACCTCAGCCTCCCAAGTAGCCAGGACTACAGGTGCATGACACCATGCCTAATTTTTGTATTTTTTGTAGTGATGGGGTTTTGCCATGTTGCCCAGGCTGGTCTTGAATTCCTGAGCCCGCCTTGGCCTCCCAAAGTGCTGGGATTAAAGGACAATGTTTTTAATGCTAACAATACTGCTCCCTTTCTGATGGCCACCACTCTGTGCTTTGGTGTTTCTCAACTGTAAAATACTAATGAGTGTGTCTTTAGGCAGGCGTGAGGATTACATGAGAAAATAAACAAGTACAGTGCCTGAGTCACAGTCAGTGCCCAGAGAGGAGAACCATTTTTATGATATCATTTTATTGTTGGAGGGAACTTACAAGGTCATTTCGTTGACTCATACTGTCTCACCGATTGGGAAACTGAGGCCCAGATAGGAGAAGGAACACAGTGAGTGAACAGGGATACAGTGGTGAGATAGGGACTTTAACCCAGCCCAGGTCTTTTGATTCCCAAGCTCTGTTGCAGTGAGACGAGATCGCACCACTGCGCTCCAGCCTGGGCAAAAAGAGTGAAACTCTGTCTCAAAAAAAAAAAAAAGCTATTCCTGAGAACCCCTAAGTGGCCTAATCACATATTCATGTGTGTAGGTATAGGCTCTGACACATTTTTAGGTTTCTGAACTTGCTGGGGAGAGTGAATTGCGGATGAGGAGCGGTCAGTGGCATCAGCAAGTGGCTTCTTCTGGTGAACGGGAATGGGGTCTCTCACTTGTTGCAGGTGTCAACTCTTATGACCCAACTGAGTTTCATTTATCCGTTTCTTTTTTCAGCAAAAGCTAATAATGATAATGACAGTTATCATCATCATCATCATACTGTAACGAGAGCTACCATTTATTAAGCATTTTATGTTATACAGTATTCAGAGCAATCCTTCATCCTCACCACCTCCATTCTCATCCAAGCCAGCATCATCCCTCACTTGGAAAACTAGCTTCCTAACTAGTTTCCTGGCCTCTCCACTTCCCTGTTTAAAATCTATTTCCTCACAATAGCAAATGATGATGCAACTCCCCTTCCTGAAACCTCCTCCTGCTCCAAATTGACCTGAGAACATATCAGTATTCCTCACCACAACCCACAAGGTCCTGCATGATCCAGCTGCTGCCTCTCTCCCAACTCACCTTGTTCATGTCTCTCCCTAGAACACTATGCTCCAGTCACATGGACCTTTTTTCCTGCATTAAATTTTGTCCTTTCCCTCCTTGGATACTGCATTTGCTGCTCTCTGTGCCTGCACTTTTTATCCTCTGCTTTTTGTTATGCTAGTCTTAGGTCAAGATTTTTCTGCTCCAACAACCTCCCTTGACAACTCTATCTAAAGGAGGACCCTCTGCTTGACTAGTTATTCTCAGTCATACCCCTGCTTTTTTTCATGTTGCTTCTCACAATTTGTAATTATCTTGATTATGTGTGTGTATCCCCATTGTTGTTTATGTCCTCCCACTAGAATTTAAGCTCCATGAAAGTGGGAAGTACTTGGTCACCTTCCCAGTTCTTAGGCCTGGCTCATGGTAGGCTCTCAAAAAATATTCAATGAATGAATGTGTTATTGATCCCATTTGACAGATGTGGAGTAAGCCTCAGAGGTCCTTTCTTTTGCCTGTGTTGGTTTCCTATGGCTGCTCTAACAAATTGCCATAAACTTAGTGCCATAAAACAACACACAAATTTGTTCTTACAGTTCTGAAGGCCAGAAGCCCTAAATCAGTTTCAATGAGCCAAAGTAAACATGCCAGCAGGGCTATGCTTCCTCCAGAGGCTATGAAGGAAAATCTGTTTCCTTTGTTGTTGTTGTTCTTCTTCCTAGCTTCTAGAGCATTCTGTACATCCCTTGGCTCGTGGCTCCTTCCCTGATATTCCCATAGTGTCTTCTCTCTCTGACTCTGCTTCTATCCCATGGGCTTCTTATCTCTTGTCTGTAGTCAAATCTCCCTTTGTTTTCCTCCTATAAAGATACTTGAGATTAAACATAAGGATAATCCAGGATAAACCTCCCATCTCAAGATCCCTAACTCAATCACATCTTCAAAGGGTATGATTTAAACCCAGCAAGGGCTGTCCAGATTCTTCTTGGCCTCTCTATGCAGCATTCCTTACTTCAGGGTATGGGGCTAGACCCCCTCTGGAATAAGGGTCTTATGACCCACAATCAAATTAGAGTCCTGCCTTGGGCAGGTGAAAGGAGGGGAGGAGAAAGCTAGAGAAAAAGAGATTCTCTTTGCTTTTACAAGGGCTATGGGAATTATGAGCCAGGAACCATGGATGAAAACATATGTGTTGAAAACCATGAATGAAAACATATATATGTATGTGTGTGTGCATATGTGTGTATATATATAATATAGATATCATAGACTCATAGTACTTAGTTAGAGGCATAACAGTCCCTTCATTCTACAAATTGTGAAACTGAGGCCCAGAGAGGAGAAGTGAGCACACACAAAGATACTATGTTTAGGACAGAACCAGGCATAGCATCTAAAATATGGTTCCCAGTTTAGAGATTGTCTACCAAAACCTAATGTTGTCTTTAAAAATAAGTGATAGACTATTCTTTTAGAGCAGTCTTAGGTTCACAGCAAAATTGAGCCAAAGGAGCAGAGAGTTCCCATATACCCCCAGCCCCACGCATTCACAGCATCCCCTACTATTGACATCCAGCAACGGAGTGAGACATTTGTTACATCAGTGAACCTACACTGACACACCATTATCACCCAGAATTTACTTTGGGGTTCATTCTTGGTGGGGTGCATTCTGTGGGTTTGGACAGGTGTCTAATGGCGTGTATCTACCATGAGTATCATGGAGTCATTTCACTGCCCTAACCTAAAAATCATCTGTGCTCTACCTGTTCATCTCTCCCTCTTTTCTAACTCCTGGCAACTACTGATATTTTCACTGTCTCCATAGTTTTGCCTTTTCCAGAATGTCATACAGCTAGAAACATACAGACCGTAGCCTTACAGATTGTCTTCTTTCACTTAGTAATATGCATTTAAGTTTTCTCCATGTTTTTTTATGTCTTGGTAGCTCATTTCCTTTTAATGCTGAATAATATTCCATTCTTTGAATTTACCACAGTTTATTTATCCATTCACCTACTGAAAGACATCTTGGTTGCTCCCAAGTTTTTGCAATTATAAATAAAGCTACTATCTGCCGGGTGCAGTGGCTCAGGCCTATAATCCCAGCACTTTGGAAGGCTGAGGAGGGTGGATCACTTGAGGTCAGGAGTTCAAGACCAGCCTGGCCAACATGGTGAAACCCCGTCTCTACTCAATATACAAAAATTAGCCAGGCGTGGTGGTGCACACCTGTAATCCCAGTTACTCTGGAGGCTGAGGCAGGAGAATCACGTGAACCTGGGAGGTGGAGGGTGCAGTGAGCCAAGATCGCACCACTGCACTCCAGCCTGGGCAACAGAACAAGATTCTGTCTCAAATAAACAAAGAAACAAACAAATTAAGCTACTATAAATATCTTTGTGGATATTTTGGATTGGCATGCGTTTTTAATTCATTTGGATAAATATTGACTTTGTCATTTTATCAGATCAGTGCAGAACAGCCACCCTTGAGGAGATTTTCTTCTACCAAGATAATATCTGCACTTCAGCCAAGTCTTTGTACTCTCTGTGTTTCATGCATGCACAATGAGCTAAAATGGTTTTAGAGGCACAGAGTCCAACCTCCTCATTTTATAGATGGGGAAACTGAAGCACACAATTTGACCCTGCCCTGTCCCTGGGGCCCTGTCCCTCAGCGGGGTTAGGGGTCATTTGGATTAGATTCTGCTTTGGTAGGGGGACAGAAAAGACAGACAGTTTCATGCCCACTCTCCATTTTGCCTGCTAGCTCCAGGAATAGTCTTGGCACTAACTCCTGTTGTCTAGATTGGAACCCCTGCACATGCACATACCTGAACCAATCATTGTGACCCTAGTGGTCAGCCCCTGGATTGGAGGCAGAGTCAGCCTCACCAGAACTATATATACGGGGGGTGGCAGAAGTGGTTTTCCAAAGGAAAATCAGAGAATAATTACCAGAAAAAAGGAGGCTAGATGCTGGGCAGCAGAGCAGATGTTCACCATAGCGGGGAAATACAACTTGAACATTAAGAGCTATAATGCAAGGGAGACCATGGTAAGTCCTCCCTACTGACCGAGGAAAAACACATTAAAATGACAACAATGAACTGTAACCAGCAAAAAGTCTGGCTGCTCGCTGCTTATAGAAAGAAACATGAGTGAGGTGTAATAAAAAGAGAGTGAGATTTTATTATCCATGCAAGCAAGGGGCAGAGTGGGTGGAATTCTTTCCAAAATTTTTTACTCTTCAATTTGTGGAGGGAACACAGGAGTTTTTCAAGAGAGGGTTTGGAATGGCACAAGGCGCGGGAGCATAGAATGGGAAAAGAAAAAGAATGCAGGAAAGAAAGCATTCTGAGGCTGCTTGAAACTGCAGGGGAAAGGGGAAAGAAAAAAAAATACCTTTAAATGGAGGGTTGATGCCAGGCTATTCGGTTACAGTGCCACAATACGACATACTACTGGAAGTGAATTTGGTAATATCTATAAAAATTTGAAAAAGTGCATTCCTTTTAACTCTGCAATTTAATTTCTAATAATCTCTTCTAGAAATGCTCACACACGTATACCCCAGGGTGTTTACTGCAGCATTATCTGTAATAGCAAAAAATGGAGACAACCTGCATGTACCACAGGAGGATAATTGTTCATAAATTATCCTAATTCTATTGAGTGGAATATTGCCATGGCTGTTAAAAAGACTCAAGCATATCTGTATATACTGACGTGGAGGGAGATTTAGGATATATTACTGTGAAATATGAAATGTTCATCACACTAAGTACAACATGAACCCATTTTTCAAAAAACAAATGGAATCAATTTATTTTTGAGAAAAGCATAAAACCGCATACATCTCCAACTGCAAGAACCCAAACATAGAAAATACACATGCATACACATCTTGTATACACATGGTTGTATATGCTTGAGAAAGATCTGGAAGGATTCACAGTAGTTCCTCCTGCAGTGTGAGAATATAAGTGGACACTTAGGGGTGAAGCAGATGTGGGAATTTTGTATTTTAATTCCAATGTTTTTGATTTTAAAGGCATATTTAAAAATTAATATTAATGTGCTATTTTGTAACAAAATTAAAATTTTACAAAGGATATGTTAAGAATACAGGAGGATCCCAGAACTTTGGGAGGCTGAGGTGGGTGGATCACCTGAGGTCAGGTGTTCAAGCCCAGTCTGGTCAACATGGAGAAACCCCATCTCCACTAAAAATACAAAAACTGGCTGGGCATGGTGGCTCACACCTGTAATCCCAGCTAACTGGGAGGCTGAGGCAGGAGAATCGCTTGAACCTGGGAGGTAGGGTTGCAGTGAGCTGAGATCACGCCACTGCACTCCAGCCTAGGCAACAGAGCAAGGCTCTGTCTCACAAAAAAAAAAAAAAAAAAAAAGAATACACGAAGACCTGATAAAGTGCTAGAAGAAAAGTGCTACGAGAGAGAGATGAGGCGTATATCTGTTACTCACACCTCCTCCGAGCTGGAGCCAGCAAACTCTAGGAGGAGAGGGGCTGTCATCTTTGTGTTCCCTTTCATCCTTAGGAACTACGTGTGTTGGGCATATAGTAGGTCTCTGGTGGCTGAATCTTCTCCCTGAAATGCCCTTCAGGCACTGGCTCTCCTCCTGAATTTTTGCAAGAGGAAATTCAACATTGAAGTCCAGTTTCAAGTACCCCCCTCTCATCCACTTACTCAAAGACAAGGAAGCAGTTCAAAAAATCCCTCCACATTAAAGTTTACCTCTGGGCATTCAGTTGTGGTCAGCCCCTCTTCTAGGCCATAGTTCTCTGCCATAAATTCAGTGAAGAACATGCTACACAACTGGGGGCAATTTTCTCTCTCAAATTTAACTTCAGACCTAACATTTCCCTTCAACCTGCTCATGATTTCCTGTGCAATTCCTTATTGTGGATCAATAAGGAAGAAAAAAATAGGAAGCTAGATAGGGTCAAGGGAATGAAGCCAGGTAGCTGATGATAATATTCACACAAGCAGGGTGCTCCCATAGGTAGAGGACTATGCAGGTCCCCAAGCACTTGACCCATCCAGAATCTCCTTGATGTTAGCAAATCTAAGAGGAAGAAGGGTAGGAATTATAGTCCCCATGTTACAGATAAGGAACTCGAAGTTCATCGGTTTAGTGATGCCCATGTGTAGTGGTAGACAACTGGAAAATCTTCATTTCCTAGATTTCTGACCCCCATTCACAAAGCCACAAAAGGCCTTTCCCTGGATCACAGCCGGAACCTCACTTAAGCCACAGGCCCACATAGCTAAGGGCTTTAGCGGTGGTTGTGTGATAATAGGTGGTAGGTAGTGAGAGAAAGGTGGTTGGCTGCCAGTATCAGCATGACAAAACCCATCATTGTTCTTGGCACTAAAAGGAGCACTAGCCAGTTTGGGTGGTTCTTCTGTCAAGGGAGAGATGGAGCTTCCATTGCTGTTTTTGGAGAGTAGGAGATTTTGTGGACTTTTACTTCCTTACAAGCTGAATGATAGGCCTTTTGGGCCAAGTATTAATACTAATCTTATCTGATTTATCTCTTCTTTTGAAATAACCTAAAGCAGGGGTTAGTAAACTATGGCCTATTGGCCAAATCTATCCTGACACCTGTTTTTAGAAAAAAGGTTTTATTGGAACTCAGGATGCCCATTCATTTACGTATTGTTTAAATCTGCCTTCATGCTACATTGGCAGAGTTGAGTAGTTGTGACAGAAACCATACAGACCACGAAGGTTAAAATATTTACCATCTGGCTCTGTATAGAAAAAGCTTGCCAACCTCTGACTTAAGTCAACATATATTTTCTGAGCATGAACTCTGTGCCTTCTTGCTCTTTTACTTCCAGAAATCTGCTGGTATTCTCCACGATTAAAACCTAAATCTTGTGGCATCTGTTAAAAGAAAACCTATAGACAGATAAGATTTAACAGTGTTTAATTGAGCAAAGAATGATTCATGAATTAGGCAACCCCAAGACCAGAATAGGTTCAGAGAGCTCCAGGCTGCATTGTGGTCAGAGAACTTTTATGGACATAAAATGGAAGTGAAGGACAGAGAGAACTTGATTGGTTAAGGCTCAGCATTTGCCCTATTTGACCACGGTCTGCTCAGTTGGCTGCCTGTGATTGACTGACTAGGCAGCTGTGATTGGCTGAGACTCAGCTATTTGTTACAAAAAAGTATACCCTTATATTTGGTTTTCAGTTAGTTTGCATACTAAGTTAGGTTGCAGTGTCTTATGCAAAGACCCAAGTAGGGAGACAGCCTCAGGCCAGATTTAGTTTAACTTTTTTTCTTTTCTGTTTTTTTTTTGTTGTTGAGACAGGGTCCTATTCTGTCACCCAGGTTGTAGTGCATTGGTGATCCTCACTCACTGTAGCCTTGAACTCCTGGGCTCAAGAGATCCTCCTGCTTCAGCATCCCAAGTATCTGAAACTACAGGCATGCACTACTGTGGCCGGCTAATTTTTGTAGAGATGGGATCTTGCTATGTTACTCAGGCTGGTCTTGAACTCCTGGCCTCCTCCTGCCTCAGCCTTCCAAATGCTAGGATTACAGGTTTAGTTTAATTTAACACTTCTCATCTGGTGCTTGTTGTACATGTTTCCTGATAAATTTTTCTATCCCCAATTCCTCAACATTACTGACTGGAGAAGTGGTTCTCAAACTTCAGTGGGCACGACAACCGCCTGGGAAGCTGGTTAAAGTGTTGATTCTCGGCCGGGCGCGGTGGCTCACGCCTGTAATCCCGGCACTTTGGGAGGCCGAGGCGGGTGGATCATGAGGTCAGGAGATCGAGACCATCCTGGCTAACAAGGTGAAACCCCGTCTCTACTAAAAATACAAAAAAATTAGCCGGGCGCGGTGGCGGGTGCCTGTAGTCCCAGCTACTCGGGAGGCTGAGGCAGGAGAATGGCGTGAACCCGGGAAGCGGAGCTTGCAGTGAGCCGAGATTGCGCCACTGCAGTCCGCAGTCCGGCCTGGGCGACAGAGCGAGACTCCGTCTCAAAAAAAAAAAAAAAAAAAAAAAAAAAGTGTTGATTCTCAAGTCCCACCCCGGAGTGTTGATTTAGGAATCTACATTTTTATAAATGCCTCAATGATTCGAATGACATCATGTAAGAGATCATGTATGGTGAATTACTGAATCCTAAAGCTATAAAACAGACATATTGGCCCAATGATCTTTCTACACAGAGAAATAGCAAACTGTCTGAACCATCATTTCTTTGGCTCCTAATACATCCATGCCTTCCAGAGTCAGCTAACTTTCAAACAACATCCACAAATGTTTTAGAAATCTCCTGGCTACCCCCACTCAACCTATATCTCTAATGAATCTCTCCTGATACAACATCGAATTGCAAGAAAAACATAAGCTTATAGTTAGAAACTTTTCAGAGCAATTTCTGGAGGAGGCATATTTTTTCTTCTCTCTTTCTCTTCTAGTCTAATTCTCCTAAAAGATTTTCAGCTAGCAAATAAGAGGCTAAGAGGGGACATTCCATTATTTAAATAGCCTTATTATTATAATTTGCATGCCATAAAATTCACCCACTGCAAGTGTGCAATTAAATGACTTGAGTAAATTTATAATTGTGCAATCACCACCACGAGCCAGTTTTGAACATTTCAATCACACCTAATAGTCTCCTCCTGCCCATTTGCTATCCCCAGTCATGCCACCCTACCAGCCCTAGGGAGCAACTGATGTGCTCTTTGCCTCTATAAATTTGCCTTTTTTAGACATTTCATATAAATGGATTCACACAACATGTGGTTGTTTGCATTTGGCTTCTTTCACTTAGCATAACGTTTTTGAGTTCATCCATGCTGTAGAATGTTTTGAGGTTCATCCATGCTGTAGAAACAAACCAATAGTTTGTTTCTTTTAATTGTTGATTGATATTCCATTGTATGGGTATGCTGCATTTTGTTTATCCATTTACCAGTTGATGGATCTCTGGACGGTTTTTAGTTTTGGCCTATTATGAGTCATGTTGTCATAAATATTTGCATACACGTTTTTTGTGGACGTAAGTTTTATGCTTTCATTTGCCTTGTATAAATACCTATAAGTAGAATTGTTCCATTGTATGTCAAATACTTGATTCTTTTTAAAATTTTATTTTTATTAAAGCTTTTTTAAAATTTTTTGCTTAAAGTGGTGGATCCTCAACAGTTGATTCTTAGATAATGCAGGGATTAGGAGCACAGACTCCTTGGAGAGTTGAAAATCCATGTATAGCTTTTCACTTCTCCAAAACTTAATTACTAATGGTTTACTATTTACTGGAAACCTTACCAATAACATACACAGTTGATTAACGCACACTTTGTATGTTATATGTATTATATATGCTGTATTCTTATAATAAAGTGAGCTAGAAAAAAGAAAATGTTACTAAGAGAATCACAAGGAAGAGAAAATATATTTACTATTCATTAAATGGAGTTGGGTCATCATGTAATTTTCATCTTCATTGTCTTCATATTGAGTAGGCTGAGGAGGAGGAGGAAAAGGAGGGTTAATGGTGCTGTTTCAGGGGTGGCAGGGGTGGAAAAAGGTGGAAGGGGAGGCAGGACAGGCAGGCACACTCAGTGTAACTTTACAGAAATACACTGAACTTCTGTCTGACTTTTTCTGCTTTTTCATTTCTCTAAAATGTTTCTATATAGTATTGATCTTTCTTCTGTCCTTTGCTTTAGTTTCAGTACCTGTATCATAGAAAGGTCCATTTTGTTAGGGAAGTCAAAAGCAGTCTTCAATCACCAGAACCCTTCTGTCAGATTTTTAAATGCCAATTAGTTTTCTGACACTGCTGCTGCTTCTTCTTCCTCCTCAGCTGACACCGGTTGAGAAGCACTCATCTCCATCCAGTCATCTTTTGTTAATTCCTCTGGCATGGTGTCTATTTGCTCTTGAATTTCTCCAAGATCCATATCTTGAAACCCTTCACTCCCCATCTTTTTTGTCACATCCACAATCTCTTTTTTTATTTCCTTGATTGGCTCTGTTGTATTAGGTTGGTGCAAAAGTAATCATGGTTTTGGCCATTAAAGTAATGTTATGTACAACATCTAGGCACAGTTTTCTTCTGCAGAAATTTATTGTTTCAGGCTTTTATGGTTTTTTCTATAACCACAATGGCATCTTCAATGGTGTAATCTTTTCACATTTTGATGATATTCTATCAGCACTCTCTTCCATAGCACTGACAATACTTTCCATAGAGTACTATGTGTAGTGAGCCTTAAAGTTCGTTGAGACCCCTGGTGTAGAGGCTGAATTCATTTTCACAATGATATAATTGGACAATATGATGAAAGTTACTAACTGTAATTAGCATTTAACTTATTAGCAACATTGTATTCTTTATTGAGCTGAACAAACAACTCGAAACATCTTATATTGCTTTAAAAATAATATATTTCTTATATCAGTCCAATATCTACTAAAGAAGAACATTTTAGTGCCCAGATATAAGATATTTTAGAGTCAAAAATAGTGAGAGAAATTGAAGTAATCATGTTCTGCAACTGCCCAAATTGTTAACATAAGTGCTTGTTAAACAGACAAAACCTTCTGCTTTCAGATGGTGTATTTAAAATTTCATACTAGAGTTATGAGTGGATTGCATACCACAATTACAGTATTTAAATATTTTGGGTTTGTCTGGGTACTTACTTTTATCAGTAGGTTTTATAGCTTCAAATGTTTTCTTTTTAGATATTAGTGTTTTTTTCTTTCATGCTGAAGAAGCTGCTTAGTATTTCTTATAAGATGGGTCTGGTGGTAGTAAATTCTATCATCTTCTGTTTATCTGGGAAAGACTTCTTCATATTTGAAAAATAGCATTGCTGGAAGTAGTATTCTTGGATGACAGTTTTTTTTTCTTTCAGCACTTTGAAAATGTTATCCCATTGCCTCCTGGCCTATATGGTTTCCATTGAGAAGTCTGTTGCAAGATGAACTGAAGCTCCTTTATACATTGTTTGCTTTTCTCTTGCTGCATTTAGAATCCTCTCTCTGTCCTTGACTTTTGAGAGTTTGATTATCATAAGCCTGGGTAGCCTTATTTGGGTTGAATCTGTTTGTGTTCTCTGATCTTCTTATACCTGAATATTTATCTTTTTCAACTTTTGAAAAGTTTTCTGTTATTATTTTTTAATAAGCTTTCTACCCCTTGCTGTTGCTCAACTACCTCTTGAACACCATTACTTCTTAGATTTGGTCTTTTGAGATAATTTTTTAATATCTTGTAGACATTCTGTTTTCTTTTTTTCCCCCTCTGTGTGTTTTCAAATAGCCTGTCTCCAAGCTCACTGTTTCTATATAGTATTGATCCTTCTTCTATTATTTCCTTTAGTTTGTCTTCAAGCTTACTGATTCTTCCTTTGCTTGATTGATTCTTCTTTTTTTTTTTTTTTTTTTGAGATGGAGTCTCACTCTGCCTCCCAGGCTGGAGTGCAGTGGGGCAACCTCAGCTCACTGCAACCTCCGCCTCCTAAGTTCAAGCAATTCTCCTGCCTCAGCCTCCCGAATAGCTGGGACTATAGGCACATGTCACCATGCCAAGCTAATTTTTGTATTTTTAGTAGAGATGAGGTTTCACCATGTTGGCTGTGCTGGTCTCAAATTTCTGACCTCAGGCGATCTCCCTGCCTCAGCCTCCCAAAGTGCTGGGATTATAGGCGTGAGGCACAGAGCCCAGCCCCTGCTTGATTGATTCTGCTGTTGAGACTCTCTGATGAGTTTTTCAGCTCAGCAAATGTATTTCTCAGTTAAAAGATTTGTTGTTGTTTTTTTCTAAATATCTCAATCTCTTTGTTAAATTTCTCTAATAAATTCCTGAATTGCTTTTCTGCATTATTTTGGAGATCACTGAGTTTCCTTAAAAGTGCTCTTTTGAATGTTTTATCAGAGAGCTCACATATCACAGTCTTGCTAGGATCAGTCACTGGTTCCTTGCTTTGTCTGTTTGGGGAAGTCATGGTTCCCGTGTACTGTTATTTCTTGTGGATGTACACCTATGTCTTTGTATGGAACGATTATTTATTTCAGTCTTCTCTGTCTTTGTTTTAGTTTTTATTTGTTATGTTTGCTTAGAGATTCTTTGTTATTTACCTGTTGAATTTTTTCCCTACTAGGTCACTACCTGTGTTTTGGCACTGGATGACACATTAAGCCCAGGTTTGCCTTGGCTGCCTGTCCCAGATGGAAGAGGTCCCAAAGGGGATAGCCACGCAGTGTGGGAAGGCTGGCTAGGAGTTCATGCCCAGGGGAATTGTGGAATGTATGTCCTACAGTGTGGTGCTGCTGAACAACCACTCTGATTTGACATCTCCTTTGTCTGAGTTTTCAAACACTTGGTGCTGGGCAGATTGGAAGGAGGGTTGCCATGAATATGGAAATCTGATTGTCTTACTGTCTGCTTGATGGCTTTTCACTTCTCTGTGGCCCTGGGAGTTGTTAAATCCTCATATTTGAGTTCTGGGATATCACTGGTGATACTCTTGGTGCTCTATATTTGTTTTTGGTTTTCTGTAGGGGAAACTGAAGCCAGCTTGCTTCAACACCACCATTTTGGAATCAGATCATCCCCAGAGCTTATCATTTTCTTTTTTTACAGTAGTCCTTACGCTGGATTTATTTATCTTGAATTAACAGGCAAGCAGAGCTGCAGACCTTAATCTATAGTATATATTAAACAATTCAACTTTTTCTTGGAATGTCATGATTTTATTTGCTTCTTGGGAGCACTTCCAGCATCACTAGTGGCACTTTGTATGGATCCCATGGTGTTATTCAAGATTTATGGGATTGCACCAAACACAGTGAAAAATACACTAGAACCACAAGAGATCACTTTTACTGTAACATACAATTTACTGGAGAGATGAACTACTGAACTCATGCAGAGATGATTAGTGTCACATGGTATTATAAGCTGATACTAGCAACACTTGAGCTCACCACAATGGCAACAGGATGTATCCACAAAATTATTACAACAGTATAGTATGTACTATAGTTAATTTTATGCAGTTATGATTTAATACTGCATCTTTATGTTTACATTTCTCTTGACTGTGAATGGCACCGTGTGTGGTCTGTAAGTACTTGTGTGTGCTAGTTTTGATAAATTTTAACTTTTATAATAGATTTATGTGTGTTTTATGGCAACGAATGATAAAATAACCTAATATCTGTATATATTTTATGCACTCATGACCTACCTAGCTTTTCTTAATTTTTTAATGTTTCTAGGCTACATGGTTCATCTGCAAGTTTTAAGATGGCCATAAATCTCCAAAAATTCCAATATATTTATTTTAAAAAATCCATACATAGACCTTCACAGTTCAAACCCATGTTGTTCAAGGGTCAACTGTATATGTTTCCCTTTTTGAGAAACTGCCAAACTGCTTTTCAAAGTGATTGTCCCATTTTAGATTTTCATCATCAATGCATGAGGGTTCCAGTTTCTCTACATCCTCATCAAATCTTGGTATTGTCTGCCTCTTTGATCATAGTAATTCTAGTGAGATCCCATTTTAATTATACTATTAAATTATAGAATACTTGTACTATTAAGGATCTTAGAGTTTCAACACTCTCACTTCAGATTAGGCAACTAATCCTAAAAGGAGTAAATGAACTTGCTCAAGGTCACTGAGAGATTTAGTCAGAGTTCTTTCAGTTGCAAATGTTGGAAACCCAACTGAATGTGGCTTAAGCAAAAAGGAACTGACCCATGTAACTGGAAAGCACAAGGTGAAACCTGCATCAGGCACCAGTGGAAGCAGGAGCTCCAAGGACACCAACAGGCTTTTCTTCCATCTCTTGGCATAATTTTCTCCTGCTTGATATATGCTTCTGCTGTGCAGTCTGGGAACATGTTTACTTCAGTTCCAGGTTAGTTCATCTGGGTTTATTAACCCTAGCATTAAGATTACCCTCTTCCTGATATCACTGATTAAAGTCCAAGGGCTCATGAACCCTTGATTATATGGCCATCTCAGAACAAAGCATTATGGACAGGAGGATTGAATGTACTTATTCGCCAAACCCAGGTCATGTGCTCACTTCCTGGAGTTGGGGTAGAGTCTGCTCCTCTAAAACAACTTAGAGAGTGGAGAAAGGGTGGTTGCCCAAGGCAAAATCAGGGCACTGTTTCCAGAAGAAAGAGAAAGATGATAAGAAGGCAATGATGGGACATTACTGGAGGTCCACTGTCTCCAGCTAGCTAGAAGTAGTCCTGGAACTAAAATCTAGTTTTCTATAAACCTCTGCTCAGTGCTCTTCCTATTGAATCAAGATGTTGCCTGTGGCATATAGATGTGATGTTAATGCTCATACAGCATCTTCACCTGGTTAAGGTGCCCAGTAATTGCAAACACATCAAAAATCCTGTCCTATTTGACAGGCTCAGGGAAAGTGGCCAGTTCAGGGGGCAACAGAGGCTGGAGACAAAGTCACAATTGGCCCCACCAATCAGCAGGGAAACCAAACTCTTGGTAACAAGCTTCTGAAGTAGGGAGAGCAAAGATGGTTTAGAAAGTGTCCACAGAGGTCATCTAGTCCACCCTCTCATTTTACAGCTAGGGAAACTGAGGCTCAGAGAGGAAAAGTCACTTGTCTAAAATCAGGCAGCTGAGTCAGGGACAGGGTTTAGTGGTTATGAACAAGGGGTTCAGTACTAAATAGGCCAGTGTTTAAATCTGACTCCACCCCTTACTAACTGTATGAGTTAGCACTAGTTCCCTAACTTCTTGGAACCTAGATGTCCTTTTCTGTGAAATGGAGAAGACATCATCTACCTTACAGGGTTCTGCAGATGATTTAGTGGCATAACGTATGGGATGCATTTTGTACGTTGCCTGGCCCACAGTGTGCCTCCATTGGTGGTGCCTCCTGGTGGTACCAGGTCTCCTGGATCACACATCAATATTTTCTCAGCTCCCAAGACATTGGGACAAGAGGTAGTCCAGCCTGGTTTGGAGAAAAAGGGGTCCTGTTCATGCCTCTTCTGGTCATCATAGGAGAAAACAGTAAAATAATGAAAATCACCAACATTTGTAGAGCACCTTAGCTTTTAAAAATGTATGTGTGCACATACTCTTCCTGACATTCCTGACAACATTCTGAGGTGGGTGAGGCTGAACTTAACTGAATTTGTGAAGTTGAGGCTCCCAAGGGGAAGTGGCCCACTCAGATCTGATGGGGGTAAATGGTAGATCTCAGGAATAGAACTCAGATCCTCTGACCCCACTCCTGTACTCTCCACCCAACACTGTGGTGGCCCCATATAAATATACACATTAGCAATTAAAGAAGGATCTTTGTTCAAACAATGCTAGAATGTCAGTTTAGGAAGTGAAGCGGGAAATGTTGAGTTGAAAATTGGTCACTGTTTCAAGGTGCCAGTGGAGTTTGGAAAGAGGAGAGGTCTTGAGGCTGGATCAGCTCATGGAGGGCCTAGAAGGTCCCCACCAAAAATCCCACAAAGCCCAGGATGCTGATCAGGGCGTCCTTGGTGATGATGAGGGAGCTCATGCACTCTGAGTAGTAGGTAGTCATCTCCAGGAGGCACAGGATGATGAGGGGCAGGGTGCTGCTGCTCACCAAGCTCATCTGGGTAAGGACCATGCCCAGATGGGGGATGAGGATGGCCAGGGAACCTGCAGTGGAAGAAGATAACCTGGTTTCCACTTGCCCCAGAGGGGAACACACTTACAATTAAAATCCGAGCATGGCAGAATATTGGGGGAACCTGCCCCCAGTATCTCAATGTAGGTTAGTTCTATTTTCCATAAGTGTCAGCTGGCTGAGAAATAAAGAGAGACAGTACAAAGAGAGGAATTTTACAGCTGGGCTGCCAGGGGTGACATCACATATCGGTAAGACCGTGATGCCCACCTAAGTCTCAGACCAGCAAGTTTTTATTAAGGGTTTCAAAAGGGGAGGGGGTGTAAGAACAAGGAGTAGGTACAAAGATCACATGCTTCAAAGTGCAAAAAGCAGAACCACTAATAAGGGTCTAACAAAGTTCACATGCTTCTGAGGGAACAGGAAAAAGGGCAAAAGCAGAACCACTGATAAGGGTCCAACAAAGATCACAGGGCAAAGGGCAAAAGCAGAACCACTGATAAGGGTCTGTGTTCAGCAGTGCACGTATTGTCTTGATAAACATCTTAAACAACAGAAAACAGGGTCTGAGAGCAGAGAACTGGTCTTACCACAAATTTACCAGGGCTGCGTTTTCCCAACCCTAGTAAGCCTGAGGGTTCTGCGGGAGACCAGGGCTTATCTCAGTCCTTATCTCAACGGCACAAGACAAACATTCCCAGAGCGGCCATTTATAGACCTCCCCCCAGGAATGCATTTTTTTTTTTTTCCCCAGGGTATTAATATTAATATTCCTTGCTAGGAAAAGAATTTAGCGATATGTTTCCTACTTGCACCTCCGTTTATAGGCTCTGTGCAAGAAGAAAAATATGGCTCTTTTTGCCTGACCCTGCAGGCAGTCAGACCTTATGGTTGTGTTCCCTTGTTCCATAAAAATCACTATTATTCTGTTCTTTTTCAAGGTGCACTGATTTCATATTGTTCAAACACACGTTTTACAATCAATTTGTACAGTTAACACAATTATCACAGTGGTCCTGAGGTGACGTACATCCTCAGCTTACAAAGATAACAGGATTAAGAGTTTATTAAAGACAGGCATAAAAAATTATAAAAGTATTATTTGAGAACTGAAAAATGTCCATAATAAGATGAAGTTGTCCCAATTTATGTTCCTCTGCTGCAGCTTCAGCCGGTCCCTCTGTTCAGGGTCCCTGACTTCCCGTAACAGTAGAACATTTGAAAACATTTCATAGGAGCACTGAGGGGAATCTCCTTGTCTTGCTAATAACTCTCTATGGGGACAGAATCTTTTGGCAGGGTGTTAAAAGAAAAATCCAACATGTGTCCTTTCTAAAAAGGATGCAGGAGGGTAGGAGGCGTTGGACCCCAGTTATGTACACATCCAGATGGAATTCAACCTGTTTAACTAGGCCAAATTATACAACCACCTGCATTTGATTTGAGCTGTTTATATTGAGCCTGATCACCAACCTCCTGGAGAGTTCAGCTACACTGAACTGGATTGATCATTGACTAAAGACATCCTACACCAATAACCTGCCATAATCAATCACAAAGTGTGCCAAAACTGGATGGATCATTGACTAGAGACATCCTACGCTGATAACCTGCCATCATCAATCATAAACTGTGCTAAAACCTTCCTGATGTGTAAACTTACTGTGGCGCTTATAAGCCTCTGCTTAAGCTTGCCTAGATGGAACATAATTTAGCTGCTTTGCTAGATCTGTGTCTCTTGAATTGCAATTCCTAAGACCCTAATTAAAATGTGTTTTCTTTTGTTTGCCACTCTGCAGTGTTAGTTTTATTTCTTAGTTGACATTACATGGTGTCAGAAGTGGGATGCAAAGTGACTCCCTTCTGATCTCCTGTGCCACCATATACCCAAGAAAAAGTATCTGTGGGAACTCCTTGCATTTTATTGACTCCGAATGACCCCAAACTTCACTGGATAAGTCTTTTTGTGTCCTGAACCACCTTCTTACCCTAGCTGAGGTTCAGGCCTTTTTTTGGTTGTCCTCTGTTGCCAGCTTTTACAATAGATTTCTCCTTTTTTCTGGTGACCCTGGTTGCAAAGAATCTTTGTTTTGGTGATCAATCATGGGGAGTTCCCATCCTAAGAGTGTGACTAATGACTTGTCCTATCCATGCCACATTTAAGGTTAAATCTAATGAAGGACTCTCAAGGACCTCTTCAGGAACTTAGTCCCCTTGAACAAAGGCAGAACCCAGAGCTGCAACAAAGGACTTCCCTGGCCCCTTAGAAAATCTAAATGCCTTTGCTAAATAATTCAACTTGGTTACCAAAACCTACCAGCCTGGCTATTTCAACCTTTACCAGCTGATACGCATGCTTGCTGGTGAAGGACATGCTAACACGTGGATGGAAAAAGCTGACTAGTATAACCCTTTAAATGATTTCTCTAAGAGAAGAGTGACTGATCTTACTGATGTTCAAAAATTGGCAAAGATCTCCATAAACAAATCCCTGAAGTTTTCTAAAAAACTATTGACTGGAAAAACAAAATACAACAATGCACCTAAGAACCAGATGACCCAGTCTACAAATTCATTATAGACTACAGAAAATTTTAAGGCAATACTCTGGCTTTGGCAAAATAAATTACACAACCTCCCTTTGTAATTCAACTGTTATCAGTGGACTGGAAGAAGAACATGATAGTAAAGTGAAATCAACTCAATTGGGCTACTGTGAAAACCTCTGACTTGCTTAATCTGTCCAAAAATCCCTCTAACACACCCCTGAAAGGGCAGCTGAGAAGAAAGCAATTCGTGCATTAGATCTTCAAATTCAAGCTGGTCAAGTAATGAACTGTCAAATGCAACAATTAAAAACTAAACCTGTTCCCACCCCAGACTGAACTCCCTCAGGCTGGAGCACAGTGGTACGTTCACAGCTCACTGCAACTTCAAACTCTTGGGCTCAAGTGATCCTCCTGCTTCAGCCTCTTGAAGAGCTGGACCTACAGGCAGGCACACACCACTATGACTGGCTAATTTTAAAATATATTTGTAGATACAGGGTCTCGCTATATTGCCCAGGTTGGTCTAGAACTCCTGGCCTCAAGCCATCCTCTCACCTCAGCCTACCAAAGTGTTGGGATTACAGGCATAAGCCACTGTGCCTGGCATATTTCTCATTTTATTTTTATTTTATTTTTTGAGACAGAGTCTCCCTCTGTCACCCAGGCTGGAATGCAGTGGTGCGATCTCAGCTCACTGCAACCTCCGCCTCCCAGATTCAAGCCATTCTCATGCCTCAGCCTCTGGAGTAGTAGGGACTACAGGTGTGTATCACCATGCCCGACTAATTTTTATATTTTCAGTAGAGATGGGGTTGGGGTTTTCCCATGCTGGCCAGGCTGGTCTCGAACTCCTGACCTCAAGTGATCTGCCCACCTCGACCTCCCAAAGTGTTGGGATTACAGGCGTGAGCCACTGTGCCTGGCCTTATTTCTCATTTTAAAAAGGCCTTTGTTCCTAAATGTTCTCTGAACTCACTGGAAATTTAAAACTGAAGTTAACTAAAAATAAAAACCATTCTGTATTGGAAGCAGATTATATCTGAGGCAGACAGCTTTTCCCCAAGAGTCTGGGCCAAGCCAGTATATGATCATCCCACCACAGATAACAGTTCTGATGTATTTAGTGTATATTATCTTATAGGTACTCATGCAATGCTGCATATTATTGTGTTGTTGTTGTATATGCTTAATGAATATAAATGATACCACATTAGAATTTCATTCTGTTTCTTCCTTTTTTTTTTTGTTAGGCTCCATTCATGTTGTTAGATTTACAGTTACTACTAAAACTAAGGATGGAAATGCCCTTTGGCCCAGATACACCACTTCCTCATATCCACCTTGAAGAAACCTTCCCACATTTCCTAAGTATGTGTATACAATAATATTCTTTGCAGCATTGTTTGTAACAGCAGAATATTGGAAACAAATTCAGTATTTTATAAGATTTTTTCATTAAATTATAATATCAAATCTGTACTTTCTTACTCAATATCAACTTGCTTGTGACCACTATCTGATTTAAATTGCTTCTAGGCTGGGCGCGGCAGCTCACGCCTGTAATCCCAGCACTTTGGGAAGCTGAGGCGGGCGGATCTGTTGAGGCCAGGAGTTTGAGACCAGCCTGGCCAACATGGTGAAACCCCATCTCTACTAAAAATACAAAAATTAGCCGGGCGTGATGGCAGGCGCCTGTAATCCCAACTACTTGGGAGGCTGAGGCAGGAGAATCACTTGGACCCGGGAGACGGAGGTTGCAGTGAGCCAAGATCGCAGTACTACACTCCAGATTGGGCATCAGGGCTCTGTCTCAAAATAATAATAATAATAAAATAAATTGCTTCTAAGTGGAGTTATCATTCTGTGCATTGTAGAACGTTTAGCAGCATCCTTGGCCTGTACTTACTAGACGTCAGTAGCACACCTCCCTTATGTAACAATCAAAAAGTGTCTCCAGACATTGAAAAATGTCCTCCAGGGGTGGAGGAGGGACATTGAGAACCACTGGCATAAATACAAGGGGAAGATAAATAAATAAATTCAGCTAGAGACCTTGCATGGACCACTGACAATCATTTCTTGTATTTGTATAGAACTTTGGAGTTCTTATGTACTTTAATTTTCTATAAACTATATTCATTGTAAAAAATGAGAAAATGTACACAAGCAAATGGAAAACAAACATATACATAATTCTACCAGCCAGAGATCAACTATTATCCCCCTAGCCCTAGACACACACATATTCACTTTTACAAACAACCTTGCACTGTAATATTGTCCTACTACCTACCTTTCTCACTAATGATATCTCATTAGCTTTTTTTGATGTCACATTATAATATGTTAAAGCTTAATAGGGAGACAGAACAGAAATTTATTCTACTTTAGAGATGAGGTCATTGAGACTTAGTGAAGTTAAAAGAATTTCTAATATTCTATCTTGTTATCAACTCCCACTATCAACAGAAATTTGGAAAAGCAAATTTTAGAAAAAGGATGTGTAACAAGGCTAGTGAATAGGATTTTTTTTAAAAACACTCTTCTTTTAGTTTTTAGTTTTTTAAAAAAATATTTTCCTTTTTCGTTTTGGAAGAAACTAAAACTTTCTACCTAATAGCATTACAAACATGTTAAAGGGGATAAATGTGTACTGATCTTCCTTGGTTTTTCTTTTCAGGTTTGGGGCTATCTCACTCTGGTGTTTATGGGAGCGGGAGACAGGGAAAGGGGAGGGAGATTCTGCTTTTGTTGTGACTGTTACACTCTGGATGGGAACTGGCCTCCTTTTAATAGCACATTAACAACATTATTCTACCCAAAGGAAGACAGCTTCCCTTTGGCCTTAGCTGCCTTGTGAGTTTGGTGAACTCCCATCTCTGGCAATGTTCAACCTCTAAAATTCAACTCTAAAATCTTATGAAATATTTTTTGGAACCCTAGTTTCCGTAATTCCAAAACTACAAGCTTCTAGAATTCTGAGATTCTGGGACTCTAGCACAGAGTCTCTCAGTTGTTGTCCTGGTCTTTCTCTACAAAAGGCTATACTCTCAAGACAGAATCAAACCCAAGAAGGCTTCCCACCTTCCCAGCATGCTGGGAGTTGAGGGACATGACTGTTTTTGATACTTCATGGTATTTCTAAAATTAATTTGGACAGCATGTGTGAACAAATGGAAAATTCATCAGAGAGATGGAAATCATACAAAATAGTGAAATGGAAATGTGAGTAATAAAAAAATAGTAACAGAGACAAATAATTCATTAAAAATTTTTTTTTTTTTTAGAAACAAGGTCTCACTTTGTTCCCTAGGCTAGAGTACAGTGGCACAATTACAATGCACTGCGTCCTGGAACTCCTGGGCTCAACTGATCCTCCCGCCTTAGCCTCCTAAGTAGCTAGGACTTCAGGTGCATGTCACCACGCCCATCTATTTTCATATATATATATTTTTAGAGACGGGGTCCTGCTGTGTTGCCCAGGCTTATCTTGAACTTCTGGCCCCAAGCAGTCCTTCTACCTTGGCCTCCCAAAGTGCTGGGATTACAGGCATGAGCCACCACTAAGAATTCTTTTGATAAAGTTATCAGTGGACTCAATGAAGACAAGGAAATAATCTGTGAACTTGATGATAGGTCAATAAAAATTATCCAAACTGAAATATAAACAGAAAAAAAGAGTGAAAAAACTAGAACATCCAAGAGCTGTGGGACAATGTCAAACTGTTTAACATATGAGTAATTGGAATCCCAGATGAAGAAGACAGAATGTGGCAAAAGAAATATTTGACTTTGAGAAGATGAGGTAAGAGGATCACTTGAGTTCAGAAGTTCAAGACCAGCCTGGGCGACACAGTGAGACTCCTCCATCTCTATTAAAAAATATAAAATAAATATTTGAAGAAAAAAAGAAATAATGGCCAAAAATTTTCAAAAAATAATAAAAGACATAAAACTATAGATCAAAAAGTTCAGAGCCGAGTGCAGTGGTGTATGCCTGTAGTCCCAGCTACTTTGGAGGCTAAGGCAAGAGGATGTTTTGAGTTCAGGAGTTTGAGGCCAGCACAGGCAACATCATGAGACCTCGTCTAAAAAAAAAGTGCAGAGAAAAATACCAAAATAAAGAGGATAAGGACCAACACAATACACACACACACACCTGCCTAGACACATCATATTCAAACTGATGTAAATAAAAAATAAAGGGAAAACCTTGAAAGCAGCCAAGGGAAAAAGACATTTAGATACAGAGAAACAGATATAAGAATTAAAGTTATCAGAAATTATGCAAATCAGAAGACATTGAAGTGATAGCTTGTCAGTGTTTACACAAAAACATTGTCAACCCAGAGAAAATATCTTGCAAAAATGAAGGAGAAGTAAAGCCTTTTTTTAAAAAAACAAATGAAAACTAAGATAATTACTGGCAGATCTGTTCTATAAAAGTTAAATTCTTCAGGAAGAAGAAATATTATTCCAGACAGAAACTTACATCTATAAAAAGAAATGACAATCTTTGGAGATGGTTAAAGTATAAAAGATAGTTTTTCCTTATTTTTAACTTTTAAAAAAATTGTTTTAGAGACAGGGTCTTGCTCTGTTGCTCAGGAGAGTAGTGGCACAGTCATAGCTCACTGCAACCTCAAACTCCTGGGTTCAAGCAATCCTCCTCCCTGGGCCTCTCAAAGCACTGGGATTACAGGTATGAGCCACTGTGCTCAGCCTGTTCTTCTTTATTTTAAATTGCTCTAAAAGAGATTTGATTAAAGCAGAGACAAGCAAACTATGGCCTATGGGCTGGTGTGTATGTATGCGTGAAAGATTCTCCCCGGGGCCTGAAAACTTGAAGGGATGAATAACACCTTCCTTCTCAGGCCTAGTCCAAGGTGCAAGGCCCTTGCACCAGCAGCGTGCGTCAGCAAGATAGCAGAAGCAGGAAGAGAGCTGGCTGGAGGACACCTACCCTGGCCGGAAGACACCTACCCTGGCCAGAAGACACGTACCCCTGAAGATCGAGAAAGAGTCCGTCTGGGTACTAGGTACCAGTCATGTCAGACTGGGACACTTCCTGTTTACAGAGGACTATGAAACCCCTGTCCTGTCCTCACTTGGGGCTGATGCCATTTTAGGCCTCAGGCCGCCTGCACCCAGGAGCTCATTAAAACAGCATGTTGCTCCACACCACCTCGTGTTGTCTGTTGGTGCGCTCTTGGGGTTCGAACCGATACAAGAACCTTTCAATGTGTATGTGTATGTGTGTGTGTATATATATATCACATTTTGTTTATCCATTCATCCATTGACAGACACTTAGGTTGATTCTGTATATTTGCTATTGTGAATAGCACTGCAGTAAACATGCTAGTGCAGGTATATTTTTCATAAAATAATTTCTTTTCTTCTGGGTAGATAGCCAGTAGTGGATGGATCAAATGATTGTTCTATTTTTAGTTTTTTTGAGAAATCTCCATACTTTTTCATAGAGGCTGTAGTAATTTACATTCTCTAATGCAAATACAACAATGTATTAGCATTCCTTTTATTCTGCTCCTTGCCAACATCTGTTATATTTTGATTTCTTAATAATAGCCATTCTGACTGGTGTAACGTGATATTTCATTGTGGTTTTAATTTGCATTTCTCTGATGATTAGTGATGTTGAACATTTTTTCATATTAAGAAATGTCTACATATGTCATTTGGCAACTTTCTAATGGAGTTATTAATGTTGGGGTTTTTTTTTTTTTTGAGTTGTTTCAATTCCTTGTAAATTCTGGATATCAGTCCCCTGTTGGATGCATAGTTTGCAAATATTTTCTCCTATCTTGCAGATTGTCTGTTCACTTTGTTAATTATTATTTTGCTGTGCAGCAGCTTTTTAGCTTAATTAAGTCCCATTTGTCTATTTTTGTTTTTGTTGCCTGTACTTTTGAGGTCTTAGTCATGAATTCTTCGCCTAGTCTAATGTCCAGAAGTGTTTTCCCTGGGTTTTCTTCTAGCATTTTAATAGTTTCAGGTCTTATGTTTAAGTCTCTAATCCAACTTGAGTTGATTTTTGTATATGGTGAGAGATAGGGGGTCCAGTTTTATTCCTCTGAATATGGCAATCCAATTTTATCAGCATCATTTATTGAAAAGGGTATCCTTTTTCCAGTGTATGTTTTTGTCAACTTTGTCAAAAATCATTT
Organism: Homo sapiens; assembly: GCF_000001405.40. Taxonomy (NCBI): domain Eukaryota; kingdom Metazoa; phylum Chordata; class Mammalia; order Primates; family Hominidae; genus Homo; species Homo sapiens. Next base: position 151,375,364 of record NC_000005.10, read on the forward strand.
GGCTATAGACATGTGGCTCTATTTCTGGGTTCTTTATTCTGTTCCATTGGTCTTTGTGTTTATTTCTATACCAGTGTCATGCTGTTTTGGTTACTATAGCCTTGCGGTATAATTTGAGGTCAGGTAATGTGGTGCCTTCAGCTCTATTCTTTTTGCTTTGGATGCTTTGGCTATTTGGGCTTTTGGGGGAGGGGTTCCATATAAATTTTAAGGTTTTTTTTTCTGATTCTGTGAAGAATGAGCATGGAATTTTAATAGGGATTGCATTGAATCTCTAGATCACTTTGGGCAGTATAGTCATTTTAACAACTGTGTTTTCTAGTTTTCCTTGTAGAGATCTTTCACCTCCTTGGTTAAATATATTCCTAGGTATTTTATTTTTTGTAGCTAATGTAAATGGGATTGCCTTCTTGATTTGGTTCTCAGCTTGATTGTTATTGGCATATAGAAATGCTACTGATTTTTGTATATTGATTTTGTATCCTAAAACTTTGCTGAATTCATTAATCAAACCTAAGAGTTTTTTGTTTTTGGAGGAATTTTTAGGTTTTTCTAGACATAGATCATATTATCATCAAACAGAGGTACTTTAACTTCCCTTTCCCAGTTGTATGCCTTTATTTCTTTTTCTTGCCTGATTGCTCTGGCAAGGACTTCCAGTACCATGTTGAATAGGAATGGTGAGAGTGGGCATTCTTGTCTTACTCCAGTTCTTAGGGAGATTGCTTTAAACTTTTCCCTGTTCAGTATGGTATTGGCCATGGGTTTGTTGTATACGGCCCTTGTTGTTTTGAGGTATGTTCCTTCTTTGCCTATTCTGTTGAGGGTTTTTATCATGAGGGAATGCTGGATTTTATAAAATTATTTTTCTTCATCTATTAAGATAATCATATTGTTTTTGTCCTTAATTCTGTTTATGTGATAAATCACAGTTATTGATTAGATAAATCAATAAATAGTCTAGCTAGAAGTTTGTCAATTTTGCTTATCTTTTCAAAGAACCAACTTTTTGTTTTGTTGATCCTTTTTATCTTTTTTTGTTTTCAATTTCATTTAGTTCTGCTCTAATCTTTATTATTTCTTTTCATTTGTTAGCTTTGGGTTGGGTTTGTTCTTGTTTTTCTAGTTCCCAGAGGTGTGATAATAAGTTGTTAATTGGTGATCTTTCTATTTTGTTTTGATGTAGGCATTTAACTCTATAAACGTCCCTCTTAGCACTACTTTTTTTATATATCTCAGAATTATGTTGTATATCCATTTCATTCATTTCAAAAATTTTTTTTTTTGAGATGGAGTTTCACTCTTGTTGCCCAGGCTGGAGTGCAATGGTGTGATCTTGGCTCACTGCAACCTCTGCCTCCCAGGTTCATGTGATTCTCCTGTCTCAGCCTCCTGAGTAGCTGGGATTACAGGCACATGCCACCACACCTGGCTAATTTTTGTATTTTTAGTAAAGATGGGGTTTCATCATATTGGTCAGGCTGGTCTCGAACTCCTGACTTCAGGTGATCCACCTGCCTCGGCTTCCCAAAGTGCTGGGATTACAGGCATGAGCCGCCGCACCCGGCCAAAAAAATTTTAAATTTCCATCTTAATTTCATCATGGACCCAAAGATCGTTAAGGGACATATGGTTTAATTTTCATGTATTTGGATAGTTTTGAAAGTTCCTCATGGTATTGATTTCTAGTTTTGTTTCCCTGTGGTCTGAGAAGACACTTCATAGGGTTTCAGTTTTTAAAAATTTATTGAGACTGATTTGTGGACTAACATACAATATGTCTTGGAGAATATTCCATGTGCTGATAAGAATGTATACTCTGCAATTGTTGGGTAGAATGTTCTGTAAATATTATTTGGTCCATTTGGCCTAGAGTCCAGTTTGAGTCTAGTGTTTCTTTGTTGATTTTCTGTCTCAGTGATCTGTCTAATGCTATGAGTGGGGTATTGAAGTCCCCCACTATTATTGTATTGCTGTCTCTTTCTTTTTTTTTTTTTTTTTTTGAGACGGAGTTTCGCTCTGTCGCCCAGGCTGGAGTGCAGTGGCGCGATCTCGACTCACTGCAAGCTCCGCCTCCCGGGTTCACGCCATTCTCCTGCCTCAGCCTCCCGTGTAGCTGGGACTACAGGCGCGCGCCACCATGCCCGGCTAATTTTTGTATTTTTAGTAGAGACGGGGTTTCACCGTGTTAGCCAGGATGGTCTCGATCTCCTGACCTCGTGATCCGCCCGTCTCGGCCTCCCAAAGTGCTGGGATTACAGGCGTGAGCCACCGCGCCCGGCCTGCTGTCTCTTTCTTTAGGTCTAGTAATACTTGTTTTATAAATTTGGGTGCTCCAGTGTTGGATGCATATATATTTAAATTGCGATATACTCTTCTTGAATTGATCTCTTCACCATTATGTAATTATTTTCTTCTTTTTTAACTATTTTTGATTTAATATCTATTTTATCTGATACAAGTATAGCTACTCCTGCTCACTTTTGGTTTCTGTTCATGTAGAATATCTTTTTCCATCTTTTAATCTTCAGTGTCTAAGTGTCTTTACCAGTAAAGTGAGTTTTTTATAAGTGGCATACCGTTGGTTCATTTTAAAGCTCAATCCCGTAATCTCTATCTTTTAAGTGGGGTCTTTATTTAGTCCAAATTGGCTTAAGATAACTGGAAATGGGCTATTAAGCTGTTGAGCAAGGGTGATGTGATCTTCACTAAGAAGGTATACAGGTTGATGTTGGCTAATTTCCACATTGGTACAAACATTGATGTCTCCATGCAAGAAAAAGGTGAAAGAGCAGGACAATCATTCACTTTTATTTATAGGTTTTTAATCTTCTTCATGAGACTGTACAAACCACTTGCCAATACATACAAAGTTCTGGTTCATTAAACACCATCCCAACAGACTGTGAACTGCTTTGAAAAGCAGAGTATGGCATTCAGAGTAAAGTCTTTTCTCCCATACTCCATCCTCCTCGTCTGTTAAATCCTGGTAAATAAGGTCAGCAAAATTGGGGTCTTTGCCCCACCAAAATATTGACAATTCTCTTCTTCTAGGTATTTGATCTTGCTGCCAAACACCAGCTATATCTGTCTTAAGGCAGCGATTAAAGCTGTTCAAATTAGGGTCACCTTGAGTCGTGGGAAACATAATAGGGGCAGAAGTTGGGCCTTGCCATACATATCTTTTCCATTTAATCCCTGTCGAGTCAGCCAGGCAGAAGAGGTCATGGTGACCATCTTCCAGGCTGGCCTGGTTCATCATGAAGGAGGAATTCATCATCTCTCATAGTAGCTGCCACCAGCACCACAGCCACCATCTGCCATTACTGCCACCGCCAACCACAGATAAAAACGCTTGACACCGGGGAGGGTGAGAGGTGGGTGGTGGTTGGAGGAGTTGAGGAAAAGGAGGTTGCTGGGCCACCTGCCACCTCTACCCACCCCCTGCCACTGCCATGAGCAGCCACTGTCACTTGGCTGGCACACAGCCACCTGGGCCTGAGGGCCAGAAGGGGAGGGCCATGCTGCACTCACCCAGCAGGCTGGACCGTGGAGCCAATGGATGGACACCCGTATCTCTCGGAAGAAGAGAGGAGATGTGTGGCCTTTTCACAGGAACAATAATAAATTACACAATAAATAATCAAAATTGGGTCAGAGTTGGCAAAGCCCAAGCCCTGGAAATTTCTCCCAGGTGGGGAGGTGCTTGCACAGGGTCAGGAAAGCTGAGAATGGGGAGAGAAGCCCAGGCCCCCAGCCTGGCAGTGGTAATGTCCTTAAGCCTATAGTCTCCTCAATGGTGGCAGAATTTGCAGACTCAGACCATTCTCTGGCTCCATCTTTGTGTTGTCTCTTGCTGAGCCAGCCTAACGTTGGCCCTCCTGCTGCCTCACTGCCTGGATACCATTTTATGAGCCAAGTAGGCGATGTTTTTTTCCTACTTTAATTGAAATTTATAGGTTTTCTTATTTATTGATTTATTTATTTGAGACAGAGTTTTGCTCTTGTTGCCCAGGCTGCAGTGCAATGGCACGATCTTGGCTCACTGCAACCTCCGCCTCCCGGGTTCAAGCGATTCTCCTGCCTCAGCCTCCCAAGTAGCTGGGATTACAGGCATGCGCCACCACACCCAGCTAATTTTGTATTTTTAGTAGAGATGGGGTTTTGCCATTTTGGTCAGTCTGGTCTCGAACTCCTGACCTTGGTGATCTGCCCGCCTCGGCCTCCCAAAGTGCTGGGATTACAGGCATGAGCCACCGTGCCCGGCGCTCTTCACTTTAATTGTGGCCACAGGGACCTGCTTGCCCTCTCTGGGGTAAATTTTAACATTATATTTAACTTAACACAATATACCCCAAATATTACTCTTTCAATGTGTAACAATATAAAAACTATTAAAATATTTTACATGTTTTGTACTACAGTTTTAAAATCTAATATTTATTTTATACTTATGGCACGTCTCAATTCAGATTAGTCACATTTCAAGCGCTCAATGTGGCTAGCAACTATATTAATGCAGGCATACAAGAAATATTATAGCATTAAGTGCTTATATTAGAAAAGAAAATAGGTCTCTAATCGATAATCTAAACTCTGATGTCAAGCAACTAGAAAAAAAAATTAACTCAAAGCAAGGTGAAGGGGAGAAAAAGAAGAAAAAATGCACAAAATTGAAAACAGTGTAAAAACGATACAGGAAAATTAATAAACCAGAAAATTATTTGTTTGAAAAGATCAATAAAATCTACCAGACTATTCAAGAAAGAAAAGACAAGAAGACACAGATTACCAATATCAGAAATGAAAAATAGGACATCACTCTAGATCCTATTGACATTAAAAGGATAATAAGGAAATGTTAAAAAGAACCCTAGGTGGGAGGCTGCGGCGGGCGGATCACCTGAGGTCCGGAGTTCGAGACCAGCTTGGCCAACGTGGTGAAACGCCCTCTCTACCAAAAACATACAAATTAGCTGCCAGGAGACCGGCCACAGTTGTGGGGCGAGGACCAGAGTGAGCAGGAAAAACAAGAGCGTGTGGAAACCCAAAGGAAGAAGCAGAAAGAATGGATACTGTAGCTCAAGACCTAGCTAGATGACTTGGAAACATGTGCCTATCCAAGAGCAGTTATGATGCCCTGCGGCAGTTCGTGTGTTGGAAAGACAGTGGGTGATCCTAGACAAGTTAATAAAGAAACTGGACATGCGTCTGAATGAGGACATCAGTTCCCTGTCCACTGAAGAACTTCGTCAGTTTGTAGATGCAGTAGTGGCTCACATCGTCAACCCAGCCCTAGTCAAAGATCAGTTGGTTGAGCAACTGAAAACTCAGATCGGAGACCTCTAGATGTCCATCGACCTCATCCAAGATGAAGTGGGAAGCCCCTTGCAGACAGATGGTGGACATTGTGAGCGCAAGGCCTCTGGGAAGACAGGAAATGGTTCCACCAGAACTGGCAGCAGCAGACCCACTGCCTCCAGGACACAGCAAAACAAAGGCAAGGGATGTGAAGAAAGTCCAAGGGACGGGGCTGCACCTGATGCCGCAAGCATTGGCAATGCTCCAGATTTTGCTGTTAGCTAATTTGGTTGTGTGACAGGCCAGATCCCTCCAACCCTATAACAGAGGGGCCAGGCTGACAGACTATGCTCTCTTGTTGAAGAGGCGGGAGGTGTCAGTGGACAGAGAGAAGCAGCTAGCCTTGAGGCACCAGCCACACGACCATGTCACCACCTCTGCCATCCTCCAGGACCTCTCTCTGGCAGGCAAGGATGAGCTGGCCATGGCTGTGTGGAAGGAGCTGATGGTGGCTGTGAGGGACCTGCTAGCCCATGGACTATATGCCTCCTCCTCAGGAATGAGCCTCATCATGGCTCCTATTGCTCATTTGCTGCCAGCCTTCTCCTCAGCCCCTGAGCCCATGCACCCCTGGGAGCTCTTTGTAAAGTACTGAAACCGCCTTTGTAAAATTATGACTGAGACAGTGAAAGAGATCTAATTTAACTGACTCCATCTTGCTTCTAACCCCCAAGCCATCTTTGTTCATTCCTGGGCACAAGCTGAACTAACTATGGAAGAAACTTAGTTTGCAGTTTATAGTTTAAACAAAGATGGTAACAGCCCTTTCCCAAAGCAGACCTCCTTCTTATCTGGGGACTAGACTAGCCACAGGATTAGAAATTATGGTTTAAGAGTCATGCACCTGGAGGCTACAAGATTCTGACCCTCCATAAACTGGTCCTAAGATCAGTTCTTGCGATATTTTGTGGGCCCTGCACTTGACAGATCAGCTGGCACCACCCAGATTGATAAACTGGCTTGTCTGATCTTGTGGCCCCCACCCAGGAACTGACTCAGTGCAAGAAGACAGCTTTGACTCCCTGTGATTTCAACCCTGACCAATCAGCACTCCTGGCTCACTGGCCCCGCCCCCTACCCACCATGTTATCCTTAAAAACTGCCCCTAAATGCCTGGGGAGACCGATTTGAGTAATAATAAGACTGGTCTCCCGCAAAGCCAGCTTTGTGTGAATTACTCTTTCTCTGTCGCAATTCCCTTGTCTTGATGAATCTGCTCTGTCTAGGCAGTCAGCAAGGTGAACCCCTTGGGGGGTTACAGTACTACCATGCTAAAAATGGCAGTGCTTATGCCCAGCCCGGGAGCTCTCCCAGTCTTTGCCCTTCCTGTTACAGGAGGCACTGATGTAACCCCCAAAGAGAGCCTACTGACAGTCATCCACATGGTGCTGACAGAGCACGACCCTTTCAAGCACAGTGCAGACTCTGAATTGAAGGCTTTGGTGTGCATGGCACTGAATGAGCAGCGTCTGATGTCCTGGGTGAACCTCATCTGCAAGTGCGGGTCACTCATCGAGACTCACTACCAGCCTGGGAGCTACATAGCACACACAGGCTTTGAGAGTGCCCTCAACCTGCACAGTCGCCTCAGCAGCCTCAAGTTCAGCCTCCCTGTAGATCTGGCCATGCGCCAGCTCAAAAATATCAAAGATGCCTTTTGATGAGAATGCCCTGACTCCAGGCAAGCTCCTTGCTCAGTAGGGATAGATGTGTTAGTCTTCTAGCATAGAAGCAAGGAATCAAAGATGGGGTTAAATGCATTTTTCCCAGACCCTGCTTAGGTCATCAGCCAAATGAGTGCAAAGTGTGTTTTCCCCACCAACTTAGCATCTTGGAAAGATGTGCTGGAGACTCTCTTGTTAAGAAGGTTCTGCCCTGGTGTGTAACCATAGTGTGCATGTGGGCACATGTGCTTGAGCCTGTGTTAAAGAAATCAATTGTGGCACATAGTACCCCAACTCATTGCGCCAAATCTGATTCTCAGAAAACCTAGGTTGCTTTAACCATTCTCTTTATGGCCGTGAGTGACAACATGAGTGAGTCATTGGTACCAGAATAATTTTGCCTGGAGGAACCTGTTAGTTGAGCCATCTTTCACTTGAAGCATGTTTGAGAGGCCAAGGCCAGAATTTAAATTCCTTTTATGAATAGATTTCCCTTTCTTCCTGACCCCAAGGCCAGAGGAGACTATATATTCCATGGCTGCCTCTAAAACTAGGAATGGGGATATCTGAAAACAGCATTAAAGCCAGGATGGTCTCAATCTCCTGACCTCGTGATCCACCCACCTCGGCCTCCCAAAGTGCTGGGATTACAGGAGTGAGCCACCGCACCCGGCCCACAGTCTTTTTAGAAGTAAATATATTCAAGTTAAATGAGCAAATCCTTGCCACCCAAGTTGAGTATGTACAGGAATACAAATCGGTAACCTGCAGCTGTTCCTCTTTGGGTTGTGACTCACTGGGCACCACTTGTCCTGGAAGCTGGCTGGCTGGAGGACACCTGATCTGGTAATAAATACGGCAGCAGGGATAGGTGCCACAGCAGGATAGCAACGACAGCAGATCACTGTTTCCAGGCCGGGGGTGGAGTATTTCATTGTGAAACTGACTCTAGAATGGTTCTATTTGGTCTGCAGTATTGTAGCCTCATTAGTTCACATTTGTCGTACAGCTTATGATGTTCACATTTGTCATACAGCTTGTGATGAGTACTACTCTAGGATTGGCCAAAGATGGGCAAAATATATCACTCCAAACACTACTGATTCAGCATTGTTATCATGTCTTAAATTGCCAGCTGCACTTTTTTTTCTGCACTACATAATGTAGTGCATTTTAACTTAAATTTTTTTTTTTTTTTTTTGGAGACAGAGACTCGCTCTGTCGCCCAGACTGGAGTGCAGTGGCACCATCTCGGCTCACTGCAACCTCCACCTCCCAGGTTCAAGCAATTCTCCTGCCTCAGCCTTCCAAGTAGCTGGAATTACAGGCACCTGGCATCACGCCTGGCTAATTTTTGTATTATTAGTAGAGACGGGGTTTCACCATGTTGGCCAGGCTGGTCTCAAACTCCTGACCTCAGGTGATCTGCCCGCCTCGGCCTCCCAAGGTGCTGAGATTACAGGCGTGAGCCACCGCACCCAGCCTTTAACTTAAATTTTTTTCAGCAACATGTTACTTGTTTAAGGTACGTTATTGGTATTTCATTAGAATTAGTTCACCTTCTCTGTGAAACAAGTCCATTGTAAAACGTAGTGGAAAATGATACATATGTGGTTGCTAATAAAATCATAGTGTTTTGTGACAAAAAAAAAAGAACCCTATGCCATGAAGGCAAATGTCTTCATTTCTGAAATTCTTCAAATTATTCTCTCTAAAATGTTTGTATCTTCCAAAAAAAAAATCTCCTAGTATGAGCTGCATAACATGTTGCACCCTAGATTGGGCATCAGGAGACCTGTGTTCTAGTCCTTGCTCTGAAACTAACTTTCTGGGAGATCCAACATGTATCCTCTCCTTTCCGGGTGTTGGCTCTAGAAGCACTTTCAGTTTCCTTATCTGTGCTCCATGAATTATTAGTTACTTGCCTGAGAGGTCTGACTCAGGGTGCCTCCAAAACAGTTCTTACATATTAGGTGTGAGCCAGGAAGAAACAATGCCGGAAGAGAAATCTATGGGTTGTATATTTAAAACAAATGAGAGCTAGCAGTTTACACATCTAGAGTGAATATTTTCAAGGCAAACATATATGTTTCATGCCTTCTATAATCTGCAGTTTACAATGCATCAGACAATAGCTCAAAAGCATCATCCTTCAGATTCAGTAATTTAATCACTCATTTTTGATTTTCACTTATAAAGAAAACCAAAGAAGAGAATCTCAGACTTGGAAGGAGCTTCTCATAGGTTATATAGCAAAACTATTCCTCTCTTGGAAAGTGGTTGTCCTGCCTCTGCTTAAATACCTTCGGAGATCGGGCACTCACTATACTCTTCTCACCCAGTATAAAAAAGCTCTTTGTTATGTTGAGCTTAAAATATGCAACCCTCAAACCTCTCACTCATTAGTGCTTATTCCAACCTCACAGTATAAGCCATTCCACGCTCACCATTTACAGACATGAAGCCATTTTGCTGAACAGCCAGTAGGGGACCCTGAAGATCTTCCAGTAACAAAATATAAAGTCAAAAAGATGCAGAAAGAAACTTGTTTTATTAGGCAATTTTATTTTAAGTGAGGTGTGTATGTGTGTGTGTGTGGGTGTGTGAGAGAGAGAGAGAGAGTGTGTGTGTGTGTGTGTGTGTGTGTGTGAGAGAGAGAGAGAGAGACAGAGAGAAAGAGGGGCAGGAGGGTGCTTAAAGGCCTTCATAAATACCTTGGGAATAAAATCTAGGTCCTGGTTGCAAATTGGCCACCTGAGTACCACGCTTTTTGAATTAGCTGCCACTATTTAAAAACTGGAAAAGTTGCACAGACATACACAAAACCAAAATTCCTGGCTTCTTTGAGACTTGGAAATGACCCAGCATGGACCCTCTCTAGCTGGAGATGGGTAACTTTAGACTAAGCCATGTGCTGTTTTCTGGGCATGGCCCCTGCTCAGTCACTCACTTACCCTTCCCACCTGGCCATGTCAGGCAGGGAGAGAAAGTCACATTTTTAAACCTTGTTCTTTGAGCAGACTGTGGGGCTCCTAGGAATTTCCAAGGGGAAAAAACCCAGAATCGCCATCCAAATTGGAAATGCCTTAGAGGGCTTCCAACAAATTCTCATTTTCCAAATTGAGAAATGATTTACATTTTCATCCTTGTCTCTGGTAGTAATAGTGGCCAGGATGGGGCCAGGTAGCTCTGAGGAAGCAGATTCTGACTGAGACCATCTGAGAGGGCAGCTCTTTGTTGGCAGAAGTGCAAAACCTTTCACAGCCCCTTTTGCCAAAATGGGGAGAACTAGGGAATCTTAGGGCAACACCCCAATAAAAAAAACAATAAAACAAAACAATAAAAAAAGAGACAAAAACCAAACCAAACAAACAGCAACAACTACCTTTACATACCATTTTTGCACACAATTCTAGGAAGTTTATGGGTCATTGTTCAGGTTCTAATATGAAACCTTTTAAGAACAGAGGTTTCCTTCTGTATCTTTTTTTTTTTTTTTTTGAGACAGAGTCTTGCACTGTCTCCCGGGCTGGAGTGCAATGGCGCGATCACAGCCCACTGCAACCTCCGCCTCCCAGGTTCAAGTGATTCTCCTGCCTTACCCTGCCGAGTGGCTGTGATTATAGGCGCCCGCCACCACGTCTCGCTAACTTTTTTTTTTTGTATTTTTAGTAGAGATGGGGGTTTCACTATGTTGGCCAGGCTGGTCTCAAACTCCTGACCTCGTGATCCACCTGCCTCAGCCTCCCAAAGTGCTGAGATTACAGGCATGAGCCACCGCACCCGGCCCCTTCTGTATCTTTTTGGCTTTATATTTTGTTGTCAGATCTTCAGGGTCCCCTACTGGCTGTTCACCAAGCTGGCTTCATGTCTATAAATGGCAAGTGTGGAATGGCTTATACTCTGAGGTTGGAATAAGCACTACTGAGTGAGAAGTTTGAGAGATACAAACTTTAATTTGAACTTAGTTTCCTCCTGATCCAGAGCTTTAACTACTTTTAGTATTTGAAGATAATAACTCTGACCATTTCTCTAACTTGGTTAATGTCATATCCATCCTGTTTTTCACAGTTACCCTTACCTGGTGACTTCTGTCATGTGATGTCCACTTGTGTGGACATCTGTTGCTTTTAACACTCATCAATTCCCCATTCTTGGTGTAGAACCCATTTTTGCTTTGAGATACCATCCCTCTCACTGCATGGGTGTCTTGGTGGCACTGTCAATCAAAAAGCCCTGACTTTCCTTGCCCAACAGATGGGCTTGTGCAATTGGACACTCTCTCCATAGAATTTGCGTCTTGAGCATTGCACTCAAGAACAGAAAACAATTGGTGGAAATTCATCCCAGAGGCACAGTCCCACTGACTTCAGTCTCAGGCTCTGCCCGGTCCCTGTCTTTCTCAATGTCTGCTTCTTTAGCTTTCCCTTGACTCTGTGAGGCATGTTCAAATCCATTTGTTTTAATTTAAGTTGTCCAGAGTTATATTCTGTTGTTTGCCTCCAAAGAACCTAACCAATGTGCTTCTCTTAGGTTCAGCTTAATTCCACAAACATTTACTAAGCCTGGAATGTTGCACTTGCTCTAGGGAGGTCCTGGTGGCCCAACTCCTGTAAACTCCTGGGGCCTGGTGGAGGGACAGAAAAGAAGCAAATCTTTCTGCCTTTTACTCACATGTCTTACAAAGCATGGCAGAGCCAATGCCCAAGTCTACCATGAGGGTTCAGCACTTGCACACCCAGGAAACAGTGACAGGCACAATGATCTTGGCAGAGACATAGAACTGCAGGGGGTAGGTAAGGCAGATGCCACCCAAGTAGAGGAGCTCAACAGACTGGTACAACCTGTGCAAGGCAGAGGGGATCAGGAAAGATCCACGCACAGACACCAGCAGGCTCTGGAGGACCCATGGGGGTTAGTCGGGAGATCATTCAGGCCAGAGCATGAGACAGAAATTGGGAATAGTTAAAATTGCTTCCAATAACCCCCTAATTGCTAGAGAACATAGCAAGGTGCCAAGAGGCTATCTAGTAGAAACAATTGCAAACATGTCTTTAGGCACTGGAGTCTCACTCAAGTGGCAAGAGTCTCACTCTCTATGAAGGGCATGAAGGTGCCAAGACCTACAGAGAAGATGGTGGATTCATGTTCTCCATCTCAACTCCTGCACAGACATCTCTTCAATGAGTGGGGTGGTGGGTGAAACTGCCTGTGCTATTTATTTATTTATTGAGACAGGATTTCACTCTATTCCCAGGGCTGGAGTGTAGTGGCACAATCCTAGCTCTCTGTAGCCTTGAACTCTTGGGCTCAAGTGATCCTCCCACCTCAGCCTCCCAAGTAGCTGGGAATACAGGCATGTGCCACCATGCCCAGCTTGTCTGCCATTTAAGGACTCTTTGTCTTTTTGAGAACTAAACTCTTACCTTTTTTCTTCTCTTGCGCAAATTCCTATTTAAGGGACCTGGGAAGCCATGCCCTACAGAGCATAAAGTCTCACTAGAAGGGTTTTATTTAACCTTATATAATGTGGCTTGCTTTTGGACCTGACACTGGCATGACATCACATAACAGGCAAGGAGATCAAAATATCGTAACCCCAAATATATTTATTTGCCATATCTTGAAATAGCCCTGCAAAGTTGTTTCTTGCAGGGGAAAAAAGTCTACATTCTGTAGAGAACCCCCTTCCCTTTCTAGGCCTTTTTCTTCAGATCCAGGAGAGATTCAACTAAGTCTGGCCTCTTTTTAAGTCTGATAAGAAACATTTACAATCTATTCTCTCTGAAGCTTGCTACCTGGAGGAGGCTTCATCTGCATGATAAGAACCTTGGTCTTGGCGGTGGCTCATGGCTGTAATCCAAGCACTGTGGGAGGCCGAGGTGGGCGGATCACCTGAGGTCGGGAATTCAAGACCAGACGGTCCAACATGGAAAAACCCCCTCTCTACTAAAAATACAAAATTAGCCAGGCGTGTTGGCGCATGCCGGTAATCCCAGCTACTTGGGAGGCTGAGGCAGGAGAATCGCTTGAATCTGGGAGGTGGAGCTTGTGGTAAGCCTAGATGGCAACATTGCATTCCAGCCTGGGCAACAAGAGTAAAACTCCATCTCAAAAGAAAAAAAAAAAAAAAAAAGAACTTTGGTCTCCACAGTCTTAACCCAGAAAATGTATAAAACCTAGTTGTGGCTCAACCACCTTGGACACATGTCCTCAGTGTCTCTTGAGGGTTGTGTCATGGGCCACCGTCACTAGTATTTGGCTCAGAATAAATCTCTTCAAATATTTTACAGTTTGACTCTTTTCGTCAACACTTTCCTAATTGAATTCACGTGAGATCAGAGAGTGTGTGATGTTTATACTGGAAAAACTAAAAAATTGAAATTTAGGGGACCTGAAATAACTCGGCCTCTACCTCTAAGTATTTAGGTCACTTTACTTCCCTGAACTTTATATGCCTCATCTATAAAATGCAGATATACTCTTTACCTGCTAGAAGGTAGGGGCTGGATCTGATGGTCTCTGAAAGTCTACAATCATAAAACACTAACCACTTGGAACTAATTTTTATCAAAAATAGAAAAAAAACCCCACTGCTTTTAAGGGACATAAGGCAGAGGAAACATTAGTGCCATGTTACTCCAATACTTAAAAAGCCTTTAATCATATCTCATCGCCTACAGGAAAGAGTTACAAACTTGAGCCTGGGATTCAAAGTCCATAGTATTTCAGGTCCGGTGGTTCTAACTGTCTGGCCTGGTTACAATGCTGAGAGTATTGTTCCTCCCTCTGTCTCCACCTTCCTGTGCCTGATGTTGTAACCATTCCAGAGAATGTCTGAAGCATGCAATACACCTTCAAACTTCATGCCTTTCCATGTGCTGTTCCCTCTGCTAAGAAGGCTCTTTCCCTCCCTTTGTAATCTGTGATATTTCTGTTTATTGTTCAAGTTCCTGAGGCTCCTATAATGCCTCCCGTCCCCTGGTAATAATTAATCCTCCTTTTGAGTTTCTTTTTCTTTTAATTTTTTTTTAAATTATACTTTAAGTTCTAGGGTACATGTGCACAATGTGCAGGTTTGTTACGTATGTATACATGTGCGATGTTGGTGTGCTGCACCCATTAACTCGTCATTTACATTAGGTATATCTCCTAATGCTATCCCTCCCCCCTCCCCCGACCCCTCAACACCCTGGTGTGTGATGCTCCCCTTCCTGTGTCCAAGTGTTCTTATTGTTCAATTCCCACCATTGAGTGAGAACATGCGGTGTTTGGTTTTTTGTCCTTGCAATAGTTTGCTGAGAATAATGGTTTCCAGCTTCATCCATGTCCCTACAAAGGACATGAACTCATCCTTTTTTATGGCTGCATAGTATGCCATGGTGTATATGTGCCACATTTTCTTAATCCAGTCTATCACTGATGGACATTTGGGTTGGTTCCAAGTCTTTGGTATTGTGAATAGTGCCGCAATAAACATACATGTGCATGTGTCTTTATAGCAGCATGATTTATAATCCTTTGGGTATTATACCCAGTAATGGGATGGCTGGATCAAATGGTATTTCTAGTTCTAGATCCTTGAGGAATTGCCACACTGTCTTCCACAATGGTTGAACTAGTTTACAGTCCCACCAACAGTGTAAAAGTGTTCCTATTTCTCCACATCCTCTCCAGCACGTGTTGTTTCCTGACTTTTTAATGATCGCCATTCTAACTGATGTGAGATGGTATCTCATTGTGGTTTTGATTTGCATTTCTCTGATGGCCAGTGATGATGAGCATTTTTTCATGTGTCTGTTGGCTGCAGAAACTCCTTCTTTTGAGAAGTGTCTGTTCATATCCTTCACCCATTTGTTGATGGGGTTGTTTGTTTTTTTCTTGTAAATTTGAGTTCTTTGTAGGTTCTGGATATTAGCCCTTTGTCAGATGAGTAGATTGCAAAATTTTTCTCCCATTCTGTAGGTTGCCTGATCACTCTGACGGTAGTTTCTTTTGCTGTGCAGAAGCTCTTTAGTTTAATCAGATCCCATTTGTCAATTTTGGCTTTTGTTGCCATTGCTTTTGGTGTTTTAGACATGAAGTCCTTAGCCATGCCTCTGTCCTGAATGGTATTGCCTAGGTTTTCTTCTAGGGTTTTTATGGTTTTACGTCTAACATTTAAGTCTTTAGTCCATCTTGAATTAATTTTTGTATAAGGTGTAAGGAAGGGATCCAGTTTCAGCTTTCTACATATGGCTAGCCAGTTTTCCCAGCACCATTTATTAAACAGGGAATCCTTTCCCCATTTCTTGTTTTTGTCAGGTTTGTCAAAGATCAGATGGTTGTAGATGTGTGGTATTATTACTCAGGGCTCTGTTCTGTTCCATTGGTCTATATCTCTGTTTTGCTACCAGTACCATGTTGTTTTGGTTACTGTAGCCTTGTAATATAGTTTGAAGTCAGGTAGCATGATGCCTCCAGCTTTGTTCTTTTGGCTTAGGATTGTCTTGGCAATGCAGGCTCTTTTTTGTTCCCATATGAACTTTAAAGTCGTTTTTTTCCAATTCTGTGAAGAAAGTCATTGGTAGCTTGACGGGGATGGCACTGAATCTATAAATTACCTTGGGCAGTATGGCCATTTTCACAATATTGATTCTTCCTATCCATGAGCATGGAATGTTCTTCCATTTGTTTGAGTCCTCTTTTATTTTGTTGAGCAGTGGTTTGTAGTTCTCCTTGAAGAGGTCCTTCACATCCCTTGTAAGTTGGATTCCTAGGTATTTTATTCTCTTTGAAGCAATTGTGAATGGGAGTTCACTCATGATTTGGCTCTCTGTCTGTTATTGGTGTATAAGAATGCTTCTGATTTTTGCACATTGATTTTTTATCCTGAGACTTTGCTGAAGTTGCTTATCAGCTTGAGATTTTGGGCTGAGATGATGGGGTTTTCTAAATACACAATCATGTCATCTGCAAACAGGGACAATTTGACTTCCTCTTTTCCTAATTGAATACCCTTTATTTCTTTCTCCTGCCTGATTGCCCTGGCCAGAACTTCCAACACTATGTTGAATAGGAGTGGTGAGAGAGAGTATCCCTGTCTTGTGCCAGTTTTCAAAGGGAATGCTTCCAGTTTTTGCCCATTCAGAATGATATTGGCTGTGGGTTTGTCATAAATAGCTCTTATTATTTTGAGATACGTCCCATCAATACCGAATTTATTGAGAGTTTTTAGCATGAAGGGCTGTTGAATTTTGTCAAAGGCCTTTTCTGCATCTATTGAGATAATCATGTGGTTTTTGTCTTTGGTTCTGTTTATTTGCTGGATTACGTTTATTGATTTGTGTTTGTTGAACCAGCCTTGCATCCCAGGGATGAAGCCCACTTGATCATGGTGGATAAGCTTTTTGATGTGCTGCTGGATTCAGTTTGCCAGTATTTTATTGAGGATTTTTGCATCAATGTTCATCAGGGATATTGGTCTAAAATTTTCTTTTTTTGTTGTGTCTCTGCCCGGCTTTGGTATCAAGATGATGCTGGCCTCATAAAATGAGTCAGGGAGGATTCCCTCTTTTTCTATTGATTGGAATAGTTTCAGAAGGAATGGTACCAGCTCCTTGTTGTACTTCTGGTAGAATTCAGCTGTGAATCGGTCTGGTCCTGTACTTTTTTTGCTTGGTAGGCTATTAATTATTGCCTCAATTTCAGAGCCTGTTATTGGTCTATTCAGGGATTCAAAATCTTCCTGGTTTAGTATTGGGAGGGTGTGTGTGTCCAAGAATGTATCCATTTCTTCTAGATTTTCTAGTTTATTTGCGTAGAGGTGTTTATACTATTCTCTGATGGTAGTTGTATTTCTGTGGGATTGGTGGTGATATCCCCTTTATCATTTTTTATTGCATCTATTTGCTTCTTCTCCTTTTCATCTTTATTAGTCTTGCTAGCAGTCTATCAATTTTGCTGATCTTTTCAAAAAACCAGTTCCTGGATTCATTGATTTTTTTGAAGGATTTTTTGTGTCTCTATCTCCTTCAGTTCTGCTCTGATCTTAGTTATTTCTTGCCTTCTGCTAGCTTTTGAATGTGTTTGCTCTTGCTTCTCTAGTTCTTTTAATTGTGATGTTAGGGTGTCAATTTTAGATCTTTCCTGCTTTCTTTTGTGGGCATTTAGTGCTATAAATTTCCCTCTACACTCTGCCTTAAATGTGTCCCAGAGATTTTGGTATGTTGTGTCTTTGTTCTCATTGGTTTCAAAGAACATGTTTATTTCTGCCTTCATTTCGTTATGTACCCAGTAGTCATTCAGGAGCAGGTTGTTCAGTTTCCATGTAGTTGAGTGGTTTTGAGTGTGTTTCTTAATCCCGAGTTCTAGTTTGATTGCACTGTGGTCTGAGAGACAGTTTGTTATAATTTCTGTTCTTTTACATTTGCTGAGGAGTGCTTTACTTCCAACTATGTGGTCAATTTTGGAATAAGTGCGATGTGGTGCTGAGAAGAATGTATATTCTGTTGATTTGGGGTGGAGAGTTCTGTAGATGTCTATTAGGTCAGCTTGGTGCAGAGCTGAGTTCAATTCCTGGATATCCTTGTTAACTTTCTGTCTCATTGATCTGTCTAATGTTGACAGTGGGGTATTAAAGTCTCCCATTATTCTTGTGTGGGAGTCTAAGTCTCTTTGTAGGTCTCTAAGGACTTGCTTTATGAATCTGGGTGCTCCTGTATTGGGTGCATATGTATTTAGGATAGTTAGCTCTTCTTGTTGAATTGATCCCTTTACCATTATGTAATGGCCTTCTTTGTCTCTTTTGATCTTTGTTGGTTTAAAGTCTGTTTTATCAGAGACTAGGATTGCAACCCCTGCCTTTTTTTGTTTTCCATTTGCTTGGTAGTTCTTCCTCCATCCCTTTATTTTGAGCCTATGTGTGTGTCTGCACATGAGATGGGTCTCCTGAATACAGCACACTGATGGGTCTTGACTCTTTATCCAATTTGCCAGTCTGTGTCTTTTAATTGGAGTATTTAGCCCATTTACATTTAGGGTTAATAGTGTTATGTGTGAATTTGATCCTGTCATTATGATGTTAGCTGGTTATTTTGCTCGTCAGTTGATGCAGTTTCTTCGTAGCATCAATGGTCTTTACAATTTGTCATGTTTTTGCAGTGGCTGGTACCAGTTGTTCCTTTCCATGTTGAGTCCTTCCTTCAGGAGCTCTTTTAGGGCAGGCCTGGTGATGACTAAATCTCTCAGCATTTGCTTGTCTGTAAAGGATTTTATTTCTCCTTCACTTATGAAGCTTAGTTTGGCTGGATATGAAATTCTGGGTTGAAAATTCTTTTCTTTAAGAATGTTGAATATTGGCCCCCACTCTCTTCTGGCTTGTAGAGTTTCTGCCAAGAGATCAGCTGTTAGTCTGATGGGCTTCCCTTTGTGGGTAACCCGACCTTTCTCTCTGGCTGCCCTTAACATTTTTTCCTTCATTTCAACTTTGGTGAATCTGACAATTATGTGTCTTGGAGTTGTTCTTCTCGAGGAGTATCTTTGTGGCATTCACTGTATTTCCTGAATTTGAATGTTGGCCTGCCTTGCTAGGTTGGGGAAGTTCTCCTGGATAATATCCTACAGAGTATTTTCCAACTTGGTTCCATTCTCCCCATCACTTTCAGGTACGCCAATCAGACGTAGATTTGGTCTTTTCACATAGTCCCATATTTCTTGGAGGTTTTGTTTGTTTCCTTTTACTCTTTTTTCTCTAAACTTCTCTTCTCGCTTCATTTCATTCATTTGATCTTCAGTCACTGATACCCTTTCTTCCAGTTGATTGAATCAGCTACTGAAGCTTGTGCATTCATCACGTAGTTCTCATGCCATGGTTTTCAGCTCCATCAGGTCATTTAAGGACTTCTCTACACTGGTTATTCTAGTTAGCCATTTGTCTAATCTTTTTCCAAGGTTTTTAGCTTCTTTGTGATGGGTTTGAACTTACCCCTTTAGCTCGGAGAAGTTTGATCATCTGAAGCCTTCTTCCCTCAACTCGTCAAAGTCATTCTCCGTCCAGCTTTGTTCCATTGCTGGCGAGGAGCTGCACTCCTTTGGAGAGGGAGAGGCTCTCTGATTTTTAGAATTTTCAGCTTTTCTGCTCTGTTTTTTCCCATCTTTGTGGTTTTATCTACCTTTGGTCTTTGATGATGGTGATGTACAGATGGGGTTTTGGTGTGGCTGTCCTTTCTGTTTGTTAGCTTTCCTTCTAACAGTCAGGACCCTCATTTGCAGGTCTGTTGGAGTTTACTGCAGGTCCACTCCAGACCCTGTTTGCCTGGGTATCAGCAGCGGAGGCTGCAGAACAGCAGATATTGCTGAATAGGAAATGTTGCTGCCTGATCGTTCCTCTGGAAGCTTCGTCTCAGAGGGGTACCCAGGCGTGTGAAGTGTCAGTCTGCCCCTACTGGGGGGTGCCTCCAAGTTAGGCTACTCGGGGGTCAGGGACCCGCTTGAGGAGGCAGTCTGTCTGTTCTCAGATCTCCAGCTGCGTGCTAGGAGAACCACTACTCTCTTCAAAGCTGTCAGACAGGGACATTTAAGTCTGCAGAGGTTTCTGCTGCCTTTTGTTTGGCTATGCCCTGCCTCCAGAGGTGGATGGAGTCTACAGAGGCAGGCAGGCCTCCTTGAGCTGCGGTGGGCTCCACACCATTCAAGCTTCCTGGCCGCTTTGTTTACCTACTCAAGCCTGAGCAATGGTTGGCACCCCTCCCACAGCCTCACTGCCACCTTGCACTTCGATCTCAGACTGCTGTGCTAGCAATGAGTGAGGCTCTGTGGGCGTGGGACCCTCTGAGCCAGGCGCCGGATATAATCTCCTGGTATGCTGTTTGCTAAGACCATTGGAAAAGTGCAGTATTAGGGTGGGAGTGACCCAATTTTCCAGGTGCCGTCTGTCACAGCTTCCCTTGGCTAGGAAAGGGAATTCCCTGACCCCTTGCGCTTCCCGGGTGAGGTGATGCCTCACCCTGCTTTGGCTTATGCTCAGTGGGCTGCAGCCACTGTCCTGCACCTACTGTCTGACAAGCCCCAGTGAGATGAACCTGGTACCTCAGTTGGAAATGCAGAAATAACCTGTCTTCTGCGTCACTCATGCTGGGAGCTGTAGACTGGAGCTGTTGCTATTCAGCCATCTTGGAGCCACCTCCCCTTTTGAGTTTCTATAACACCAGTCCTCATCCATGTCACAGAGACTCTCACATGGAATGTGAGTTGGTGTGTGTGCATCAGTGTTTCCATGAAGCTAGGGATTGTGGCCAAATCATGTCAGGATTCCTTGTACCTGGTACTCTGTCTTCAAGACATAATGGTAGATGGGCTGTGATAAGGATGAGGTCATGCTTGGAAACCAATTATGACATAGGAAACACTCAGTGAATACTTACTGTTATTCTTTCTTATTTATTATTATTATTATTTTTGAGACAGAGTCTTGCTCTGTCACTCAAACTGGAGTGCAGTGGCACAATCTGGGCTCACTGCAACCTCCACCTCCCGAGTTCAAGCAATTCTCATGCCTCAGCCTTCTTAGTAGCTGGGATTACAGGTGTGCACCAACATGGCTGGTTAATTTTTGTATTTTTACTAGAGATGGGATCTCACCATGTTGCCCAGGCTGGTCTCGTACTCCTGACCTCAAGGGACCTGCTCACCGTGGCCTCCCAAAGTGCTGGGATTACAGGCGTGAGCCACTGTACCTGGACTTATTCTTCCTCCTTCTTCTTCTTACTATTATTATTATTATCATACATATATATATATTTTGGCACAATCTTGGCTCACAGCAACCTCCACCTCCCGGGTTCAAGCATTTCTTCTGCCTCAACCTCCCAAGTAGCTGGGACTGCATGTGTGCACCACCATGCCCGACTAATTTAGTAGAGATGGGGTTTCACCATATTGGCCAGGCTGGTCTCGAACTCCTGACCTTGTGATCCACCCGTCTCGGCCTGCCAAAGTGCTGGGATTACAGGCATGAGCCACCATGCCCGGCCTTCTCTTATTATTATTAATGATGGGTATAAACTACTCAGAAAGCGAAATCCAAGTTACCCCATTATATTTTTCTAAGTCTTTATTCTTTATAAATTAGATCAAGAATGTAGATTTCTGTTCTTTAGGGCCATTGACTTACAGTAGCCAAATATTAATTAGGGGTCACACACAAGAAAAAAGAAGTATGTTGTTTTAGATTTTTTATTTAAAGAAAATAAAAATTTTCTTTAAATATGAATGGGATTAAATATGAATGGGATTAAATATGAATGGGATAAACATGAATGGGATTGCATTTCCAAGGGGAAGATAATAACTTAGTGAGTCTCTTCTATGTGACAAGCACTGTGCTAAGGTCTGCACTTGGATTTATATTGTTTGACTACAACCCTAGGAAACAGGCACTGTTATCCCATTTTACAGGTAAGGAAGCTGAGCCTTTGATAGGTTAAGCAATATTCCCAAGTTCTTGAAGCTAGCAAGTGAGGAACATGAACTTGGACCCAACTCCCACTGACTTCAGAAGTCACACTCTTAAGTATTCTGTAAGGGCTCAGCTAGGCCACCTCTCCTTTCATCTGAGTTCTCTGTGACCCACCATCACTGTTAGTGATGTGAATTGTGTGCCATAAGCACTCTGGACAGAGCAGCATCAGTCCACATGGACTTCTCTGTAGGCCTGGTAAAATTAATAGCAATTACCACCCAATCTCGTTTGTGGAGTTTATAAAGCACTTTCATTCCCGATACTGCACATGATCGTTATACCAGCTCCTGGCTCCATGTAGACAGCTCTCAGCTGAAGCTCACACTTAAAACTTCCCACCTCTGCCTTTAAGGTCCAGACACTCTCTGTTGTATTCACCCCATGCATACACATGGAGCCCATTCCCAGTGAGGATGTTAACATAAGAGCACAAAGCGGGGAGCGGAACAAAAAGGGTTTATGTGCCTGAGAACGTGAGTGCTTTTGGAAAGTCAAGAAGGTGAGCAAAAGGCAGAAGAAGCTGCTAGCCACTCTATAGTGATATTCCACTCACCACCCTTCTCAAATATTCCCACATCTTGCCTGACTTACTGAGAAGTGGTAAGAATGTCAAGTGGGTAGGGCGCAGTGGCTCATGCCTGTAATCCCAGCACTTTGGGAGGCCAAGGTGGGTGTTCAAAACCAGGGCCAACATGGTGAAACCCCGTCTCTACTAAAAATACAAAATTAGCCAACCATGGTGGTGCATGCCTGTAGTCCCAGCTACTGGGGAGGCTGAGGCGGGAGAATCGCTTGAATCCGGGAGGCAGAAGTTGCAGTGAGCTGAGATCACGCCATCCCACTCCAGCCTGGGCAACAAGAGCAAAACTCCAACTCAAAAAAAAAAAAAAAAAAAAAAAAGTCAAATTATCTGTGGCCTCCAGATTTAACTAAAATTATTACATGTGGCCGGGCACAGTGGTTCATGTCTATAATCTCAGTGCTTTGGGAGGCCAAGGTGGGAGGATCGCTTGAGTCCAGGAGTTTGAGAACAGCCTGGGCAATGTAGTGAAACCCCATCCCTACAAAATATTATAAGAATTAGCCAAGCATGGTGGCATGTGCCTGTAGTCCCAGCTACTCAGGAGGCTGAGGTGGGAGGATCGCTTGAGCCCAGGAGGTTGAGGCTATAGTAAGCCAAAGTCGCACCACTGCACTTCAGCCTGGGTGACAGAGTGAGACCTGTCTCAAAAGAAAAAATTATACATGGACAGTCGTTGGATTAACTGACGCAGCAACCATTGCCCCTTGAGTTAACAGGAATCACCCTCTACCTCTGCCTCCGAGTAGCTTTGCGTCCCATGGGTAAGGACTATCATCATTATTATAATTTTTGTTATGGAAAATGGCAATTAGAATGTACAAGCTGGTGTCTTTGCAGGAGTTCTGTTTCTACGCTCAGTCCACCAGGAAGAGCACCATCCCAATTTCGGGTGTAAGGTGACCCGCAGTAATGCAGGTGTGCGGGCTGAAATATAATTTTGGATTCCTTTTGCTTGGGGTGTTAAAAAGAAAGTATCATATGTATCAGAATATATAGCAGCTCCTGAACAAAGGATGGAAAAGGAGTAGATACTGTACTGGAACCAGAACTGAAGAAACCTGTTTCCTTATTTGTGGTTTGAGATGGTTGTCTAGAAAAAGCTCCAATTGCTCATCCTTTATTCCAGCCCCAGCTGTTCATGATCTGTGATTCTGTGTTCCAGTGTGGTAATGTGGGAGCATCAGCTCCCAATAATTCAGTCTTGTTAAAAGAGAACTAAAAGGAAAACTGTTTAAAAAGAGCAACAGGGGAAGAATTTGAGTGGGAAATGAATTGGTCTGGGAGCTGGTGGGTGCAGGTGCAAGCCCTGGCTTTGGAATTTAACACATGCTCTTGGACAATCATGTCACTTTTAGCCCTTGGCTTCATTATCTGTGCATGGGTGTGGGCACCACTTCAAATTGAGGATAAAATTATGATCACTTTATTTTGAAATATTTCAGACTTACAGAAATGTTGGAAGAATAGTACGAAGAATTTCCATATGCTTTTTGCCAGTTCCCCAAAGATTAGCACATTTGCTTTATTATATTCTCCTTCTCGCTCTGCATGTGTGTATTTTAATGTGTGTATATATATATGAGTGTGTGTGTAAATATATATATATATATATATTTTTTTTTTTTTTTTTTTTGAGACAGAGTCTTACTCTATCACCCAAGCTGAAGTGCAGTGGTGCGATTTCGGCTCACTGCAACCTCCATCTCCCAGGTTCAAGCGATTCTCTTGCCTCAGCCTACTAAGTAGATGGGATTACAGATGTGTACCACCACACCTGGCGAATTTTTGTATTTTTAGTAGAGACAGGGTTTCACCACGTTGTCCAGGCTGGTCTCGAATTCCTGACCTCAGGTGATCTGCCCACCTCGGCCTCTCAAAGTGCTGGGATTATAGGCGTGAGCCACCGTAATGTACATATATATTTATATCCCCATACATATATGTTTGAGGGATGTGTGTATTTTTTCTGAGCTATGTAAGAATAACCCTGATTTATTTTAAATACTTTGTTCTTTTTGTGATTTAATTCGAAAGGTTCAGAGGATAAGAAATATTTGAAAACCACTGCTAAACTCCTTTTAGTGCTGACTTTTAGTAATTTTTCTCATGCTGGATTAAAATAGCTGTAGCTCCCAAATATGCTGATGAGGCCATACCCAATTAAATAGTAATTTTAAATATGAACATCATAGTGTGTAAATAGGGTGACTTGTTGGCAGGGATTGTCATACAGAGATTTTCAGTTCTCTCATTTTACAGATGAATAAAATGAGACCCACTGAAAAGAGAAGATTTGCCCAACATTCCACAGCTTTCTATCAGATATTTTCTCTAGCACATTAGCATATTCTGCATACACATAGTAAGGGATCATGAAGCAAAATAATAATAATCATTGTTTACTTTGTGCCTGGCAATGTGCTAATCATTTTGCCTTCCTTGTTTCTTTGAGTTGTTACAACATCCATGCTTCGTAGGTATTATAATCCCCATTTTACAGATGAGAGTGAGTCTCAAAGAGGTTTTTATTTATTTATTTAATTTCCAACTTTTAAATTTAGGGGGTACATGTGCAGGTTTGTTACATGGGTATATTATTATGAGGCTGAGGTTTAGGGTATGAACGATCCCATAACCCAGGTAACGATCTTAGTACCCAATGGGTGGTTTTTCAACCCTTGCTCCCCTTCCTCCCCCGTCTAGTAGTTCCCAGTGTCTACTGTTCCCATCTTTATGTCCATGAGTACCCAATGTTTAGCTCCCACTTATCAGTGAGAATATGTGGTATTTGGTTTTCAGTTTTTGAGTTAATTTGCTGAGGATAATAGCCTCCAGCTGCATCCATGTTGCTGCAAAGAATATGATTTCATTCTTTTTATGGCCGCATAGTATTCCATGTGGTATATGTACCACTTTTTTAAAATCCAATTCACAACTGATGGACATCTAGGTTGATTTCATGTCTTTGCTATTGTGAACAGTGCTGTGTTGAACATATGCATGCATGTGTCTTTTTGGTAGAATGATTTATTTTCCTCTGGTATATACCCAGTAGTGGGATTGCTGACTCGAATGGTAGTTCTATTTTTATTTTTTTGAGAAATTTACAAACTGCTTTCCACAGTGACTGAACTAATTTACATTTCCACCAACAGTGTATAAGTATCCCCTTTTCTCCACAGCCTTGCCAATACCCGTTTTTTGTTTTGTTTTGTTTTGTTTTTTTACTTTTTTATAATAGCCGTTCTGACTGGTGTGAGATGGTAGCTCTTTGTGGTTTTGATTCGCATTTCTCTGATTAGTGATGTTGAGCATTTTTTCATGTTTGGTGGCCACTTGTATGTCTTCTTTTGAGAAGTGTCTGTTCATGTCTTTTGCCTACTTTTTAATGGGGTTATTTAGTTCTTTTGCTTGTTGAATTATTCAAGTTCCTTATACATTCTGGATATTAGATCTTTGTTGGATGCATCGTTTGTGAATATTTTCTCCCATTCTGTAGGTTGTTTGTTTATCCTGTTGATAGTTAATTTTGCTGTGCAGAAGCTCTTTAATTAGGTCTCACTTGTCAATTTTTGTTTTTGTTGTAATTGCTTTTGAGGGCTTAGTCATAAATTCTTTGTCAAGGCCAATGCCTAGAATGGTATTTCCTAGGTTTTCTTCTATGATTTTTATAGTTTCAGGTCCTACATTTAAAGCTTTAATCCATCTGGAGTTAATTTTTGTATATAGTGATAGGTATGGAGTCCAGTTTTATTCTTCTGCATATGTTCTAGCCAGTTATCCCAGCACCTCTTATTTATTGAATAGGGAGTCCTTTGCCCATTCCTTAATTTTGTCAACTTTGTCAAAGATCCGTTGGTTGTAGGTGTGTGGCTTTATTTCTGTGTTCTCTGTTCTGTTCCATGGGTCTATGAGTCTGTTTTTGTACCAATACCATGCTGTTTTTGTTACTGTAACCTTGTAGTGTAGTTTGAAGTCAGGTAATGTGATACCTCCACCTTTTTTCTTTTTGCTCAGGATTGCTTTGGCTACTTGGGCTCTTTTTTGGTTCCAGATGAATTTCAGAATAGTTTTATCTAATTCTGTGAAAAATAAAATTTGTAGTTTATGGGAATAGCATTGAATCTGTATATTGCTTTTGGCAGTATGGTCATCTTGACTCTTTAAATCTGTGAGCATAGAATGTTTTTCCATTTGTTTGTGTCATTTATGATTTCTTTCAGCAGTTTTGTAGTTCTCCTTGTAGAAACCATTCACCTCCTTAGTTAGATCTATTCCTAGGTATTTTATTCTTTTTGTGGCTATTGTAAATGGAATTGTGTTCTTGATTTGGCTGTCAGCTTAAACATTATCAATGTATAGAAATGCAACTGATTTTTGTACATTGATTTTGTATTTTAAAATCTTCTAAGAGCCTTTTGGCAGTCTTTAGGGTTTTCTATGTGTAGAATCATATAGTTGGCAAAGAGAGATAATTTGACTTATTTTCCTATTTGGATGCCTTTTATTTCTTTCTCTTGTCTGATTGCTCTGGCTAGGACTTCAATACTATGTTAAATAGGAGTGGTGAGAATGGCCATACTAGTCTTGTTCCAGTTCTTAAGGAGAATGCTTTCGGCTTTTGCCCATTCAGGATGATGTTGGCTGTGGGTTTATCATAGATGGCTTTATTATTTTGAGACATATTCCTCCGATGCCTAGTTTATTGAAGGTTTTAAATTATGAAACAATGTTGGATTTTATCAAAAGCTTTTTCTGCATCAATCGAGATGATCATATGTTTTTTATGTTTAATTCTATTCTATTTATTTGGTGAGTAACATTTATTGGTTGGTGTGTGCTGAACCAACCTTGCATCCCAGGAATAAAGTCTAGTTGATCCTGGTGAATTAATCTTTGATGTGTGCTGTATTTGATTTGCTAGTATTTTGTTGAGGATTTTTGTGTCAATGTTCATTAGGGATATTGGCCTGTAATTTTCTTTTTTCATTGTGTCTTTGCCAGGTTTTGGTATCAGTATGATACTGACTATATAGAATGAGTTAGGGAGGAGTCTCTCATCAATTTTTTGGAATAGTTTCAGTAGGATTGGTACCAGCTATTCTTTGTACATCTAATAGAATTTGGCTGTAAATCCATCTGGTCTAGGGTCAAATAAAACCAACCATTTCATTGGTTGGTAGGTTTTTCTAAATGCTGATTCAATTTTGAAGCTCATTATTGGTCTGTTCAGAGTCTTGATTTCCTTCTGAATAAATCTTGGATGGTGTTTTGTTTCTAGGAATTTATCAGTTTCCTCTAGATTTTCTAGTTTGTGTATTTAGAGGTGTTCATAATAATCTCTGAGGATCATATGTATTTCTGTGGGATTGGTTGTAATTTCACCTTTATTATTTCTGATTGTGCTTATTTGGGTCTTCTCTCTTTTTCATTATTAATCTTGCTAGTGGTCTGTCAGTCTTGTTTATCCTTTCAAAAAATCAACTTTTGGCTTCATTGATCCTTTGTATGGATTTTTGCGGTCTCAATATCATTTAGTTCCGCTCTGATTTTAGTTATTTCTTTTCTTCTGCTAGCTTTGGGGTTAGTTTGTTTCTGTTTCTCTAGTTCCTCTAGGTGCAATGTTAGAGCGTTAATTTGAGATCTTTCTAGCTTCTTGGTGTAGGCATTTAGTGCTAAAAACTTTCCTCTCAACACTGCTTTTGCTGCACCCCAGAGATGTTGCTATGTTGTGTCACTGTTTTCATCTATTTCAAAGAATCTTTTGATTTCTGCTTTAATTTTGTTGTTTACCTGATATGGTTTGGATTTGTGTCCCCACTTAAATCTCATGTTCAATTGTCATCCCCCCAGTGTTGAATGTGGGGCCTGGTGGGGGTGATTAAATCATGAGAGTGAATTTCTCATGAATGGTTTAGTACCATCCCCTTGGTACTACTATTCTTGCAATAATGAGTTAGTTCTCACAAGATCTTGTCATTTAAAAGCGTGTGGCACCTCCCCCTGCTCCCAGCACCAAGCTTGTGCTCTTTCCGTGTGACCTGCCTGCTCCAGCTTTGTCTTCTGCCATGAGTAAAAGTTCCCTGAGGCCTCCCCAGAAGCAATGTACAGCCTGCAGAACCATAAGCCAATAAAACCTTTCTTCTTAAAAATTACCCAGTCTTAGATATTTCTTTATAGCAATGCAAGAATGGGCTAATACATTACCCAAAAGTCATTTAGGAGCAAGTTGCTTAGTTTCCATGGAATTGTGTGATTTTGAGATATCTTCTTGGTATTGATTTCTATTTTTATTCCACTGTGGCCCAAGAGTATGCTTGGTATAATTTCTGTCTTTTAAAGTGTATTGAGACTTGCTTTATGGTCAAGCATGTGGTTGATCTCAGAGTATGTGCCATGTGCAGATGAGAAGACTGTATATTCTGTGGTTGTTTGGTGGATTATTCTGTAGATGTCTATAAGGTCCAATTGGTCAGGGGTCAAATTTAAGTCCAGAATTTGTTAGTCTTCTCCTTTGATGATCTGTCTTACACTGTGAGTGGGGTATTAAAGACTCCCACTATTACTGTGTGGCTAAGTGTTTTCATAGGTCTGGAAGTACTTGTTATATGAATCCAGGTGCTCCAATATTGGGTGTGAATGTATTTAGGATAGTAAGTCTTCTTTTTGAATTGAACTCTTTATCATTATGTAATTCTCTTCTTTGCCCTTTTTTTACTGCTGTTGGTTTTAAGTCTGTTTTATCTGATATTAGAACAGTGATCCTTGCTCTTTTATGTTTTCTGTTTGTGTGATAGACCTTTCTCCATCTCTTTACTTTGAGCCTATGGGTGTCCTTACATGTGAAA
This sequence comes from Homo sapiens, assembly GCF_000001405.40. NCBI lineage: Eukaryota > Metazoa > Chordata > Mammalia > Primates > Hominidae > Homo > Homo sapiens. The sequence continues at coordinate 151,404,320 of NC_000005.10, forward strand.
TGGGTCTCTTGAAAACAGTAGATGTTTAAGTCTTAATTTTTAATCCAACTTCCCACTTTGTGCCTTTTAAATGAGGTGTTTAGACCATTCACATTCAAGGTTAATATTGATAGGTGAGATTTTGATCCTGTCATGATGTGAGCTGGTTACTTTGTAGCCTTGATTGGGTAGTTGCTTTATAGGGTCTGTGGGCGATGTAGTTAAGTGTGTTTTTGTGGTAGCTAGTATCATTCTCTCATTTCCATGTTTAGAACTCCCTTAAAGATTTCTTTTGAGGCTGCTCTAGTGGTAACAAATTCCCTTAGTGCTTGCTTTTCTAGAAAATATTTTCTTTCTCCTTTGCTTATGAAACTTAGTTTGGTGGAATATGAAATTCTTGGTTGGAATTTCTTTAAAAATGCTGAAAATAGGCCCCTAATTACTTCTGGCTTGTAAGGTTTCTGCTGAGAAGACTACTGTTTAACCTAATGGGGTTTCCCCTTTGTAAGTGATCTGATTCTTCTCTAGCTGCCTTTAAGATTTTTTCTTTCTCATTGACCTTGAAAGTCTGATGACTGTGTGTCTTGTATAGTATCTTGCAGGGGTTCTCTGAATTTCTTGCATTTGCACATAGACTTCTCTAGTGAGATTGAGGAAATTTTCATTGACTATGTCCTCAAATATGTTTTCCAAGTTGCATACTCTCTCTACTTCTCTCTCAAGAATGCCGAGTTGTAGGTTTGGTCTCTTTACATAAGCCCATATTTCCCAAAGGCTTTGTTCAGTTTTTAAATTCTTTTATTTTTGTGGGACTGAGTTGATTTGAAAGACTGGTCTTTAAGCTCTGAAATTATTCTTTCAGCTTGGTCTAGTTTGTTATTAAGGCTTCCAACTGTATTTTGAAATTCCTGTAGTAAAATTTTCAATTCCAGAATAATTTAGTTCCTTCTTAAAATGGCTATGTTGTCTTTCAACTCTTGAATTGCTTTACTGACTTCCTTGGGTTGAGTTGCTACTTTCTCTTAAGTCTCTCCCTCTCTTTCTCTTTTTTTTTTTTTTTTTTTTTTTTGAGATAGGGTGTTGCTCTGTCACCCAGGCTGGAATACAATGGCGAGATCATGGCTCACTGTAGCCTCAACCTCCTGGGCTGAACAATCTGCCTGCCTTGGCCTCCCAAAGTTCTGGGATTACAGGTATGAGCCACTGCACCCAACACCTCTTGAATCTCATTCAGCTTTCTTGCCGTTCTATATCCGTCATCTCAGACATTTTAATCTAGTTAGGATCCTTTGCTGGGGAGCTAGTGTGAACCTTTAGAGATAAGAAAACCTTTAGAGATAAGAAAATGCTCTGGCTTTTCTCATGCTGATTCCTTCTCATCTTAGGGGGCTGGTGTTTCTTTATCTTTTTGAATTTGCTGTTATTTGGATGGGGCTTTTTGTTTCTGTGTTCTTTTTTACTTTTGGGGGTTTGACTGTAGTATACATTGTGTATAGTTGATTGGCTTCATTTCTGGGTGCTTTTAGAGGGCCAAGACTCTGTTTGGCTTCCTTAGTTTTGGTTATTTACCTACATTGGGTTTTACAGATGTTGCTTGGTGAAGAAATTTATCTTTGGTAGTACAATTCAGGCTGCAACCCAGTAGATAGTGCTTAAGAGTGAGGGCTTACAGATAGGCTGTTACTCAACTGCATGCCTCTTTTGTGTTTCAGTGCCTTTGCAGCAACACTTTAGGAAAGCGGGGGATGAGAGGGTAAAAGATGACCCCTTCAACAAGTCTCTTCCTGGGCATTAGGAGTGCCCCCTCCAATCACTGGTGCTGCACATGCATTTCCTTAGCCCCAGGAAGGGCCCTGGCAGTTTGCACAGCTTCCTCTCTTGGGGTGGCTTGAGCTGAAGGTTAGGTCACCAGGAAACCTGCAGATCCCTAGAAACCTGCAGGTCCTCTGAGCTTGGCAGAGTCAGAGCAGGCTTCGAAGTATGTCTGTGGATTCAGAGAGATTTTAAAACAGCTGTCCAAGATCCAATAGCTTGAAAGGATGAAAAAAAACAGTATTCAAATTCACGCCTGTCAGGCTCCAGAGCCAGTGCTCTTTATCTACCCCATGCACCTTCTTCACTCTGCATAGGGGATGGGGGCACTCATTCTATCTCAAACCTTACCACTTCAGTACCTTCAAAGGCAAAGACAGTTGTCCCAAAGAACAGGGACTAGGTCTTCCAGTTTGCCACTAGGGGCAGACTGCTGGCGTCTGGGATTTCTTGAAAGAGAAACACAGGAAAAATGGTAATGGCTACCTTAAAACTGGACTTGAGAAAACCCAGTGGAAATAAAGCAAAAAGTGAAACAGCTAGCTAGCAGAGCTCCACATGGGCTGAACTTTCTGCTGACCTTCATCCTTTGGTGGGTGGACTTTGTTTCTTTAAGAAGACAGCAGCAGCAGGAAACCCTCAGGCTCAGAGGGGAATTGAGAGTGAGAGAGGCTCAGTTCTAGTGTGTCCGGAATTGGTTCCTTCTGGTGGGTTCTTGGTCTTGCTGACTTCAAGAATGAAGCCACGGGCCCTCGCGGTGAGTGTTACAGTTCTTAAAGATGGTGTGTCCGGAGTTTGTTCCTTCAGATGTTCAGATGTGTCCGGAGTTTCTTCCTTCTGGTGGGTTCGTGGTCTTGCTGACTTCAGGAGTGAAGCTGCAGACCTTTGCAGTGAGTGTTACAGCTCTTAAAGGTGGCGCGTCCAGAGTTGTTTGTTCCTCCCAGTGGGTTCATGGTCTTGCTGACTTCAGGAGTGAAGCTGCAGACCTTTGCAGCGAATGTTACAGCTCATACAGGTAGTATGGCCCCAAAGAGTGAGCAGCAGCAAGATTTATTGTGAAGAGCAAAAGAACAAAGCTTCCACAGCTTGGAAGGGGACCCGAATGGGTTGCTGCTGCTGGCTCTAGTGGCCAGCTTTTATTCCCTTATTTGGCCCTACCCACGTCCTGCTGATTGGTCCATTTTTACAGAGTGCTGATTGGTGCGTTTACAAACCTTTAGCTAAACACAGAGCGCTGATTGGTGCGTTTTTACAGAGTGCTGATTGGTGCGTTTACAAACCTTTAGCTAGACACAGAGCACTGATTGGTACATTTACAATCCTTTAGCTAGACAGAAAAGTTCTCCAAGTCCCCACCTGATTAGCTAGACACAGAGCACTGATTGGTGCATATTTACAGAGTGCTGATTGGTGTGCTTACAAACCTTTAGCTAGACACAGAGCGCTGATTGGTACATTTACAATCTTTTAGCTAGACAGAAAAGTTCTCCAAGTCCCCACCCGACCCAGAAGCCCAGCCGGCTTCACCTCTCATTAGGGCCACACAAGCATTTAAACCTCAGTTTCTCCGTGTATATAATACAGTGGGGTGTTGGGTCTGGGGATGGAAGTTGGCCTTCTGCCCTCTGCCATTCTCTGGAGCCAATTTTTGGGGTCAATGAGAGAATGAGAATGCTGGATGACCAGAGATGCTTAGGAAAGGAGAAGGAAGGTCCTTAGAAATCCTCTGGTCTGATGCTTCATTTTACACCTGGGAACCTGAAGCCCAGGAAGGCTAACAGTGATTATCATAATAAAGTTCCTCCTCTAATAAGATAATATAAGCAGTGAACATTTTGTAGGTTCTTGTGATAGGCCAGGCACTGTGCTAGTGCTTTAAATGCGCTGTTTACTTCTCGCCACAACCCTACAAAGCAGGGATTATTATCTTCATTTTAAGGATAAGGAAATCGAGGCTCACGGTCACTCTAGCTTTAGGTTCTCCTTCCATAAAGTAAGAAAGTTGAACTAAAACAGCATATCTTGAGTCATTTATTGTATTTTTCTCATCAAGTCAGTGTTTTTTTTGTTTTTGTTTGCTGCTGTTGTTGTTTTTTGAGACGGAGTCTCACTCTGTCACCCAGGCTGGAGTGCAGTGGTGCGATCTTGACTCACTGCAACTTCTGCCTCCCGGGTTCAAGTGATTCTCCTGCCTCAGCCTCCCAAGTAGCTGGGACTACAGGCACACACCACCACGCCTGGCTAATTTTTGTATTTTTAATAGTGACAGGGTTTCACCATATTAGCCAGGCTGGTCTTGAACTCCTGACCTTGTGATCTGCCCGCCTCGGCCTCCTAAAGTGCTGGGATTACAGGCGTGAACCACCGTGCCTGGCCAAGTCAGTGTTTTAACATAAGATTAATTTTACAAAGAAGCATTATGATGCAATTCTCTCATTTCCATTAATAGAAGAGAATATACATACATACTACAAATACGTAATTAAGAAAACAAACATTGTATGTCCCCTCCCCAAATTTATTACATACACCACCAGAAGCATGGAAATGCACCTTGAAAAACCACTGAATTAAATGACTTGTAAATCCAGCCCTATCTCTGCTTCTATAAGAATGCAGAATTCTGGAGTCTGACGAGGACTGACAGCTGGAGAACAATGCTTTTAAAGAGATATCAGCCATGAAAATAAACACCAATAAAAATCCACTTGCAAACAGGATGACCTCCAGGATATTTATAGCAACTGGTTTCCAGGAAGGATTTGTTTGTTTGTTTGTTTTTTCTGAGAACAGTTAGAAACTTTTCCAACCAGGGGAGTAGTAAGTGAATGACTTCCTGGAGTGAAACGTGGTGAGGGTGATTTTTTTTTTCTTTTCTTTTCTTTCCTCTTTTTTTTTTTTTCTTTGAGACAATGTCTCACTGTGTTGCTCAGGCTGGAGTGCAGTGGTGTGATCATGGCTCATTGCAGTGTCAACCTCCCAGGCTCAGGGTGATCCTCCCACCTCAGCCTCTGAAGTAGCTGGGACTACAGGTGCATGCCACTACGCCTAGACAATTTTTTGTGTTTTGGTAGAGACAGGGTTTTGCCACGTTTTCCACTCTGGTCTTGAACTCCTGGGCTCAAATGATCCACCAGCCTCAGCCTCCCAAGTGCTAGGATTACAGGCATTCATGAACCACTGCATCTGGTTGGGGTGGGGGGGATAGATTTTCATTGTTGCTCAGGCAGGAGGGCCCTCAGGAGGCAAAGACTATCTGAGGAGTTTGCATCAAGCCTCCTTTTACTTACATTGCTTTTGACTATCAAAAAGAAGAAACAGTGGCAACTATTTGATCTCATTTCTTGATCTCCAAAACACTGATAACCAAGTGTTCAACAGGCGTTTTGGTCTCCTCACATGATTGAGGGCATGGAAACCACAACATACATGTACAAAGTGCTTTGGAGCTTTTGACTCAAAATGTGGGCTATGAACCAGCAGCATCAGCATTACCTAGAGGCTTGTCAGGAATGCAGAATCTCAGGCCCCACCCTGGACCTCCTGACTCAGAATCTGCATTGTAATAAGGCCCCCAGGAAATTTGTGTGCACATCAGACTTTGAGTAGTTCAATTGCGCTGGTCCAAAGGCCACACTCTGCAAAGCAGGGATTCACAGCATCTCTGTACTTGGCTGATCATCCAAATCAGCTGGGGAAATGTATTTCTACAGGAAGTTTCCTGGGTTCTGAATTCCACAGATTCAGATCCAAGACAACCAAAGCAGAGCCTGGGAATCTGTTATTAAGCAAAATCTCAAGGTGATTCTGATGCTCATCCAGGTTTTGGGGAAATAACAACTTGCATTTGTTTAGGGAGCACTCACTATATACCAGGCAGAATCCTAAGCCCTTTACATGAATAAATCCATTTGATTTTAACAATAGGTTTCGGAGATAGGTATTAGCATTGTCTCCTTTTCCACTTGGGAAAATTGAGGCACAGAGATAACTTGCCAAAGTTTGAAATGGTGGAGCTGTAATCAGAATTCTGGTAACTTGGCTCCAGAGTTACCAGGCTCCTGTCTGAGGGCAGGAACTTTATCTGATTTGTTCACGGCTGTATTACCAGCACAGTGGCCAGCTCAAGGATATTCAATATGTATTTGTTCAATGAATTCATTCATTCATTGAAAGAGAGTGGTGAAATTCTGAACAGGGACAGAGAGATGACCTAGGCATCTTTTTTTTTTCCAAATATGGATTTTGTTTTATGATGGTGAAAATATAAACAAACAAATATAAAATATAAAGAGAGAAAAATTATCTTTGGAGACTCTTTACAGAGTTTTTTGTATTGTTTATGATATCAATAACATAAAATAAAATGGAAATAACCAAAATGTCTGTCCTTAAGGACTTGGTGAATAAATTATATATGGCGAGTCCATGATATATCATTAAGCATGGAAAAAAGCAAATAGCATATCAATATCATAGTCTGAAAAATTATTATATATGCATGTTTGAATATTTATGAAAAAAACTGAAAAACTATTCACATAACTTTCGCCTTTTATTTTTTATTCCCTCATTTTACTGATGGTCACATAACTTTTAATGTGTGTTTTTGCAGGAGGAGAAATTTATGGAGACCTTTTATATTTTATAGTCTCATGCTATTGTTTGCATGAGATGCAACTGTATCAAGAGTTTCTCAACCTCAGCACTCTTGACATTCAGGGCCAGATAATTCTTGGTTGGGAGGGACTGTCCTGTGCATTGCAGGCTATTTTACAGCATCTCTTGCTTCTATCCGCTGTGTGACAACGAAAAATATCTCCAGCAATTGCCAAATGTCCACTGGAGAGCAAAGTCATTTCCAATTAAGAACCACTGGTCTAAAGTCTATACTTGTACCCATTCTGCTGACTCTAAGAACTACTGTGTTCTCACTTGTAGTTTTACACCAAAACAGCCTATCAAGAGAGAAGTTACTAGCCTTATTTTAAAAGTGTGACTTATCCAGGGTCACAGAGCTTATAAGCAGCAAAGCTAGGACTCATATTCACATTTCAAACCTATCCGTTGATTCTCATCCATGGTGGGTGTCAGGAGGAAGATTTCTGCCTCATAAATGAGCAAAGCAGAAGGAGAAATATTTACTCCCGATTTATCTTATTTCTTCAAGGCTTTGTCATGGATACCTACGGGATGATCTGCTCAGCAACCATCACCCACATGCCTTAAGTGACCTGAACTCCTTCTGTATCAGGTATAGTTTCTATTGGTGTTGCCCCCAACTATAGGAGATTGATCCAGGGGTGGCACCTGACCTGAGCTGAACCAATGAATTCCTTTCCTGAAATTTTGAGACCTGAGAGAACATCAGATTAGTCTCCTTCTGGTGGCTAAATTGTAAAATGTAAAACTCAGAAGCTGTGGACAGAGCCAGCTCACATTAAGAGAGAGGTATAAAGCCAATACACAGAGCCAAACTGAGCAAAGGCTTCGGGAGCCCTAATGGGGGTCCACCCCTGAGTTGGTGTGACCTGCAAAGACTGACTGCCTCAGGATCCTTTTAGGGCTTGACTGTTCCTTGACACCTCCCAGAATCTTTCTAATAGTCTCTTTTTCCCCCAGTTACTTCAACTTGAGTTGAACAAGGGTCCTTAGTACAGTTTTTCCCACGGATAAGAAAATACCTGCTTGTTGAAACCAAACCAAACCAAACCAAACCTCCTTCATAGCATTAATATGCTCTAAAAATCTGATGATCTGGGCAAATCACTGACAACCAAGTTCCTACTATTTTAAATAGGAGAAATTGTGACATGAACATCCACCCCAAATACTCAACCATTTCTTAAGACGTAACTAAAACAAGTAAAATGCCTGTATGTAAGCAACAAACTATGACGTTAGTCTATGAATGCTTAAAACTTGATACTAAACACAAATGAATATGGTTGTCACAAGAAATTGCTTTTGTCTGCAAACATCCTCCACATCCTCTTTGTGGATGCTTGTTCTCTTTCCAAACTGTCTGTGTGGGTCCTAACATTTAACTAAATCTGTAAGGTAAGACAATGTAAGGAATGTCTCAAGATATTTCCCATGGGTTGTTTTGTTAAATATGTTATATTGCATTTGGGGACAGAAATGTAAATATTTCCTATATAAACATGGGGAAAAATTATAATGAGAGAGATATATTCATTCCCCGGAGTTTGGGCATTATGCAGAAATTTTCTGTGTGATAATTCCATATATATGTCAAACAATAGAGACACATATAGGAAAATATACAACAACCTGAACTTTCCCTCTCTAGAGGAAATCATTGACAATCTGGAGGATGTGTTTCCAGGCTTTGTTCTACATACACACACATACACACGCACACCCTTCTCAAGGTGACTGCATGGGGTGGGGAATCTACCTGGAGGAGATGCTGGAGGATGAGGACGAGGCTTCCCAGCGTGAAGACTTTGTTCAGCATCTAGAAAGTAGGCAGCGCACAGAGGCTCTGGAGGAACACCAGCAGCACCAGCAAGGGAAATGTGAACACTGTGTAGATGTGACATCCACGGTGGGTGTGGGAATCGCCACGCCTCTGCCCTGGCAGTCAGCTATGATCTCATCAGTTGTCTTGATCACCTATGGATAAAAAAGGATGATGTGAACCTTAGCTGCGACCTGCCTGTTCCCATCCCTATGTCCTCCAGCCATTCCTGTCAATCTTCAGCCCTTAAAAGCACCAGCATCTGGAGATTTTCTCACTGCCAAAAACCTTGTCTCCCAAAATTCCCTTCTTAGTGACTGCTCAGCCTTCAGAGTCAATGTTCCCTCCAAACTCCATCAGACCCCTACTCTTATAGCACCAGTCCATTGCCTCAATAGGGCTTATCATGCTTTGTCATTTTACACTAGCATGATTATTGCTAAATGTTTATCTTTCCCACTAGAATGTAAGTGTCTGAGGGCAGGAACTTTATCTGATTTGTTCACGGCTGTATTACCAGCACAGTGGCCAGCTCAAGGATAGATATTCAATATGTATTTGTTCAATGAATTAATTCATTCATTGAAAGAGAGTGGTGAAATTCTGAACAGGGACAGAGAGATGACCTAGGCATCTTTTTTTTTTTTCCAAATATGGATTTTGTTTTATGATGGTGAAAATATAAAGAAGCAAATATAAAATATAAAGAGTGAAAAATTGTCTTTGGAGACTCTTTACAGAGTTTTTTTGTATTGTTTATGATATCAATAACATAAAATAAAATGGAAATAACCAAAATGTCTGTCCTTAAGGACTTGGTGAATACATTATATATAGTGAGTCCATGATATTAAGCATGGAAAAAAACAAATAGCATATCAATATCATAGTCTGAAAAATTATTATATATGCATGTTTGAATATTTATGAAAAAACTGAAAAACTATTCACATAACTTTCGCCTTTTTATTTTTTATTCCCTCATTTTACTGATGGTCACATAACTTTTAATGTGTGTTTTTGCAGGAGGAGAAATTTATGGAGACCTTTTATATTTTATAGTCTCATGCTATTGTTTCCTTTTGTTTAAGAAAGAGCTGTGTTGCTTTTGTGTACTGAGGGGAAGAAACCAACCATGAAGATTTTGTATCACTCAAGAGACATCATAAAAAATAAACAAGAGTTTAAAATGAATATAAAAGATGCACCTGTAGATTCATTTCGGAAAGGTATATTATATATTGGCAGTAGATATTATATTTATTTATACACGTATATATATGTATATATATACATATGCCAACATAATATATTTACAAACATAAGATCTAAGTGAACACAGTGCTTTGTGGCCTGCCTTAAGTGGCTATACCACTTGAAATTCTTCAAGCACTAGAATGTACAGACCTATTTGCTCAAAATACACATATAACAAATACTTGCCAAGTACTTACTTTGTTATAAGAGCTCCAAAGCAACTTGTCTACCCTCTATGAGCTCACAGGCTAGCTATAAAGAAGACATAACTGTATTCAAGGAAAACTATAAATATATTTAAACAGTAGGATTAAATTAAGAAGAGAAAAATAAGGTAGTGATTCCGCTGTGTGACTCAGGGAACGATACCCAGAGGAGGTGAGCATTTAGGATGGGTATGATTTGGATACGTGGAGATGAGAGACAAGAAGGGAGCATGTTACCTATAGGAAAAACAGCATAAATAAGGGCTCAGTGTTGGGAAAATGCACAATCTATTTGAGAATGGTAGATAGCCCAGACGTGTTGAAGCATATAGAGAGAAGTAAAAGATCAGGCTGGAGGGCAGGTAGGGACCAGAGCACCTAGGGTCTTGTGAGCCAGATTAAGGTATTTGGAATATATCTTGTCCAATAAGGAGATATTGACAATTTTCAAGTTGAAAAAATATCCTGTTTCATCTGTCGTTGCTCAGAGAGAAGGACCTGGAGTGTCCTAAGCAAAGGCTGAATTTCACAGGCTTTCACAAACCTGGTTGATTTGGATGGAGCTGCTTAAAACTCAAGCTGGGCTATCTCGTGCCATCTTGTATTTCTGCTTGAGTTCTCTGCCCTACTTGTTTGAGGTTATCTGCCAGAAGCATCAGGAACACACAGCAGAAGCCCAGCTGGTCCACAGTCAGGAAGAACACAATGTCCCTGGGCATTGGGAGAAGATTGTTTTAAAAAGACGGAAGGGAAAGTGAATATGTGGCCATCTGATGTGCTGGTGTTTTCAGCTCCAGCCTTACCTCACTTATCTGATGCCCTCACTTCTCACAGCCACAGATAGAAGCCTGGCTTGTAGCCTCAGACCTCCTCCAGCTCCAGAAGGGGCAGGAATACCCTGGCAGGCTCATTACATTTATGTCCAGGTATGTTTCCAGGCAGAGCCTTTGCGTCAAGGTATGGAGTCAAGAGGGCCTGCCTTGATCTCCCTTCCTATCATCCACCACCCAACCTCATCTTCTTGGAGAGGGAGGGACTCTGTTCTCAATTCTGACTGATTTGACTTTGACACTGAATACTCTGCTTGGTCTTGGCTGTCCCTTCCCCCATGCAAAAAATCAACTTCCACTCTTGCCCCTCAATCTATGTCCCATACAGCATCTAGACTGATCTTTTGAAGACTATTGATTATATTATGTCCTTCTTATGCTTGGAAGCCTTCTGGGGCTTCCCTCTACTCTGGGAACAGCATTCTGATGTATTAACTTGCCTACAAGTCACTGAGTGGTTCGACTCCTGCTGACCTTTCCATTCTTCTCTTCTACTTCTCCTCCTTGCTCTGCCAGTTCCTGCAGTCCTCTGAGCTCTTTCCACCTCACAGTCTTTTGCTGATACCTTTCCCTAGGCAGTTCTTCCTACCCCTCTTCAAAGGGCTGGCTCTCACTTACCCTTCAACTCGTAGCTTAAACTTCACCTCCTCAGAGAAGTTTTCCCCACCTCTTTGCAGCTCTTATCCTAATTCATAATTATACATTTGTATCTTTTCTTATTTATTTTCTGTCCCTACTACAAGGTCATAAAACTCCATTGAGGTAGAGATTGTGTCTATTTTGTTTGTCTCTATTTTCCTAGCACACAGCATGATGCTCAGCCTATAGTGGCTACTCGATTGATGTTTGTCCAGTCACTAGATGAATGAATTAAGGAGTGAATGAGGCCCCGTTTCTCTATGAATAGACTGATCTTCTAGAAAGTACACAGAGTCAGGCTGGGCACAGTGGCTCATGTCTGTAATCCCAGCACTTTGGGAGGCTGAGGTGGGTGGATCACCTGAGGTCAGGAGTTCGAGACCAGCCTGGCTAACATGGTGAAACCCTGTCTCTACTAAAAATACAAAAAATTAGCCAGGTGTGGTGGTGGGTGCCTGTAATCCCAGCTACTGGGGAGCTGACGTAGGAGAATCACTTGAGCCCAGGAGGCGGAGGTTGCAGTGAGCTGAGATCGTGCCACTGCACTCCAGCCTGGCAGCCTGGGTGACAGAGTGAAATTCCATCTCAAAAAATAACAACAAAAAAGAAAGTACACAGAGTCTATCTGACTTTAAGTCCCCACATGCTGCCTGGCATCCCCTAATGCCCAGGTTCAGAAACCATCTCAGGCATCCCAGGAGCCTCCTTATCCTGTCCTCTTTGTGTTTACATGCACCTCTTAGCTTCTCTGCCCTGCTTACTGCAGCAACTAGAGCTGGATGATCTCCACTGCCCAAGTCCTGGGGCCTAGCTTGCCTTGGATCTGGACTCTTTCTGCTTTGATCACAAGTAACAGAGCCAATAGAAGTGAGGAAATTGTTCCAAGACCACTCCGAAGGGCAGTTACAACACAATGTGGTGCCAAAATGTATTTCTTATACATGATTGCTGGTAAATGCTTTATCAAAACTGGACCTTTGCTAAATTGACAATGATTTATTTTGCACTATGAGAGCAGTATCAAAGAAATAACCTCATTATTCAATCTGTTGCCACCTAATAACTAAAGACTAAAAAAAAAGAAGAGCTGTTGAAGAAAACAAAACAGCTCTGTTGTCAGGGTGTCAGGGTGTCAGGGTGTCCCCTGGCTGCGGAGATAGGTGACTACAAACTTTAGCTACCAGAATCTGTCCATCCACACTCAGGATAATCCAGGATGATCAGGTGATATGGTTAGATTTTGTGTCTCCACCCAAATCTCATCTTGAATTGTAAACCCCAAAATCTCCATAATCCCCACATGTCAAAGGAGAGACCAGGTGCAGGTAATTGAATCACTGGGGACATTTCCCCCATGCTGTTCTCACAATATTGAGTGAGTTCTCATGAGATCCTATGGTTTTATAAGGGGCTCTTCCCCCCTTCGCTTAGCACTTCTCCTGCCTACCACCTTGTGGAGAAGGTGCCTTGCTTCCTCTTTGCCTTCTGCCATGATTGTGTGCTTCCTGAGGCCTCCCCAACCATGCTGAACTGTGAGTCAATTAAACCTCTTTCCTTTATTAATTACCCAGTCTTGGGCAGTTCTTCATAGCAGTGTGAAAACGAACTAATACAGTAAATTGGTACCGAGGTAGTGGAGCACTGCTATAAAGATACTTGAAAATGTGGAAATTATTTTGGAACTGGATAATGGGCAGAAGTTGGAACAGTTTGGAGGGCTCAGAAGAAGACAGGAAGATGTAGGAAAGTTTGGAACTTCCTAGAGGCTTGTTGAATTGCTTTGACCAAAATACTGACAGTGATGTGGACGATGAAGTCCAGGCTGAGGTGGTCTCAGATGGTGATGAGAAACTTGTTGGGAATTGGGACACAGGGCACTATGTCCTGAGACTGCACAAAGCACCAAGGCCTTGGGCCCTACCCACGAAACCATTTTTTCCTCCTAGGCCTAGGTTACTCTTGCTATGTTTTAGCAAAGAGACTGGCAGCATTTTGCCCCCAACCTAGAGATCTGTGGAACTTTAAACTTGAGAGACATGATTTAGGGTATCTGGTGGAAGAAATTTCTAACAGCAAAGCACTCAAGAGGTAACTAGAGTGCTCTTGAAAGCATTCAGTTTTATGTATTCATAAAGAGATGGTTTGGAATTGAAACTTATATTTAAAAGGGAAGCAGAGCATAAAAGTTCAGAAAATTTGCAACATGACAATGCAATAGAAAAGAATAACCAGTTTTGGTGGGGGGAATTCAAGCTGGCTGCAGAAATTTGCATAAGCAATAAGGAGCCAAATGTTAATCACCAAATCAATGGGGAAAACATCTCCAGGGCATGTCAGATGTGTTCATGGCAGCCCCTCTCATCACAGGCCTGGAGGCCTAGGAGGGTAAAATGGTTTTGTGGGCCAGGCCTAGGGCCTTACTGCTTTGTGAAGTCTCAAGACTTGGTGGCCTGCACCCCAGCTATGGCTAAAAGGTGCCAACATAGAGCTCAGGTCATTGCTTAAGAGGGTGCAAGCCCCAAGCATGGACAGCTTAAATGTGGTGTTGGGCCTACAGGTGCACAGAAGTCAAGAACTGAGGTTTGGGAACCTCTGCTTAGATTTCAGAGGATGTATGGAAATGCCTGGGTGTCCAGACAGAAGTTTGCTGCAGAGGAGGGGCCCTCATGGAGAACCTCTGCTAGGGCAGTGAGGAAGGGAAATGTGGGGTTGCAGCTGCCACACAGTTCCCACTGGGACACTGTCTAATGGAGCTGTGAGAAGAGGGCCACCATTCTCCAGATCCCAGAATGGTAGATTAATTGACAACTTGCACTGTGCACCTGGAAAAGACACAGACACTCAACACCAGCCCATGAAAAGCAGCCAGGAGGGGGACTGTACCCTGTGAAGCCACAAGAGTGGAGCTGCCCAAGACCATAGGAACCTACCACTTGCATCCGTGTGACCTGGATGTGAGAAATGGAGTCAAAGGCGATCATTTCAGAGCTTTAAGGTTTGACTGCCCAGATGGATTTTGGGCTTGCATGGAGCCTGTAGCCCCTTTGTTTGGCCAATTTCTCCCATTTGGAATCAGTGTATTTACCCAATGTCTGTACCACCATTGTGTCTAGGAAGTAACTAACTTGTTTTTGATTTTACAGGCTCTCATAGGTGGAAAAGACTTGCTTTGTCTTAGATGAGACTTTGGACTTAGGCTTTTGGGTTAATGATGGAATAAATTAAGACTTTGGGAGACTCTAGGGAGGGCATGATTGGTTTTGAAATGTGAAAGGGACATGAAATTTGGGAAGGGCCAGGGTGGAATGATATGGTTAGGCTTTGTGTCCCAACCCAGATCTCATCCTGAGTTGTAAACCCTGTAGTCCCCATAATCACCGCATGTCAAGGGAGAGACCCGGTAGAGGTAATTGAATAATGGGGGCCATTTCCCCCATGCTGTTCTTGTGATAATGAGTGGGTTCTCATGAGATCTGATGGTTTTATAAGGGGCTATTTACCCCTTAACTTGGCACTTCTCCTGCCTGCCTCTACATGAAGAAAGTGCCTGGTTTCTTCTTCGCCTTCTGCTGTGATTGTATGTTTCCTGAGGCTTCCCAAACCATGCTGAACTGTGAGTCAATTAAATCTCTTTCCTTTATAAATTATCCAGTCTTGGGCAGTTTTTTATAGCAGTGTGAAAATGGACTAATACACCAGGAGTTGACCATATTTCGATAACACCTTTGCTCAGATCACAATTTTCAACCCTATCATGATTTGCTGTGTACCCCTGGGAAGGTTGCTTTCTGTCTTTAGGGCCTGATTTCCCCATCTGTACTTTTAGTAGGTTGGATTCTAGCAGCTCTGGCTGTGTCCCTGTAGGAATCCATCTGGACCCATGTACACATCTTGAGTCTTGATTATTGTCCCATGGCTGTCTTGATTTTAGGACTAAAGAAAATTCTCAAGCTAAGCACAGGAAATAGCAATTTCTGATATATTAATTTGCCCCCAGAAGCTGCCTTTGTTGTCAAGAATGTAAAGTAGTTTCTTTAGGGCAGTGGTTCTCAAACTTTTGTGTGAATTAGAATCATCTGGATGTCTTGTTAAAATACAGATTTCTGGGTCCCATCCTCAGAGTTTCTGATCAGTATGTCTGGGTGGGGCTGAAGTATTTGCATTTCTAATAAGTTCCCAGGTGGTGCTGATGCAGCTGGACTGGGGATCAACTTTGAGAACAACTCTTTAGGATATCTGAAAGTATTAAAATTAATTATAACTGTATTTCCAGAGGGACAGATATCAACATTGGACTACAGGATTTGTGGGACCTCAACGGGATCTGCCATCCTTCCCCATCCCAGGCAAGGAGAGGACAAGATACCTCCCCCAGTGGGCGTGGTCAGGGAGCCAGGCATGGGGGCTGGCCTCTAGCACTGCATTGCAGTATCTCCATAGTCCATCAAGGGCTTATTGAGTGTGGGGGAGAGCAGGATACTTTGTTAGGTTCAGAAGTATAACATAGGGAGAGAGAAAGGTAGATCTTTTCCTAGTACAAGGCTGAATGGAAAGATGTATAGTAGGAAATTTGGCAGAAGTGGTAGGTGCCAATACCCACTGGTGCCCACTGAGCCTCCCTCATTTCCCTGAAGGGCTCCAAAAATCATGTGCCAACTCGTTGAACAAGTATTGAATGGCTACTGAGTGTTGGAGTTATACAAGGCCCTAGGGTCCATGTCAGTGAATAAAATAGGCAGGGCTCCATCCTTCTGGAGCTGTCAGTCAAATGAATTAATGAGTCCCATGCATTCACTGAATGCCTTGGGTCACTTTGGCCCATGGCGGGCAGGGCACTTTTCCGAAGCCACACAGTGAGCTGAGGACAGAGTCAGGACCTGACCCTAGGCCTCCTGACTCCCATAACAGTGATTTTCCTATGACACGCTGCTGCTTCCCAGAGACCATGCACACTGCTGGTCTTCCTGCTAATGATGGGGATGATCGTGCATGCCGCCCCTTGGAGTAATGATTTTTACCAGGAGCGCAGGAGCTCATAATCCTAAGAGTGCATCAGAATTTCAGGAAATGAGAGGGAATGTGCTTATTTTCCCAACTTCATTTAAAAATATAGCAGTAATAGTACCTATTATAAAAAGTCAAACAGTACAGAAGTCTATAAAGTAAGAAAGGAATGTCCCTATACGTATCCTCCCCTGCCTCATCCCAATGTAGTTCTCCTCACCACTTCTTTTAATAGTTTGGAGTGATTAAGTCCAGACCTTTTAAAATATATTTATAAATAATAAATGTAAAAGGGATTATTTTTTAAGAAATCTTGTAGTTTTTCCTTTCTTTCTTTCTCTTTCTTTCTTTTTTTTTTTTGACAGAGTCTCGCTCTGTTGCCCAGGCTGGAGTGCAGTGGCACGATCTCTGTGCATTGCAAGCTCCTTCTCCCAGGTTCACGCCATTCTCCTGCCTCAGCCTCCCAAGTAGCTGGGACTACAGGCGCCCGCCACCACACTCAGCTAATTTTTTTTTGTATTTTTAGTAGAGACGGGGTTTCACCGTGTTAGCCAGGATGGTCTCGATCTCCTGACCTCGTGATCCACCCGCCTCGGCCTCCCAAAGTGCTGGGATTATAGGCGTGAGCCACCACGCCCTTTCTCTCCTTCCTTCCTTCCTTCCTTCCTTCCTTCCTTCCTTCCTTCCTCCCTTTCTTTCCTTCTTTTTCTTTCTCTTTCTTCTTTTTTTTTTTCAAGGTCTGGCTCTGTTGCCCAGGCTGGAGTGTGGTGGCATGATCTTGGCTCACTGCAACCTCCACCTCCTGAGCTCAAGAAATCCCCTCATCTCAGCCTCCCGAGTAGCTGGAAATACAGGCATGAGCCACCACACTCAGCTAGTTCTTGTATTTTTTTGTAGAGATGGGGTTTCAGCATGGTGCCCAGGTTGGACTCCACTCCTGTGCTCAAGTGATCCACCCACCTCAGCCTCCCAAAGTGCTGGGAATACAGACATGAGCCACCACGCCAGGCAAATCTTGTAGAGTTTTTTCTTTTTCTTTTTCTTTCTTTCTTTTTTTTTTTTTGTTGTTGTTGTTTTAGATAGAGTCTCACTCTGTCACCCAGGCTCTGGAGTGCAGTGGTGTGACCTTGGCTCACTGCAACCTCTGCCTCCTGGGTTCAAGGGATTCTCTTGCCTCAGCTTCCTGAGTAGCTGGGACTACAGCCATGTGCCACCATGCCCAGCTAATTTTTTGTATTTTTAGTAGAGACAGGGTTTCACCATGTTAGCCAGGATGGTCTCAATCTCTTAACCTTGTGATCCACCCGCCTCAGCCTCCCAAAGTGCTGGGATTACAGGTGTGAGCCACCGCGCCCGGCTGTCTTGTAGAGTTTTTAAAAGCATGTTTCATGTTATTTTTTAAACTGTGTAGAAAGTGGAAAAAAGGACACCACTTTTGTGATGGAAACTGCAGGAAAAAAACAGAGCCAGCTTGTGGCTGGTGGGGTGTGATCAAGAGGCCTTATTCTGGCAGGTGCATGAACACAGATAGCAGGAGAGTGGGAAAAACATGCTGGGGAGTAAAGCAAAGAAAGTTGTGTTTGCAAAGGGACTTAGAGGCTCTCACCTGTGGTGAAAGTGCAGGCACATTTCACCAGGACACCCACACGGTGCATGGCCAGGAGGCATGTTACCAACAGGCTGACAAGAACCAGCTGGAGATGGGATGTGGGCAGAAGGAAGAGAGTTGAAGAGGTATGTTAGAATGAAAAACATAGGACAAAAATAGATTTGTTAAGAGAATAAGAAGACAAGCGATAAGCTGGGAAAAAGTATTTGTAAAAGACGTGGGATGAAGGGCTGTTATTCCTCTTCAAACTCAAAGATAAGAAAAGAAACAATCAGATTAAAAAATGGACAAAAGGGCCTGGAACAGTGGCTCATGCCTGCAATCCCAGCACTTTGGGAAGTGGAGGCAGGAACCTCTGAAACGGCAGAGTATTCAGTCTTCCTTCAAGACCAGCCTGGGCAACATAGAAAGACCCTGCCTCTTAAAAATATTTAAAAAATTAGCTGGGCATGGTGGTGCCTGCCTGTAGTCCCAGCTACTTGGGAGGCTGAGGTGGGAGGATTGCTTGAGTCCAGGAGTTTGAGGCTGCAATGAGTTATGATCACGCCACTACACTTGAGTCTGGGTGACAGAAAGAGACTCCATCTAAAAATAATAATAATAATAGCCTGGCCAACATAGTGAAGCCCCGTCTCTACTAAAAATACAAAAAGTAGCTGGGTAGTAGTGGCACGTGTCTGTAATCCCAGCTACTTGGAAGGCTGAGGCAGGAGAATCGCTTGAACAAGGGAGGCAGAGGTTGCAGTGAGCTGAGATGGCATCACTGCACTCCATTCTGGGCAACAGAGTGAGACCCTGTGCCCCACTCCACTCCCCACACACAACACAAAAATAGACAAAAGACCTGAACAGACACCTCACCAAAGAAGATGGCAAATAAGCATATGAAAAGATGCTCCACATCATATGTCACCAGAGAACTGCAAATCCATACTACAATGAGCTACCACTACAAACCTATTAGAACAATCAAAATCCAAAATACTGATAATACCAAATGCTGGTGAGAATGTAAAGCAGCAGGAACTTTCATTTGTTGCTGGTTCGGGAATGCAAAATGGTACAGCCACTTTGGAAGATAGTTTGGCAGTTTCTTACAAAATGAAATATACTCTTACCGTATGATCTAGCAATTGCATTCCTTGGTATTTACCCAAATGAGTTGAAAATTTACACCCACAAAAAACCCTGCATGTGAATGTTAATAGCAGCTTTATTCATAATTGCCAAAACTTGGAAGCAAACAAAATGTCCTTCGGTAAGTGAATGGATAAATAAACAATGACACACAGGAACAATGGAGTATTATTTAGCACTAAGAAGAAATGAGCTATCAAGTCATAAAAAGACATGGAGGAGCCTTAAATGCATATTGCTAAGTGAAAGAAACCAATCTGAAAAGGCTGCATATTGCTTATTTCAACTATATGACACTCCGGAAAAGTCAAAGCTATGGAGACAGTAAACAAAATCAGTGGTGGCCAGGGGTTGTGGGAGAGAGAGATGAACAGATGAAGCACAGAGGATTTTTAGGGCAGTGAAAGTACTTTGTATGATACTATAATGGTGGACACATGCCATTGTATATTTGTCCAAAAAACATAGAATGTGCAACACCAAAAGTGAACCCTAATGTAAACTAAGGACTTTGGGTGATAATGCTGTGTCAAGGTAGCTTCCCTGATACAACAAATGTACTACTGTGGTAGTGGATGTTGATAATGGGAGAGGCAGTGAGTGTGTGTAGGGAGAGGGTATATGGGAAATCTCTGTACCTTCCTCTTAATTTTGCTGTGAACCTAAAACTACTAGAAAAAATACGATCTATTAAAAAACAAACAAACAAAACAAAAACCTTGAATATTTAAGAAATGTACACGGGAAGACTAAGAACTCTGCCATTTGATAATATTGGTACAAATGTACAAGTCGCCTCACATGAATGGGCAATAAGACACCATGGCAGGCGGGGCTGCCTATGCCACCCTCCCTCTCAACCACTCTGCAGAAACAGCCTCTCATTGCCTGGGTGTGGAGAGTGGAGAGTCTGGCAATAAAAGTACATTATGTTGGACAGGACATGGGTTTGAACATGGAGACTCTCCCAGTCACCTCTAATATCACAGAGAACAATGATGGAACCCAAAGTGTGCAGCAACTTCAGAGAAGGCGAAGGGATGGGGGTTTCAGTGATGCTGGAGGAAGAAAGGCAGAGGACAGGTTTTAGGGACAAAACTGATCTCCAGAGCTAAGAAGGCAGACAAGCGAAGCTAAGAAGGTAGGAAGGGAAGACAAGATGGACTTCCAAGTCAAAAGGGAAGAAAAGGGTTATCACTCCACATGACAGTCTAGAGACATGTATAACCTTGTCTGCTTTTTTTGTTTTGTCACAGACTCATTTTGCATGAAATAAATTTATCTCCCAGAAAAAGAGCAGATATTAATCACTAGACTTTGCCTACAATTTCATGAGTCTTATGGAATTCCTAAGACCCAGGTATGATCCTCTGGCCTAGGGAATAAATGAGATGAGAATAATCATTAATAAATAATAATAATAATAGAAACCATTTGATTGTCGAGTATTCTAAAGTTTACAAAATAATCTTACAAAATTGTTTAATTTAATCTTTCTAATAACTAAGCTGTCAATTCCCATTTTACAAGTGAGGAAACTGAGGCTCAAAAGAGCTAGAGAGGGAGTGACTGTAAATAAACAGAAAGTTTTTAGGGGCAATGCAATTTGTTCTAAAATTAGATTGTGGTGATGGTTGCACAACTTTGTAAATTTACTGAAAATTCATTGAGTTGTACACTAAAAATGAATAAATTATATGGTGTATAAAGGATACCTCAACAAAGCTGTTAAAAAATAAACAACAAAAAAAGGGCTAAGGCTCACATAAGCTCACCTGGCTTACAAGCAGCAGAGCTGGGGTGAACTCAGACTTTCTGATCCCAAGTTGTGCAGCAGAGTCAACCTGTTAATGGGGACTCCTGAGAGAGAAATGGTCACAAGGACACTTGATGTCAAACTGTGTCCCATGTCACTCAGGTGAGGTTTGCTTTCAGGCAAATGTACGATCACCAAAGACATCCCCACCCCACATTCCACGCCCCGGCGCCCCGCCCCGCGCCGCTGTCAGGACCACTCCCAGCCCCTCTTACCAAGATGCCCACATTCTTCATGGTTGGGGCAGGCTCAGGAGCTGCAAGTCAATGTTGCCTTTTACTATGTAGATCAGGGTTTGCAACCACCTAGGGAGGAAGAGAAGGAAGGCAAGAGAGAGGCTGGCCACTGCTGACCTTGGCCCCAGAGCCAACTGCCTGGGGAAGAGCTGGCAGACAGGCTTCTTGCAAATACCCAGTGTAGAGAGTCACTGTGTGAATGTGGGGGGACCAATGGATGGATGGATGGGTAGATGGATGGACAGGTTGGTGGATGAGTGGATGGATGGATGGATGGATGGATGATGAGTGAATAAATTAATTAGGTAAATGACTGAAACAAAAATAAAACCCATCGTGTCCCAAGTCTGTATTTACAAAAAATGTTATCTAGAAACGAAATTCACAGCCTGACTTTTCTCTTCAGAACACAGGCCGTATTTGGACTATAAGGCCTAGTTATTTTTAAATAGATACATAGTTTACCAGAATAAGTGATATTATACATGGTAAAAATATAAATATTTTAAAAGTTTATAGAATAAAAAGTAAATCTTCCCTCCTGTGACCCCTGAAGTCCCAATTCCCCTTTCTGGAAGCAATCACTGTTAATAGTTTCTCATGTATCCTTCCAGAGATAGTCCCTCTCTCTCTCCCTCTATCTATCTATCTATCTATCTATCTATCTATCTATCTATACCTATGTCCATACACACATACTTTTCTTTGCAGTATTAAACTCACTTCTACCCTTATTTTTTTAAGGAGGGATGTTGTGCATATCAGTGCACAATAGATGTGTTCATTCTTCATTTTAACAACTGCATGCTATTCTGTTGGTTGTGTCTGAAGGGGGCCAGCCCCTCCACACCTGTGGGTGTTTCTCATCAGGTGGGACGAGAGACTGAGAAAAGAAATAAGACACAGAGACAAAGTATAGAGAAAGAACAGTGGGCCCAGGGGACCGGTGCTCAGCATATGGAGGACCTGCGCCAGCACTGGTCTCTGAGTTCCCTCAGTATTTATTGATCACTATCTCTCCTATCTCGGTGAGGGGGATGTAGCAGGACTATAGGATAATGGTGGGGAGAGGGTCAACAGGAAAACGTGAGCAAAGGTCTCTGTGTCATAAATAAGTTTAAGGAAAGGTGCTGTGCCTTGATGTGCACGTAGGCCAGGTTTATGTTTGACTTTACACAAACATCTCAGTGCAGTAAAGAGCAGTATTGCCACCAGCATGTCTCACCTCCAGCCATAAGGCAGTTTTCTCCTATCTCAGTAAATAGAACATATGATCGGGTGTTAAACACCGAGACATTCCATTCCCAGGGATGAGCAGGAGACAGATGCCTTCCTCTTAACTGCAAAGAGGCCTTCCTCTTTCACTAATCCTCCTCAGCACAGACCCTTTATGGGTGTCGGGCTGGGGGATGGTCAGGTCTTTCCCTTCCCACGAGGCCATATCTCAGGCTGTCTCAGTGGGGAGAAACCTTGGACCATACCCAGGCTTTCTTGGGCAGAGGTCCCTGCGGCCTTCCGCAGCGCATTTTGTCCCTGGGTACTCGAGACTGGAGAATGGCGATGACTTTTACCAAGCATACTGCCTGCAAACACATTTTTAACAAAGCACATCCTGCACAGCCCTAAATCCATTAAACCTTGAGTCAACACAGCACATGGTTCTGCGAGCACAGGGTTGGGGCTACAGGTACAGATGAACAGCATCTCAAGGCAGAAGAATTTTTCTTAGTACATGAACAAAATGGAGTTTTTTATGTCTTCTTTTTTCTACATAGACACAGTAACAGTCTGATCTCTCTTTCTTTACCCCACAGTATCATGGCTTATTTAGCCAGCCCCCTATATGTGGTTGCTTCAGTCTTTTGCCACTCTCAGCCAAGCTGAAATGAATAATTGTGGATATATTATACATATTACACATACACATATACACATTATATATACATGAGGGCTTGTCTGTTGGATACATTCTCAGAAGTGGAGATAGTGAGTGGGTCAAGGGTAAGTGCTTTTAGAGTTTTGAGAGACATCGGCAAATTACCCCCAGGGAGCTGTTTCAATTGCTTCTCCACCAGCAGAGGGTGACAGGGACTATTTGCACCTGTTCTGGCAACCACCATGTGTCACACTTTCTGTCCTGAGTCGCAGCTCCCTGTGGGGTTCATTTGCCTTTTGGGGCTTAGTTCCTTATTTTTCACTTTGTTAAGAGTTTTGTCAGACTGAAACCTGTTCAGAGGTGAGTTAAGTTGTCAGGGGCCAGGAAACTATGTCTTAGGAGTAGAGCCTGAAAGGACTTCTTGGAAACTAGGATGGCCATACATACTCACACCCTGCCCCTCTCGGAAGTGCTGTCACTGGGGCGAGGGGGAGACAGTGCCATGCGTTCCAGTGGGGACCCCTGTGCAGCAACTTTCACCCTAATCACAGCACTCAGATCTCTCCAACATAAGGCGAGCTCCCTGCCACTCAGGGTATTCAGACAGAGATGGAGGGATGTGGGATAGGGTTGAAGGACAGTTACATTATTTTGGTGTGCGTTCCTCTACTGCAGAGGCTGGAGAGTGAACAGTTACATCTCCCAGACTCCTGGAAGCTACAGTTCTAGATAGAAAATAGGAAGGTCAAAATGGGTGTCCAGAGGCCACTGCAGCAGCAGCACCAGCAGATCCCTGGGACACAGCTACAGCCTCGTGCTCCTGACCCCGGTCCCCCAGGGACTCAGGCTTCAGCCTCCCGATTGTGGTGGAGGTGGTGGCTCTCCCTGGCGGCAACTCCAGAGACATGTTTCTGGGAAGTCCAGCCTGGAATTCTCTCCTCCAATCTTTCTAATGGCTATGTAAGCCTTTAATTACCATTCCTAAATATATTTCTGATATTTTTCTGCCTCAAGTAGTATGTTTTCTACTCTAAATCCTGACTGATAGGAGGCAGGGGTGTACAGGATGAGATGACCTCCATGGTGTTGTCTCACTTGCAATTTCTGTGACCTCATGATATTGTCCCTCAGCAGAAAAAAAGCAGTCTTCAAAAACCAGGTGTTTTTACTGAGGGAGGCAATCCTGGGAGGAGCAAGGGGTGGCCTAGCTCCCAACTCATTCCCCTGGCTGCATCTCCAGGCCCTAGCTGGCCATGCAGAAGTGAGCTCTAGGTGTCACAGTGGCTCTCTCAGATGCATTGTTCTTCTTTGTTCTCTTGGCACCGTTGCCAACTATGGATCTCATTGCATCCAAGGTTCCAGAACAGGCAGCCTGGCCTTCACTTGGGGAGCATCCTGGAGACAAGTGATAAAGAGCATTTCCTTACTCTGCTGACTTTTTTTTTTTAGACCGAGTCTCACTCTGTTGCCCAGACTGGAGTGCAGTGGCATGATCTCGGCTCACTGCAACCTCTGTCTCCTGGGTTTGAGCAATTCTCCTGCCTCAACCTCCTGAGTAGCTGGGATGACAGGCATGCGCCATCACACCCAGCTAATTTTTGTATTTTTAGTAGAGACGGGGTTTCACCATGTTGGCCAGGCTGGTCTCGAACTCCTGACTTCAGGTGATCCGCCCACCTTGGCCTCCCAAAGTCCTGGGATTATAGGCGTGAGCCACTGCACCTGGCCGTCCGTCTGCTGCATTTTGAGCTCTTGAGGAGAAAGCTCCTTGTGAAATGGGTAAAGCTGTCACATCTCTGGAATAGGCAGAAAATCCACAGAATGCCTGAACCAGTTTGAGATACTGCTCTGCACAGGATTGTAGGGAGAAATCCCAGGTATAAGTGCTAGTTGCATGATGCTTATCCCTATGGCCTCATTTCACTCTCTCAACAACTCTAAGCAGTGGATATTCTTCTCAGCATTTTACCTATGATTTTATTTTTTTATTTTTATTTTTTAAAATTTTTTTTATTATTATACTTTAAGTTTTAGGGTACATGTGCATGTTTGTTACATATGTATACATGTGCCATGTTGGTGTGCTGCACCCATTAAATTGTCATTTAGCATTAGGTATATCTCCTAATGCTATCCCTCCCCCCTCCCCCCACCCCACAACAGTCCCTGGAGTGTGATGTTCCCCTTCCTGTATCCATGTGTTCTCATTGTTCAATTCCCACCTATGAGTGAGAACATAACAGTGTTTGCTTTTTTGTCCTTGCGATAGTTTGCTGAGAATGATGGTTTCCAGTTTCATCCATGTCCCTACAAAGGACATGAATTCATCATTTTTTATGGCTGCATAGTATTCCATGGTGTATATGTGCCACATTTTCTTAATCCAGTCTATCATTGTTACCTATGATTTTAAAAGGTTTGGGCTCAGGAATGGGGACAGCCTGCTCAAGGTCACACAACTAATATAGGAATAGCAAAACTGGGACTGGAATCTGAGTGTTTCTCTGTGTCTTAGCCACATGTTATCCTGCATCCTTAGAAGCCATTTAGCTCAACATTCTCTTCCTCTCATAAAATGCTTGACTTTTTCCTACTACAGCCAATGCTTGAACACACGTAGAAACAGACCTCAAGCAGGCTGGCCTCTTAGACCTTCAAGGACAGATGACCATTTTATCTTCTTAGAAGACCTTTGGCAATAACATAGACTTCTTCAGAAACCCATTCCAAGATTCAACGATACTCATTCTCAAAAAAGATCTTCCCTCCTGTGTAATTTAAGAGATTGATATAGAAGATCCCTTTTTTGTTCATGCATTCATTTTGCAAACCTTTACTGAGCTCCTTGTGCTCAGGCTCTGTATTAGGAGGATATAGAGGTAAATAAGGCCTGGTCATTGCCTTTGGGTTTCTCACCATCCGGGCAGCTAGTCTGAGTCAGGCTAGAATTAGCTAAACTTTTTTTTTTTTTTTTTTCTGAGACGGAGTCTTGCTCTGTTACCCAGGCTGGAGTGCAGGGGCATGATCTTGACTCAGTGCAACCTCCATCTCCTGGGTTCAAACAATTCTCCTGCCTCAGCCTCCCGAGTAGCTGGGATTACAGGTGTGCGCCACCACACCTGGCTAATTTTTTTTTTTTTTTGAGACTGAGCCTCACTCAGTCACCCAGGCTGCAGTAGCGTGACCTCGGCTGACTGCAACCTCCGCCTCCTGGGTTCAAGCAATTCTCTGCCTCAGCCTCCTGAGTAGCTGGGATTACAGGTGCCCGCCACCATGCCTGGCTAAATTTTTTTGTATTTTTAGTAGAGATGGGGTTTCACCATGTTGGTCAGGCTGGTCTTGAACTCCTGACCTCATGATCCACCTGCCTTGGCCTCCCAAAGTGCTGGGATTACAGGCATGAGCCACCGTGCCTGTCCGTAGAATTAGCTAACCCTTTACTGAACAGTTACTGTGTGCCAGGTACTGTGTTGTTTGTTGCATGGATTATTTCAGTTGATGCTTATTGTCTGAAATCAATACCATTGTTACTATTCTGCTGGATAAAGCTTGATCTATCTTCTTCAGTGGAGGTAGATAATGCTTTTTGGGTATCCTCACTGGCAACATCATTTCTCCAAGGACTAGATCAGTCTTGGCTCCTCTAACACAAAGCCTTGCCCATTTTCACCATCTGGAAATAACACCTTCCTTTTCTGAATCCTTGTAGAACACTGAGTTCACTCCCTGGAATTTCACTTCTGTGTGTACATATCTTCCTCCCTAGGCTGTGAGATCCTTAGCTGCAGGGACCCAAATGGTATGTTGTGTTCATTGCTTTAGTTCCACAGTTCCCAGGTGTTGAATGTTGAATGAATGCGCCTCTAAGGAGTTATGCTTAGGATTCAAAGCATCACTTCATGGAGCATTATTTTTGCTACTAACACAACTTCTCTACACCTCTTTGCTTGTCTGTCAAGAACTACAGGAGAGCACAGATTTAGCTCTTTGGATTACTAGAAAGAAGAAAAATTCCACAAAAGTTTTCAGGTGCAAGGTCTCAAGCCCAGAAGCTTCTGTGGAGCAAAGGACACTTACGAGGTCCTGCTGGCCCTGTCCTGGCAGCAGGAGCTCCGGGTGGAGGAGTTGCTGAACCCTCCCTCGGGGCTGGCAGGGTATTCTTTGGGCTGCATCATCCAGGGACTGGCAGCTGGTGGAGGCACCCACAGGCCCAGGCAGGTGGATACCTCACTGTTTAGCTCCACGTATTGGGCATGTGAGGGGTGTGGAGCAGCCATGGTGATATGGTTTGGTTGTGCCCCCACCCAAATCTCATCTTGAATTATAACTCCCACAATTCCCATGTGTTGTAGGAGGGACCCGGTGATAGGTAATTGAATCATGGGGGTGGGTCTTTCCTGTGCTATTCACGTGATAGTGAATAAGTCTCATGAGATTGGATAGTTTTAAAAAAGGGAGTCTCCCTGCACAAACCTTCTTCTCTGCCACCATGTGAAACTGCCTTTTACCTTCCGCCATGACTGTGGGGCCTTCCCAGCCACGTGGAACTGTAAGTCCATTAAACCCTTTTTCCTGTATAAATTACCCAGTCTCGAGTGTGTCTTTATGAGCAGCGTGAAAATGAACTAATACACATGGCTTTGGCAGAGGCTGTGAGCAAGAATAGCTTTGGCATGCAGGAGCTGCAAAATATGATCTCAGCTCTTGGGCCTTAATAAGTTCAGGAGCTTAAATACAGCTTTACCCTCCTTGCCCAGAGTGGCACAGACTCGGCAGCTTAGGAAGAATGAATGGCCAAAAGCATGAATGGATGGATAAATGGGCTTCTCCACCGCACACACAGAGGCCCTCACAGTTGCTCTGACAATCTCTTCTTTTCTTTCTTTTTTTCTGCCAAATGACTGAATATCACAGGCCAGGCACTTTGATGGGTGCCGGGAATGAAACAGTTCCAGGTACTGCAGTCCCTGGAGGCGATGAACTTGGAAATTATAAATATTAATCATAGTTTCTCATAAATAAGTTTTTAAAAATTCAACAGTGATAAAGCACTTTGAAGGAAAATGAAAAGAGGCATGAGTGTATAACAAAAGCAGTTGCTCTTGCAAAGGCGGTCAGCAAAGCTTTCCCCGAGAACAAGGAAAATCCCTTGCATTGCACTGTCTTCCCCACCTTCTTGCTCCCACTCAAAGGTGGCTCCCCGTGAGGTCACTGCTGTTTTTGCAGGCCTCTGAGAGAAGTGTCTTTTTTCCTCACCCCCCTCATATTCACATCACAGGGTCAGGAGAGGGTAGGCATCCTTTCTACCCCTTGCTTTCAGATCCCCAAAACTCTTATCCCCTGGTTATTCAATTAAACACTAATCTAGGTAATGCTGTGAAGGGGATTTGCAGATGTCATTAAAGTCTCAAGTCAGTTGACCTTAAGATGTGGAAGCTAGGAAGCTATCCAGGTGGGCTTGACCCAACCAGATGAACTCTTTAAATGCAATTTTCTCTGGTTGGGCAGAAAGGGAGGCCAGAGAGACCAGCAGCATGAGAAGGGTTTGATGGCTTGAAGATGGAGGTGGCCACATTTCAAGGAATTCAGGAAGTAGAAGCAAAAAGCAGTCACACAGCAAGAAGCCTGAGCCCTTAGTTCTATTACTGCCAAGAACTTGAATGAGCTTGGAAGAAAATGCTTCCCCAGTCACTTCTACATATAGAATACAGCCTGGAAACACTGTAATTGCAGCCTTATGAAATCCTAAGCAGAGGACCCAGTGAAAGCCATACCTGGACTTCTGACCTAAAGAAATGGTGAGATAATAAATATGTG
This sequence comes from Homo sapiens, assembly GCF_000001405.40. Taxonomy (NCBI): domain Eukaryota; kingdom Metazoa; phylum Chordata; class Mammalia; order Primates; family Hominidae; genus Homo; species Homo sapiens. Next base: position 151,433,022 of record NC_000005.10, read on the forward strand.
TTATGTGAAGCTACTGAGTTTGTGGCAGTTTGTTACATGGAGGTAGAAAATGAACATACTCAATAAAGCATTGTGATTCTGGGATTCCAGTTTATAATTTTCAAAATAAAATACTCATTATAATTATTACCATGGTAATATGACAGGCTAGGTAACCAGGTTGGCTTTCCTGCTGAAAATAACTAAAACTTCTGAATAACATATATATATATATATATATATATATATATATATATATATATATATTTTTTTTTTTTTTTTTTTTTTTTTTTTTTTTTTGAGACGGAGTTTCACTCTTGTTGCCCAGGCTGGAATGCAATGGCAGGCCATTGGCTCACCGCAACCTCTGCTTCCCTGGTTCAAGAGATTCTCCTGCCTCAGCCTCCCAAGTAGCTAGGATTACAGGCACCCACCACCACATCCAGCTGTTTTTTTTTGTGTGTGTTTTTAGTAGAGACAGGGTTTCACCATGTTGTCCAGGCTGGTCTCAAACTCCTGACCTCAGGTGATCCGCCCGCCTTGGCCTTCCAAAGTGCTGGGATTACAGGCCTGAGCCACCACGCCCGGCCTGAATAACATATTTTAAAAAAATTCTTAATAATATTGAGGGGAGATCAAGAGAGCAAGGAATTTCTAGGTGAGTACTCACTCAGCCAGGTGAAGACAGGAACTCTGAGACCTGAGTGGAATGCAGCTACAGCTTCACTCCCACGGGTATTTGCTCAACCCAGTGAAGTTGAGCTTTAATATCATGGCCTTATGGGGCATGAGACAAATTCCGGAGCTGAGGACCTCTTCCTCAGAGTAAGAGTGAACTGGAAATAAATCAATATCCCACCCCCACCCTATTCCTTCCCTACCTCCCAATCAAGGGACTTGGAAAAAAAGTGACTGTCCTGAACCTAGTGCCCAGAGGATGGAGTAAAATTGTGGCTAAAATGTGGAATGAGAATTCAAGTTTCACTCTGTTCCACAGTCTACTTCATCTACCATGGTGGTCCAGAATACCTCCAGCCCAGAATGTAGTTCACAAGAACCTAGACTGATAGTTGCCAGCTGCTGGCAGAAGCAAATACAAAGTCTTTCAGGAGGGACTCACCTTCATTTCAGATCTTAAAGAATTTATGTAAGTAAAATTCCAAGAAACAGCAAAACAAGAGAAAATTTAAATATAGCACAAGAACTTTGCAAAAGAGAAATGTATGATACAAACGAAAAGTAGCTCTTTTTAACATATTTAGTAACAGAAAAAAATGTACTGGAAGATATGTACAAGGAGAAAGATACTCTGAAGAGTAATCAGGTGAAATGGAAAGTTAATTAAATAAAACTTCTAGAAAATAGAATTATAATAGTTGAAATTTAAAACTGAATATTAATTGAATTTTAAAAATTTAGTTGAGTTAATTTTAGTTGAAATGGATGGGCTTGATAGGAGATTATGCACAGTGAAGACAGAATTAGTGAATCAGAACTAGATCTGGGAAAGGTATTATTCATAATATAGTCCACAGAGACCAAGGGATGAAAAATCTAAAAGAAAAGTGAGGGAAAATAGAGAATAGAATGAAAGACCTAAATATATCCTACATCTGTCATGGACTGTGTATTGAAATCCTAACCCTCAGTGTGATGGTATTAAGAAGGGGGATCTCTGGGAGGTAATTAGGTCATGAGGTAGAGCCCAGAATTAGTGCTCTGAAATAAGAGACATGAGAGAGTTTGTGTCCTCTCTGCTCTTTGCCATGTGAGGATACAATGAGAAGACAGCCACATGGAAGCCAGGAAGTGAGCTCTCACCAGACACAGGATCGGCTGGCAACTTGATCTTGGACTTTTCGGTCTCCGGAACTGTGAGAAATAAATGTTTGTTGTTTAAGTCACCCAGCCTATGGTAATATGTTATAGCAGCCCAAACTGACTAAGGCAACATCAAATCAGACTCGCAGAAGAAAAGTTAAGAGGGAATATGGTAGAATAAATATTTGAAAAGATAATGGCTGAGAATTGTCCAGAAATGATGAAAGACACCAACCCACAGATTCAAGAGACCCAGTGAATTCCAAGCAGGATAAATAAAGGACACACGTATCTGGACACTTTATAGTGAAACTTCAGAACTTTAAAGGGATCTAAAGTCAGCCAGATTGGTGAAAAGTGTTACATTCAAAAGGGTTGCAGTGTAAAAGAAATTTCAAAAGGAAAAGAAAAGATTTGCAGTCAGTCTGTCAGCTGTTTTCTTAACAGCAGTGGAAGCCACAAGGTACTGGAATGATCACCTCAATATGCTGAGAGGATATAAACTATCTGTTAAGTGCAAAATGAAGACATTTTCAAACAAAAGAAATTGGAGAGAACTTCACTAAAGGAAAATTTAAAGTCCATATTCAGAAGAAGATCTGAGATGCAAAAGGAAATAAAGAACCCAAGAGAGGTAAATGTATGGGTAAATCTTGATTCTAATAATAAAGTATTATGGAGCATAAGGAAAAGAAACTTAAAATATGTGACATTATTATTATAAAAAATGGAATGCAGTGAATAGAGATTTTTTTAAGTGCCTATATTTTCTGCAGTGACTAAAGATATTGCTTAACTTTTTGTTAATACTTTATTAATTTATACATGTTAAAATTACTAGGGTATGGCTAGAGAATAGAAATAAAGTCTTTAAGTTCCAAATTACTAGAGAATAAAACAAAATAAAATAAGGGAAAATTAATCTAAAAGAAACTCAGTAAAGGAGAAAAAACATAATAGGTGGAAGATATAGAATAAAATAACAAGGTAAATATGACTATAAATATATCTGTAATTATTAATACAATAAATAGAATAATTTTGAAAATATCAAAATAATATTTATGAAAGACATATCTAAAACATAAGAATGCAGAAAGTTTAAAGTAAAAGGGATAGGAAAGATTTAGCAGGCAAATTTTACCAAAAGAAAGCCAATATATTAATATTAATATCAATAATTATTACTAGTGCCCCTGCTACTACTGTTTATTGAGCACCTACTATGTAATAGGCAATATATGAATTGCCTATTCATATATGAACATCCCTCTAAGGTAGTTACTTGAAATTTTTAAAGTGTAGTTTATATACAATAAAATGCACAGATCTTAAGTGTACAGTTGAATGAGTTTTGACAAATGAATACACTGGTGCAACTTACCCAGAAAGTTTCTTTTTGCTTGTTTGCAGTCAAACATCACCTCCCTCACATACCCAATAACCACTGTCTAGATTTTTGTCACCATAAATTAGTTTTGCCTGCTCTTGAACTTTATATTAATGAGATAATACAGCATGTATTCTACTCTTTCTAGCCTCTACAGTACTGAAAGGCAGATTGAAGGGTGGTTGGAGTGGATGTTGAGGGCCACCCCACCATATCCACCATTCTGCACCTTCCTATGGCAAATTATGATCAAGGACTCCAAGGGTCTAAGTGAGGGGTCACAGGTTCTCACACAACCATATGGCAAATTGTGACCAAGGAATCTTAGGGTCTATGTGAGTGGTCACAGGAGAACCCACAGATTCTCAAGCTGGTTGTAAAGTGTAACCTTGAACAAATGCCTCTGTCTCTCTGAGGCTCAGTTTCCAATGAGTAAAATGAATGAATTGCCATAGACCATCTCAAATAAATTCTAAACCCTAAAGCCACAGTATCATATATAATGATACATTATATATGTCCTAGGACTATCCAGTCACGTTTGGTAGGAGAAAGGTAGCTGAAGCTGGGAAAAGGACTCTCAGAGTTGCAAGATCTGAGAGCTGAACTTCTCCTATTCATTTCATTGGTGAGAAACAGAAGCCCAAACTGACGGGACCTGCTAGTAAGTGGCAGGGCTGGTCTCAGACTTTTTTTTTGGCTCCTACATCCTCACTTTTTCAGTGGCAATGGGTGGTTCTCCTCTCATCTGAGCACTCCCAGGCCCTTTGTTCCCATTGTGAGGTAACACTGAGGTCTGCCCACCCTACAGATGGGGCTTTGGGGGTTTGCTCCAGAGCTCTTCATCCGCCTGGGCCCAACCCTGGAACTATTCCTTTCAATGGTGTCTTTTCTTGCCTTGTTTCAGAAGGATCTACTAGTTGGCCCTATCTTGTGCCAAGACTGACAGCAAGGAAGCTGCTGGCTGAGTAAGAGTTTAGGGGAGGCTCTGAGTTGGGTGGAAGCCATGAACACAATTTAGGTAGAAAGGGGCTACAGCTTTGGAGAACCTGAGCCCAATAAGCTCTTGAAGTTGTCCCCTAACACAATCTTACTTTAACAATTAATATTCACATCTTTAAAAATGCTCATGTTTAAACTATGATTTATTTTAACCAAAGAATTTATAATGAAAAGCTATAGTCTCCTTATCTGACTTACTCTATCTAAAGCTGCTCTTTTTAGGACTATCTTTCTGTTTTTTAATCAGTGGTTTGATTGCTTCTTAGTCTTTTGGCTAAGATCAAGTGTAGTAAAACCAGTGGTTTGTTTTAGTTCTTTAGTTCTTCATTTCTCTATACAATATAGCTATAATGATATTTCTCAATTGATCAACATTATATTAGGTGAAAATTTGTACCTCTTAAATTCTCGTACTTTACTTCTCAATATAATTATTTTACTGTTTTAGTTCTTTATTGCTTACCTTCATAACTTTAATAATGATATAAACATAAAGCTACATTTATTTTAGATTATAAATAATATTCATTTCCTGTTGCTGCTATAACAAATTACCACAATTTAGTAGATTAGAACAATGCAAATGTATTCTCTTATAGTTCTAGAAGTCAGAGGTCCTAAAATCAAGGTGTGACAAGGCTGTGTTCTTCTGGAGGCTGTAGGGTAGAATCTGTTTCCTTGCTTTTTCCAGCTTCTAGAGGCCTCCTGCGTTTCCTTGGCTCATGGCGTCTTCCTCCATCTTTAAAGCCAGTAGAATAGAAACTTCTCTCCTCTCTGACCCTCCTGCCTCCCTCCTATTAAAAAACCTTGTGATTTATACTAGGACCACCCAGATAATCCAGCATAGTCATTTCACCTCGAGATCCTTAACTTCATCACATCAGCAAAGTCCCTTTTGCTATCTAAGGTAACAAGTTCCCGAGATTAATTAACGTCTTTGGGAGCTGTTACTCTGCCTACCACACCATACATTCCACTTTACCTGGGACAATTTCACTGTGTGCCCGTTGTTCTGGTGAAATGTTAACACAGCCTTTTTATTCTTAAAAGTGTCTCCACTTGAACAAATAAATTATATGAACACCCTACTTACCCAGTGCTTCCCAATCTTTTTCACATAACATGAAGGAAATAACACTTTATATGTCCTTGAGATCAAAGAACAGGCTGTTCTTAACTAGAGATTAAAAAAAAAAACACCTCAGGTGCTCTAGCTACCTTAGGACCCACCTGGCACTCAGCACCCCCTATAACTCATTCATGGTACACCATTGGCCACTGCACATGATTGGGAAAGTCTTCCTTATGTTAAAGCAATATAATGTGTTTAAAGCTTGTTCTTTTGTTGAGCTCCTGTGTGAGCAGCATTTTGTTCCAAGAAGAGGAGTGTACTTGGGTCTCATACATGTGCTCTGACACTCCTGTCATTGTGATCCTGCCTGCAGGTTGTCAGGCAGAGGTGTTCTCTGGCATCCTTTGACATATGCTCTGCAGGTCTCTGTCACTGCAAAATTCACCATCTCTCATGCACTCTCCCAGGCACCAGAGACCTGGCATTGGTGGCAGAGCAGTCTTGTTTAATCACAGGACAGAATTTTGAATTACTTGCAACATTTTTTTCTGAGTCCTCAGAGTGCATGCATCTATTACCTTTGCCACATTTTTTTTCTTTAAACATATTTCATTTACCACAAAAATACTATTGATATAATGTTTTATTGGGTATTAGTTCGTTCTAACACTGTATTAGTTTGTTCTTACACTGCTATACTACCCGAGGCTGGATCATTTATGAAGAAAGGAGGTTGAATTGATTCACAGTTCTACATGGCTGGGAGGCCTCAGGAAACTTACAGTCATGGCAGAAGGTGAAGGGGAAGCAGGCACGTCTTACATGGCAGCAGGAGAGAGAGAGAGAGAGAGTGCAGGGGAAACTGCCACTTTTAAACCATCAGATCTGAGAACTCCCTCAGTATCACTAGAACAGCATGGGGGAAACCACTAATGATCCAATCACTTGCCACCCAGGCCCCTCCCTTGACACATGGGGATTACAGTTCGAGATGAGATTTGGGTGGGGACACAAAGCCAAACCATATTATATCATAATTACCTCCTTTCAAATCATCAAAAAATCACAATAAGAAATGTGTAAAACAGGCTGGACATGGTGGCTCACTCCCGTAATCCCAGCACTTTGGGAAGCCAAGGTGGGCAGATCATGATGTCAGGAGATCAAGACCATCCTGGCCAACATGGTCAAATCCCATCTCTACTAAAAATACAAAAATTTGCCAGGCGTGGTGGTGTGTGCCTGTAGGTCCAGCTACTTGGGAGGCTGAAGCAGGAGAATTGCTTGAACTCGGAAGGTGGAGGTGGCAGTGAGCTGAGATCATGCCACTGCACTCCAGCCAGGGCAACAGAGTGAGACTCCATCTCAAAAAAAAAAGAAAAGAAAAAAAAAAAAGAAAAAGAAATGTTTAAAACAATAGCATGGCCTGAGGCACATTCCAGTTGTATTGATCTGGCCCCAGCACTTTTCCTATGTACTTGAGCTGATGATTTCTTGCTTCAGTGGCTGTTTTTCATCTGTTCCACTCCAGTGCTAATTTACTTTATAGGAGACACCCTCCTAAGGCACCAGCATGTCATATCTGATGGTGTTTGGTCTTCTTTATAGGAATTTTATTTTTTCTAATTTCCACTCCAAAGTTAAGGAATTTTCAAATTCATTTTTCAGCACTTGTGCCACTTAATAAATTCTTGAATTTTGTTGTGATTGGGTTGCCAAATATTGAAATCATAATGCTGATGAATGCTTATACTACAGCGAAGAATTACCCAGACCACCCACAGGAGTTTCATGAGTGTGAATAACGGCATTGCTCTCTGTATAGTGACAAAAGTAGGTAGGCCTTTTGTATCCCTACGTAACAGTGTAGCATGCTTTACAGTGTAGCAGGCAACACTCACCGCAGCTAGGGATGGGGCTGCAGCTCTGGTAAAGGAGATACAGGAAGGGCACCTACAGCATCTCCTAAATGCCTCATAGGGCTGCCACGAGGATTGACTCAATCAACAAGAAACTAGTTCCTGGCACATTGTAAGCATATTTTCTTTATTTTTTATTTTTTAAGATACAAAACCTGAGAATTTTAGAGTTAGAAGCCACTGTAGGGGGCAGTGGTCTTAACAGAGAGAGGCTTGACAGTAGGGCCATCAGTCACAGAATGTTCAGGAGGATGGATCAGGGACCCAAGGGGTCTCAAAAAGAGAGAAGGAGAGGGAAAGGGGACACTGGGTAGGGTTGCTATGACATCTCAGGGGCTGGTACTCTTGAGGGCTTGGGATGGGTAGAGTGGTTAAAAAAAAAAAAAGGAAGTTACATTCCTCAAGACTATGGAATGCAAAAGGATTAATTTCCCTAATATCTCTCAGCAGCATAACCCCTCATGTTATATATAGAACCTTTAAGCGCCTGATCTCATCTGCTTTTCCAGCAATCCAGGGAGGGAGGCAGAACCAAGGAGGGTTTTCAATCTCACTTTCCTGATGATGAAACCAAATGGAGATCAAAAGTCTTGCCCAGGTCACCCAGCTGGGAAATAAGGGGAAAAAAACCTTCAAATTACTTTCTACCACTCAGCAGAAATAAGTCACTACCAGGGGCTGGCCACACAACATGTTAGCACATGGCTAAAGCAAGTCCCTTCAGAAGCTTGTCCTTTAGGGCAGTGGTTCTACAGCACGAGAGAGCATCAGACTCTCCTAGAGGGCTTTTCAAAATGCAGATTGCTGTGCCCCCACAACCCAGGGTTTCTGATGCAGTAGGTGTAGAGTAGGACCCAGAATTTGCATTTCTGCAAGTTCCCAAGTGATGCTGGTCTAGGGACCACACTTTGAGAAGCACTGGCACAATGGTTAAAACAGAATGCATGCTAGTGATGTGCAGTGGCATGCACCTGTAGTCCCAACTACTCAGGAGGCTGAGATGGGAGATCACTTGAGCCCAGGAGTTTGAGGCTGTAGTGTGCTATGATCACTCCAATATGGGCAACATAGCAAGACCTCATTTCTAAAAAAATGAAACAAAAGGCAAAGAAATGGAGTGCATACTCTAAGGCAAAGTTTTTAATAGTATGTGCTATAAACAAGAGGTTGTATTTAATGTATGTTAATATACATCAGAGCTTCTAAGAAGACCTATGAAAAAACAGTTCTGCACATATTGAAAGTGGAGGAGACAAGTGGGTAGAAGGGGGAGAAATGAGAAAATTGTGAAGAGTAAAAGTCTTAAGCAAAACAATAAGTACTGGTATTTATGATTTTAAATTTAAACACCATAAACCTGTATATTTCTATACATACGTATATATTTCTGTAATTGTATAATATAGGGTTTGGAGAACAATACACACATGCTGGCACCTGTAAACCTTTGGAGAGGGGAGTGAATTTGGGGAAAGGGGATTTTCAATTTATATATTTCTATATTGTCTAACTTTTAAGAATATATTAACCTATTATATAATTTTTTACTGAATATCTTAATGCTTTTATTGAAGTATAATTGACATACAATAAACTGCACGTATTTAAAGCATGTAACTTGATAAGTTTCAACATATATATTCACCTGTGAAATCATCACAATCAAGATGGTGAACAAATTTGTCCCCTTGAAAATTTCCTCATGCCGCTTTATAATCACCCTCTCTCCTGTCTCTCCTCCGCATTCCCAGGCAATGGCTGATGTGTGTTTTCCATTACTTTATATTATTTTGTATTTTCTAGAATATTATATAAATGAAATATTTTCCTAATGTCTTTTGCTTAGCATAATTATTTTTTGATTTATCCATGTATAATTATTTTGACATCCATTTTGTAGCTGTATTAATAGTATTTTTTGGTTGAGAACATAATTTTTGTTTTAAAATTATTTTTCAAATAAATGTTTTTGTGTATATTTAGCATTTACAACATGATGTTATGCGATACTTATAGATAGTAAAATTGTAACTATAGTGAAGTGAATTGCCATCTCCATCATTTCACATAGCTACCCATTATTTGGGGTTTCTTTTTTTGTGGCAAGAGCAGCTAAAATTTACTCATTTCACAGGAATTTTAAATACAGTGTGATTTTTTTATTTTTAAAAAGTTATTTTTAATTGACATAACTATACATATTTATGAGGTACACAGTGATGTATACAATGTACAGCGATTACATCAGGGTAATTAACATATCCATCATCTCAAACGCTTATTTCTTTGTGTTCAGAACATTCAAAACCCCTCTTCTAGCTATGTGAAAATACATCCTATATTATTGTTACCTATGCTCATCCTACAGAGCTATAGAACTGATTCCTATCTAGCTGTAATTTTGTATCCTTTAACAAATCTCTCCCTATCCTTTCCTTCCACCCTGCTCAGCTACTAGTAACCTCTGTTCTACTGTTTGTACAGTACAATTGTATAACCTATAGTCCTTATGTTGTCCCTTTGAGCTCTAGACTTATGGATCCTACATATCTGCTACTCTGTATCCTCTCAGCTGCATTTCTCCACTTCCTTCCTCCAGCACTCCTGGGCCCTGGTCACCACTGTTTGATTCTCTATCTCTGTGTATTTGACTTGAAAAAAAAGATTCCACATATAAATGAGAGCATGCAATATTTTTTCTTTCTGTGTCTGGCTTATTTCACTTAGCATGATGTCCTCTAGTTTCATCCATGTTGTGGCAAATGGCAGGACTCCTTTCTTTTTTTAGAAAAATGTTTGTATATATACCACAGTTTCTTTATTCATTCTGCTGTCAATAGACACTTGGATTGTTTCTATATCTTGGCTGTTGTGAATAAAGCTACAATGAATATGGGCATGCAGATATCTTTATGGGGTGGTGATTTCATTTCCTTCGAGTATATGTCCAGAAAGGGGATTGATGGGTCATATGGTAGTTCTATTTTTAATTTCTTTAGAAACCTTTATACTGTTTTTTTTAAAAAAAGAAACTTTTACACTGTTTTCTATAATGGCTGCACCAGTCTACAGTCCCACCAACAGTGTACTAGAATTCCCTTTTCTCGACATCCTCACCAATATTTGTTGTCTTTTGACTTTTTTGATAATATCCAACCTAACATGTATGAGGTGATATCTAATAATGATTTTGGTTTGCATCTCCCTGATGATTAATGATGTTGAACACTTTTTCATATGCTCACTGAGCATTTTTATTTCTTCTTTGGAGAAATGTTTATTCAGGTCCTTTGCCCATTTTTAAATTGGGTTGTTTTTCTATTGCTGAGTTATATGAGTTTTTGATACATTTTGGATATTAAGCGCTTATTAGACATAGGGTTTGCATATATGTTTTCCAATTCATAAGCTGCCGTTACACTTTGTTGATTACTTCCTTTGCTGTGCAGAAGCTTCTTAGTTTGATATAGTCCTATTTATTTATTTTTGCTTTTGTAATCTGAGCTTTTGGTCTGATATCCAAAAAAATCATTGCCAAGGCCAGTGTCCAGGAGCATTTCCCCTATGTTCTCTTCTAGGAGTTTTGTAGTTTCAGATCTTACATTTAGGCCTTTTATCCACTTTGAGTTGATTTTTATGTACGGTGTAAGATAAACATCCAATTTCATTCTTTCTCACATAAAAACCAGTTTTCTCAGCACCGTTTATTGAGGAGACTGTCTTTTCCCTATTGTGTTCTCTTGATGCCCTTCTTTAAAATTAGTTGACCATATATGTTTGAATTTATTTCTGGGCTGTCTATTGTGTTCCATTGGTCTATCATATCTGTTTTTGTGCCAGTACTATACTGTTTGGATTACTATATCTTTGTAATATAATTTTGAATCGGGAAGTGTGATGCATCCAGTTTGTTTTTCTTTTTCAGAATTGTCTTGACTATTCAGGGTCTTTTGTGGTCTCATGCAAATTTTAGGATTGTTTCTTATATCTCAGTAAAGAATGCCGTTGGGATTTTGATAGGGATTGCATTGAATCTGTATATTGCTTTGGATAGTATGGACATTTCCACAATGTTAATTCTTCTGATCCATGTGCATGGGATATCTTTTCATTTATTTGTGTCTTCTTCAATTTATTTAATCATTGTTTTATAGTTTTCAGTGTACACCCTATTCATGTCCTTGGTTAAATTGATTATTGAGTATTTTTTAATGCTATCACAAATAAAATCATTCTCTTTATTTCTTTTTTAGGTAGGTAATTATTTGTGTATAAAAATATTATTGATTTTTTAATTTTTTTTTGAGATGGAGTCTCACTCTGTCACCCAGGCTGAAGGGGCGCGATCTCAGCTCACTGCAACCTCCGCCTCCCAGGTTCAAACAATTCTCCTGCCTCAGCCTCTCAAGTAGCTTGGACTACAGGCATGCACCACCATGCTGGGCTGACTTTTGTATTTTTAGTAGAGACAGGGTTTCACCATGTTGGCCAAGCTAGTCTTGAACTCCTGACCTCAGGTGACCCACTGCCCTGGCCTCCCAAAGTGCTGGGATTACAGGCATGAGCCACTGAGCCCAGTCATGTATGTTGATTTTTATGTCCTGAAAATTTACTAAATTCATGAATTATAACAGTATTTTTTTAATCTTTGGGGTTTTCTACATATAGGATGATGTCACCTGCAGATAAAGATAATTTTACTTTTTTCTTTCTGATTTGGATGCCTTTCTTTCTTTTGCTTTTTTGGCTGATTGCTCTTGCTAGTACTTCCAGTACTATGTTGAATAGAAGTGGTGAGGGTGGGTATCCTTGACTGCTACTGGATCTTGGTGGAAAAGCTTTCAGTTTTTCCCTATTAATTAAAATGTTAACTGTGTGTTTTTCATAAACGACCTTATTATGTTGAGGAATGTTCTTTCTATACCTAAACTATTGAGAGTTTTTTTTTATCAAGAAGGTATGTTGGGGTGGGGGTTAGGGAAGGAAAAGATGTTGGACTTTGTCAAATGCTTTTGCCAGGCCAATTGAGATAACCATGTGGTTTTCATTTTTCATCCTGTTAATATGATGTATTATATTGCTTGATTAGTGTATGTTAAACCAGCCTTGCATGCCAGGGATAAATCCCACTTGGTCATGATACATAATTTTTTTGATTGTTGTTGAATTCTGTTTGCAAATATTTTATTGAGGATTTTGTACCAATGTGCATTAGCGAAATCAGCCTGTAATTTTCTTTTCTTGTGGCGTCTTTCTCTGGCTTAGGTATCAAGGTGATGCTGGCCTCATAAAATGTGTTTGGAAGTATTCCCTCTAGCTCCATTTTTTGGAAGAGTTTAGTAACAAACCTTCTTCTTTGAATGTTTGGTAGAAGTCAGCTGTGAAGCCATCTGGTCTTGTTGGGAAGTTTAAACAGAAAACCAGAAAGTCAGATAGTCCCTGTCTCATCTTCAATCTCTTTATTTGTTATTAGTCTGTTCAGGCTTTCCATTTCTTCCTGATTTCAATCTTGGTAGGTTGTATTTTTCTAGGGATTTCTCCATTTCATCTGGGTTATCCAATATGTTGGCAAATAATTGTTCACAATAGCCCCATATGATTCTTTTTATTTCTGAAGCTTCTGTTGTAGTGTCTTCACTTTCATTTTTTATTTTATTAGTCTTCTTTTTTTTCTTAGACTAGCAAAGGGTACGTCAATTTAATTTTTTCCAAAAAATCAACTCTAGTTTTATTGATTTTGTCTGTTTTTTTTTCTGTTGTCTATTTGATTTATTTCTGTTCTGCTCTTTCTTTTCTTCTTTTAACTTTGGGTCTTGTGAGCTCTTCTTTTTCCAGTTTCCTGAGGTATAATGTTAAACTATTTAATTGGTCTCTTTCTTCTCTTTTAATGTAGGCATTTATTGCTATAAACTTCTCTCTTAGAACTACTTTTGCTGCATTCCATAAGCTTTGGTATGTTATGTTTCCATTGTCAATTGTCTGAAAATATTTTTTAAATTTCCCGTTTGATTTCATCTTTGACCCACTGGTTGTTTCGAAGCATAGGACTGGGTATGGTGGCTCACACCTATAATCTCAGCACTTTGGGAGGCCGAGGTGGGCAGATCACCTGAGGTCAGGAGTTTGAGACCAGCCTGACCAACATGGTGAACCTCGTCTCTACTAAAAATACAAAATTAGTCGCGCGTGGTGGCACGTGCCTGTAATCCCAGCTACTTGGGAGGCTGAGACAGGAGAATCGCTTGAATCCAGGAGGCAGAGGTTGCAGTGAGCCAAGATTGCACCACTGCACTCCAGATGGGGCAATAAGAGCGCAACTTTGTCTCAAAGAAAAAAAAAAGCGTGTTGTTTAATTTCCACATATTTGTGAATTTTCCAAGATTCCTCCTGTCATTGATTTCTAGCTTCATATTATTATGGTCTGAAAGAATATTAATATGATTTCAATCTTCTTAAATTTAAGGCTTGTTTTTTGGACTAGCATATGGTCTATTCTAGAGAATGTTTCAAGTGTGTTAGAGAAAAAATGTGTATTCTGTTTCTGTTGAATGGAAAGTTCTGTATATATCTGTTAGGTTCATTTGGTTTAAAGTGCAATTCAAGTTCATTATTTCCTTATTTTCTCTCTAGTTGCTCTATCCATTGTTGAAAGTGGGATATTGACCCTCCTACTATTGTGTTGCTATCTATTTCTCCCTTCATGGCCATTAATATTAGTTGTATGTATTTAGGTGCTCCAATTTTGCATGCATATATATTTACAGTTGTGTCTTCTTGATGAATTGACCCCTTTATTATTAAACAATGATCTTCTCTGTCTCTTGTGACAGTTTTTGACTTGAAGCCTATTTGTTACATAATTGTTAAAGGAAAAGTCTGTAACAAGGAGGTAAAAGGAGAAGCCTAGATAATACAATACTGAAATGTTGCCATCCATTTAAAAATGTTACTTTAAAAATTTGAATGTATTAAAAGATAATGTTGCCCTACCCCACAGTTCCATTTCCAGTAGCAACCACAGATGATAGTTTGTGTATGCTTCTGAAAAATTGGAAGTTTTAAAAATATGCATATTTCTTATTATAAAAGCAATACAAACTCATCGAGATGTGTAAAAGAAAATACAGCCAGTGTAAAAATTAGCAATATTTCACAAACCCACAACTCAAGGGACAGTGCTCTTCGACTGGACTCTGCCCCATGCCCAAGATCAATGCCCTGTTCAGTTCCTATTCGCAGTCCCCAGCGCCCAGGAACATAGTCCTTCCAGCAGTGGCAGTAATAGGTCGCCAGGTGGTGCTGTGGAGCAGAGCTCCGGAGCTCAGTGAGAAAAAAGGCGCGGCCGCTCAAGGGAGCACGTGACCTCGGCCTCTGGCGTGGGCGGTGGGATCACGTGATGAGGTCCGGAAGCGGCTGCCGGGCAGCAAAGGAGGATGGCGAGGGGCTGATACTGAACCCGGGAAGGGTGGGCTGTGCTGAAGCCAGAGCCGGAGCCGGAGCTGGGGCCAGAACCCGAGCAGTGAGTTCCTCCACTGGCTGCCGGCTGGCGGCGCTCGCCGCCTTGGGCAGGACCCACCTCGCCTTCCTCCCGGCGTGGCAGATGCTCCAGGTCAGGCACTGGATCCGCCCGGGCTGTGGGTCCGCGACTCCTTGGCGTCCCCGGGCCGCAGCTGCGGTACGACGCTGACACCCCTCTGTGAATTGGGCGAAGCGTGGAGATCCCTTGTCCCTCGCGCTATCTCCCTTGACCTCGTGGGGTTGGGATCTCACCGTCCTGTTTGACTGACAGGTGGGGGAAACTGGGGTAGATGGTGAAGATAACCCAAAGGACCATCTAGGGCGTCTTTCACGCTTCGCACAGGTCTCCCCGTTTCCAGCAAATGTCTTGCCCGCTGCGGGAGCGCTGCTTGAGACAGGCTCATAATGGGTCTTTGGGTCAGAACTGCAAGGACGCTGGGAAGTCGTCTGGTGCAGCTCCCTCCTAGGACAGTTGGAGAAACTGAGCCCTTACTCCGGGAAGGGGTAAGGGCTTGCCTAAGGTCATCCAGTGAGTTAATCGGAGACCCGGAGACCTGCGACTAGAATGCAAATGTTCCTAAGCTTCAGCAGCTGTTTGCTTTTCGCCACACCGCCTCCTGCGGGAAACTTCACCTGTGAAAAGGCACTCCTTTCTGTCCCTTTCTCTTTTAGTCCTCTCCCTTTTTAGCTGTCTGCATTTTCCACCGCTGGGGTTGGATTTGCTCTGGGTGTGGTTCCCTGTTTGTTCATTATTTTTCTGCAAACTCATCCTTCTGTAGGTTTGGTTTCTAACCTTCCTGCATTCTATGTAAGTCACACCAAAATATGAAATATGAATCGGAATGTGCTTCTGGGAAGATAGGTGGCTGAGCCGAGGTTGTGGAGAGCCCTGACGTTAACTTGAAGAATGTAAAGACCTTTGCTTTATTTTTTCTGTAACTTGTCAGATTTGGGATTGCTTATTTGGATGGACGTTTTGCAGTTATTTGAATTTTGCTGAAGATAGCATCATGGTGCAATGGACAGAACAGAGATTGGGGAATCAGGATATTTTGTCCTAGCTCTGCCGCTTACCTGGCAACCTTAAGTGACTCGCGTTTGGGTTTCTCAGTCTAGACAGTGATGGAATTGAATTCTTAAGGGCCCCTTCTGCTGTGATCTGGATGTTGTGCATCTTTCTAGGCTTGTTTTTTTGTTTGTTTGTTTTTAAATAGAGATGAGGTCTCACTATGCTGCCCAGGCTGATCTCAAACTCCTGGGCTCAAGTGATCCTCCCACCTTGGCCTCCCAAAGTATTGCGATTACAGGGGTGTGAGCCAGTGCCCCTGACCAGGGTCTGTTTGTTTTTTTATTCCGAGAGATTTTACCCGCTGTGTACACTGAGTATCAGCCTTGCAACAAGACTTAATCTAATTGTGTAGGAAGCAGTTTCCTCTGCTTATTCCTCTGTTGCTATAAAATCCTCCTCCTCTTTCTTCCTATCTCTGTATTATGTCTAAGCTAAATACTAACAGCTGAAAATGATTTTTAACTGTCTGTTATTATTTTAAACATGATCAGGGCCCTCTTCTGACTCTTGTCTAGAGCCTCGTTTACAGTAATTAACTTACTTGTACATTTAGAACATGTTTTCGTTAAAAATGTTCTTGAAGTCAAGTGGAAAGGGACAAACTTTGTGTTTGTCTGGGGATGGAGGCTACGTGCAGCAGAGGCTGTGCTGATAACAGCTTTAAGCCTCTCCCTTTGTTTTCTGATTGTATCGTTTATATTCGCCTGCTCTGGAGTCCTTGTTTTCCCTTTAAGGCATGTAGCTGTTCATTCAGCCTCCTCTTGTGGCAGTTCGAAGTGCTCAGAGTTTTCTCTGTTCCAAAGGCGGTGTAAGAAAAAGGGATTCCATTTATTTTATAATATTCTGGAGACTACAACTGGGACCAATAGATGAAAGTGCCATAAGGGAAGGGTGTTTGGTAAGTGTTAAAAACTTTCAAAGAATTAGTGGTCTCCTGTATTAGAACACTGAGCACGGAGCTCCCTGTCACTGGAGGTAATCGTCTCTGGGCAATTACTTCGGGGATGTTGTAGATGAAATTAGATTGTTGGGTAGAGGGTTGGACTAGACAAAATTTTAAGTTTTCTTTCAACTCAAGAGTCTGTGACATTCTAGGACTGGACTTACTAGCATGTAGAGTGGATGGAGCAGATGTCCACTTACTAGCATGTGGGATGGATGGAGCAGATGTCCACTTATTACTAGCATGTGGGATGGATGGAGCAGGTGTCCACTTAGTGGCATGTAGAGTGGATGGAGCAGATGTCTGCTTACTAGCATGTGGGATGAATGGAGCCGATGTCCACTTACTGGCATGTAGAGTGGATGGAGCAGATGTCCACTTATTAGCATGTGGGATGGATGGAGCCGATGTCCACTTACTAGCATGTAAAGTGGATGGAGCAGATGTCCGCTTACTAGCACGTAGAGTGGACGGAGCAGATGTCCACTTACTAGCATGTGGGATGGATGGAGCTGATGTCCACTTACTAGCATGTGGGATGGATGGAGCTGATGTCCACTTACTAGCATGTGGGATGGACGGAGCCGGTGTCCACTTACTAGCATGTGGGATGGACGGAGCCGGTGTCCACTTACTAGCATGTGGGATGGATGGGGCAGGTGTCCACTTACTAGCATGTAGAGTGGATGGAGCAGATGTCCACTTACTAGCATGTAGAGTGGATGGAGCAGATGTCCACTTACTAGCATGTGGGATGGACGGAACTGGTGTCCACTTAACTAGCATGTGGGATGGATGGAGCCGATGTCCACTTACTAGCATGTGGGATGGATGGAGCAGATGTCCACTTACTGGCATGTAGAGTGGATGGAGCTGATGTCCAGTTTTGTGATTACTTTGTTTCTATTTATAACCTTGTCTCAGGTAACTATTCTCATATTAAGTACTCCTGCTTTTTCTTTCTTTTTATCACCACCACCTCCCCTCCAGTGAGTATCTCAGTTCTTTAAATGCTTGATATCGCTTCAAAGGTCAGATGAGTGAATAGTCTTCTGTTTCTGCTTTTCCTGGCCTGGTGCTGATAACCGCTTCCAAAGTGCATGACTGATTAGCATTACTCACACCTAGGCCAGCTTTTCTCTTTTTCCCATAGAGGAACTCACATGGAATCCGTTTATTTCCATCCAGGCCTTCTCTTGTTTCCCATAGAAGAAGCTCTCACTGAGTCTGTTTACTTCCACCCAGGCCTTGGAAGAATCCTGTACCTCTCTCCTTTGGCCAGGCCTTACTGTGATGAGCACATAAAGGTAGCCTCTACTTAATGGGCATGGGGGCCGATGGATGGGGCATTGTAAATAGGCTGAAATAGGAACCACACGGTGCTGCATTTGGGGTTGTCTCTTCTTTTATCCCCCAAAATATTTCTCTTGGAAGCCTTGACACCCAGGGCCAGTTCTTTTTTTACTTATTATTTATTTTATTTTATTATTATTATTTTTTTGGAGATGAGGTCTCACTATTTTGTCCACGCTGGTCTTGAACTCCTGAGCTCAAGCAGTCCTCCCACCTTGGCCTCCCAAAGTGCCGGGATTACAGATGTGAGCCACCATGCTTGGCCCCAGGGCTAGTCCTTAATGACCATCTCTAGTAGGAAAAGCCACTCTGTGCTTTCCTTTTCCATGAAGTTAGGAAATCTGTCTGTGGGTTACTGAGATGTTCATGTCACTTAGATCACCATCTCCAAGGTAGGGACCTGGCTTCACAATCCAGAGTTTTAAATGGAGCCCATACTGCAGACTTTGTTTAGTGAACTTTCTCACTTTCTGTCCTTGAACTTCTCTGTAGTAATAATCACAATTGCTATCATTAATGAGGGTTTATTATGTTCCAGGCAACATATCTAACATTTATTTATTTTTTCCTCCTATCTTCATAACAATATTGTGATGTAGATGTTATTAATGACATCTTTCAGATGAGGAGACTGTGGCAAAGGGAGATGAATTAACTTGCTCAGAGTCACACTACCAGACTGCAAACTCAGGTGCTTTTTATTATGCAGAATACCCGCTGCAGACCTAATCCTGCCCCAGGCTCTGGGGCCAGCTTTGTTCGCAGGGAGATTTTAAGGAGGGTATATAATTTAAGGTGTGGTAGAAAGAATACTGGACTGGGATGCTGGTTTGCTGGACTGTCATCTCAAATCTTTGATTTGACTCATCCTGGGGCCTGGATGAGTCAGCCTTTGTGTGTGGGCCCTGGTTTTCTGACCCCTAAGAAGGAAGCTGGAGCTTGACCTTCTCTAAAGCTATACCTGGCCCTAACATTTAGTGATCTTCATGGTTGGGAGTAAAAGTGTGCGTGTTTGCCTGTTCAGCAGCTGCTTTGTGCAGAACCTGCTGAGGTCAGCAGCTGCCCTGTAGCTGTTCTAGCATCAGACTCCTACAGGAAAAAGTCTCAATTTATGGAATGTTCTGCTCTGGTAAGTTGGATGGAATTCTATCTGATGCTGTTTTAAAAACAAATTATGTAGAAGCCAAACCATTTTACTTCCCTCACTGTAGACCACACATAGCAACACAGTCTGTGTCTTTGTTCATGTTTTTAGAATTCCATCGACAGAGAGGAGAAAATACATCTGGGGAATTTGCCGCTGCTCTGAGTTCCAAAGTCCAAACCAATGTAATTGTTTCAGAATAACGGATGACACTTTTAGCTTGCAAACAAGGGGCGCCAATGCGTGAATTCTGGTAGGAGGTGAGGCCTAGGGTGTACCTATCATAATAAGATCATATATTTTTTGTAGTGCTTTATATAAATCTACCTATAATCAAGATTACCTAGGAAGCTAGTTAAAAATAAAACGCCTCTTGCCTGTAATCCCATCACTTTGAGAGGCTGAGACAGGTGGATCCCTTGAGGTCAAGAGTTTGAGACCAGCCTGGCCAACACGGAGAAACTCCATCTCTACTAAAAACACAAAAAATTATCTGGGCATGGTGATGGACGCCTGTAATCCCAGCCACTCGGGAGGCTGAGGCAGGAGAATCGCTTGAACCCAGGAGGCGGAGGTTGCAGTGAGCCAAGATCACACCATTGCACTCCAGCCTGGGCAACAGAGGGAGACACCATCTCAAAAAAAAAAAAAGAAGACAAAAAGACAAAAACAACAACAAAAAAACATAGGCTGGGCATGGTGACTCATGCCTGTAATCCCAGCACTTTGGGAGGCCAAGGTGGGTGGACCACCTGAGGTCAAGAGTTTGACACCAGCCTGGCCAACATGATGAAACCCCGTCTCTACTAAAAATAGAAAAAAATTAGCCAGTTGTGGTGGCGCATGTCCGTAATCCCAGCTACTCGGGAGGCTAAGACAGGAGAATTGCTTGAACCTGGGAGGCGGAGGTTGCAGCGAGCCAAGATCGCACCACTGCACTCCAGCCTGGGCAACAAGAATGAAACTCCATCTCCAATAAATAAATTAAAATAAATAAATAAAATAAAATAAAATAAAATGCTAAGGTGGAATCAAGTTGGGCCCAGAAATCTATTTTTTTTTCCTTGACGTATGTTTCATTTAACCCAATATATCCCAGATATTATCATTGCAATATATAATCAGTATAAAGATTATTAATTCATGGGATATTTCACAATTTTTTTGTTACCAGTTCATTGAAATCTAGTGTGCACATTTCAATTTTACCCAAGTGTATTTCAAGTGTAAGATAGCTATTTATGGCTAGTGGTTACTGTACTGGATGGTACAACTTCAGAATATGTTACCATCTATTGATCTTAATCCTCCTTTATTTTGAACAAACCCAGTCACTAAAAAATTGAAATTGGAATCCTGAAACTTTAGAAGTGAAAGTGTACTTAGAAATCATCTAATGCAGTTTTCTCAATTCTATATCAAAATAAGAAAACAACTTTGGGATTAGAATGACAGCCAGATTATGTTCTCCTGAGTCCTGAATCCCATGCTGTTAAAATGGGAACATTAGCATTTGAATTTATTAGAAAAATTTCTGGCCTTGCCTTAAAAAAAAAAAATCACTGTAGAATTCCCCTTAAAATTGCCCACTTCTGAAAAATTTAACACCTACAAATTTTTATTTTTAAAAATAGAATAAAATTTATTTTATTTTTAAAAATAAAAATTCAGTTTGCACATACATTTTCCATATTGCATCCGTTGCACAAAGTGATTCCACCTGCTCATTTTTAGTGCCCATCTAAAAATGGCATATTTTGTAGATTGAAGAGCAACACTTGTCTATTTATACAGCTAAAACAATAGTTACATAAGGAAAAAAAAGGAATGTTTTAAGGTTTGTACACTTAAATTTTTTTTTTTTTTTTTTTTTTTTGGCCATCAAACTTGCAGACTTTTTTTACTCAGTTGCTCACTCTTCTGAGTCTAAATATCTAATGGAGATTTGGACTTTGTGTTCTGTTTATTGTCCTCAGTAATCTGAAGGACAAGCTTGCCTTCAACTCTCACATAGTACAACCCTCATTTAGACAGTTAACAGGTACTATTAAAATCTCCCATAGGGCGGGAACTGGCAATTGCAGCAATAGACTTGGCTATCAGATTTCATCAAAGGGAGCCTAAGGGCAGTGTGGCCATGGATGCCAGCACTCATGGGGACAGACAGAGAGCAGGAGGAGGAGGCCTTGGTTTCCAAAAAGAGCCATAGAAAGAACTCCGGGGAGTGGCTCTGCCCACTGTCTGATGCTTGAATCCTTACATAACTGCTCTGAGAAAGGGCTTTTGCTTGGATTTTTTCAGGGATAAGGGAACAGGCTTTCTCCCAGAGTGATCTGTTCTATTTGGAACAGATCTGTCTTTGATAGAAAGTTCTTCCTTACACCTAGCAAAAAATCAGCCCTCTTGACTCTCCACGTACTGATCCTAGCCCTGCCTGACCTTTGAGGCCCCAAATAACAAGTCTAATCCATGTGACAGCTTTTTTTTTTTTTTTTTTTTGAGACGGAGTCTCGCTCTGTCGCCCAGGCTGGAGTGCAGTGGCGCGATCTCGGCTCACTGCAAGCTCCGCCTCCCGGGTTCACACCATTCTCCTGCCTCAGCCTCCCGAGTAGCTGGGACTACAGGCGCCCGCTACCACGCCCGGCTAATTTTTTGTATTTTTAGTAGAGACGGCTTTTAAAGACAGTTTTTGTACCCCTCAAGTTGCTAGGTGGAACCTTCTCAGTGCTTTCAACCATTCCTCATTTAGTTGGTTTCCTACCCCTCTTGATCCTAGTTCTGACCCCTGGATATACCACAATTTGTCATTATCCCCTTTATAGCATGCTGCCTGGAAGAGAACACATTATCTGGCAATTCTGAGTTGTGTAACATGTACCCATGTGTAACATCTAGCATGTAGAGTGGATGGAGCAGATGTCCACTTACTGGCCTGTAGAGTGGATGGAGCCGAGGTCCACTTACTAGCATGTGGGATGGATGGAGCCGATGTCTACCCATGATTCTCTCATGTCCTAATGCAACCTAGAATTGTGTTGGTTTATTTGGCATCTTGGATTATATTATTGCCTTCTGTTGAGCTTATCATCAACCAGAACTCCCAAGCAGAATTTTTTTTTTCTGTTTTCAATATGCATGCAGTTGCTTAGCCACATCTTCCATATCCCGCAGGCTTATTGGACCTTAAATCTATAGATTTCAGCTTCTTGTTGAGAAGTTTTCTTAGCAATATTCTGCTGTGGGTAACTTCAGTTTTTATACACAACATAAAGAAGTCTCTCTGCAGTGTTTGAGATAAATTGAACATCTGTACCAAGTAGACAACAGAGAGGTTTCTCGGTTGCTAGGGAAGGATTGGGCAATTAATAAGTCCCTGTATTCCATCCTTTCACCTTCAGTAATATATAGGTGTCAACCTAAAGGAAGAAGTTGAGACACAAAATGCAATTTTTAACAGTTTACTTGAACTGTTTACTTGAACCAAGTGAGGACAGCTGCCCGGGACACACTTCCAAGTTGCCTGGGGGAGTGCGTCCTTCGGCCTTTGTTACCACAGATTCTTAAAGGCAAAAGCGAACAAGGAGAGGACTGATACAAAGTGACTTGACAGGAATTCTCATCAGTTTACAGAAATAGCATGGATTATTGATGGGCTGTACATTGTTGGACTATAGGGTATGAGTTATGATGTCCAGTGTTAGCATTTTATGACTTAGTGGTGTCAGTTAGTCTAGAACCCACATAGCAAGTGGCTTCAAGAGGTAATTATTTAACTCAAGGGGGGAGTGACACATGACTGCTCTCACATTTTAGTGCCTCTCTGGACCCGTAATTTAAAGGGATTCCTCAGATAAAAAGTTTCTTTTCTTTCTCACAAGATTCACTTGGAAGGTTCTATCTTCAGATGCTTTTGGTTTGTTGGAAGGGACTAGAAATTGGCAGCTTTTTCTTTTTTTCAGTAGAGGCAGGGTCTCACTATGGTGCCCAGGCTGGTCTTGAACTCCTGGGCCCAAGTGATCCTCCCACCTCAGCCTCCCCAAATGCTGGGATTACAGGTGTGAGACACTGCACTCAGCTGCTGTTTGCATAAATAATTATGTTCATTGACACCTAGAATATTAGTGCTAGAGGGAGTTGAGAGATATTTTAGTTTATGCCCCATGCTTTTTGCACATTTGAAAATGGTTCACAGGTACTAAGCAAACTGTTGACAGAGGTAGGCTTGGCGCCTGGGCCTCCTGACATACCTGTAAACTGATTTACGAGCTTATACCTGTATAGCAAGAGGTTACAATGCTGGTATTAAGATACTTCAGAGATTTTTTTTTTCTCCCGGCCCTCTAGTGAGTTTAATTGCCCCAGAGCTGGTTGGCGTCCTTGAATTCCTCTAGCTCATGAGTAAATGAAGCTCTCATAGATTTTTAGCCAAGTGGCTCTGGCAATGAAGCTAGGCAGGATCGTCTCTGGGATTTCCAGGTCCTTTGCTGGCATTTTGCCAGGTACTTCCCTTGTGAGATAGCTTGGGGGTCCTTCCTACATTGCAATTGTTGAGAGAAAATGCGATCTCCCGTGGATCTCTCTGGTGCCAGACTGGGGTGTTTCCAAAGGAGTACCCTGGCACTGGACCTAAGGAGAGCCTTCGGCGGAGCACCATCCTCTGGCAGGTGGTGCTGGGTGTCGGGGCAGGGTGGGGTGCTGTGGCAGCAGTTGGAGGTCCTGTCTCCTCTCAAGGTAGCTGAGATAGAGTGCCCAGGCTTAAGGTGGGCATCCAGCCACATGCCGGAGGACAGTCTGACGGGCAAGTAGCTGTGCCAGTCTGCCAAGTGTCGGGAGGATTTTTGTCATTTTTTATATTAATGTACCCTTTTTTTGTCACTTGGTTCTTGAAGAGCAGGAAGTTGACTCTTTCACTGTGCTGTAATACTCTCTCATAGCAACTGGGACTCTGTAGAGTGGTTGTTTTCAGATTCTGACAGGGGTCAGGAGATAACGTTTTCTGCTTGGTACTACCTAGCTGTTGCAGGGCAGGTTACTTCATCTTTTAGCATTGATTCTTCATCTTTAAAGTAAGGGGCTTAGAGTGACCTGTGAAGGCTCATTTAGCAATGGTCTCTAGGATTCTAGGGGCCTACATCGCTCCCAAAATGTGTCCTTATTGTGTATCTTTAAGAAGCCCTTGCTCTTCTCTTTTGTGTAGTATTAATAGTATTCCTGAGTAAATCCACCCAGGGGACACCACTCTCACCACCCTCCCAACACATTGAAAGGACATTTTTTTCTCTCACCATTTTAAAAATGAGCACATCTATAAAAATAAAAAGGAAGAAGAGTTGTGGATGGGAGATGTTGAGACGAGGGCCAGGGTGAGCACCTTTCAGTTTCCTGGTCCTCCTCTGAGCTGCTTTCAGCTACCATTTCTCAGTACTCAGGTTGGCAGCAAGAAAGGAGTCCCAGGGTCAGGGTATAAGAGTTACTGGTGGCCTCCAGAGAGTATAGGATCAGCCTGTGGTCACAGCAGAGAGAAAGAGAACGGCATGTGTGGCTCTGGGATTTGGTGGGAGTTTCAGCAGAATTGGATGATCCAGAGGGGATTTCTGTTTTCTTTTTTTTTGTTGTTTGTTTGTTTTTTTTTTTGAGATGGAGTTTCGCTCTTGTCGCCCAGGCTGGAGTGCAATGGCACGATCTCGGCTCACCACAACCTCCGCCTCCCGGTTTCAAGCGATTCTCCTGCCTCAGCCTCCCGAGTAGCTGGGATTACAGGCATGCACCACCACGCCCGGCTAATTTTGTATTTTTAGTAGAGACGGGGTTTCTCCATGTTACTCAGGCTGGTCTTGAACTCCGGACCTCAGGTGATCCGCCCGCCTTGGCCTCCCAAAGTGCTGGGGTTGCAGGCGTGAGCCACCACACCCAGCCCAGAGAGGATTTCTTGAGTGAAATGTGTTCTCTATTGAAGGCAGAGGAAAAAGAGTATACGATGAGAAATACCCAGATTTCCATCCCCCCAAGAGCTTGTACATATATATATATACGTGTGTATATGTGTATACGTGTATATATATACATACACGTGTATATACGTATATATATATATATATATATGGGATATTTATATATATATATATACACACACGATTGAACTATTGCACAAGGTCCAAGACATTATCTCAGAAAGGAGTAGATAATCCTGACCTAAGGAATAGGGAATGCGGAATTCCAGGAAGCACTTCTCTTTCATTTTCCCCCACTCCTCCCAAGCAGTGCCTCACTTCTGCCTTGTCTAGCTGTACTCCGGAAAATTAAGAAATTTATGAGTGTAGCACCACGTATACCAATGGGAAGGATGGGAGTCAGAAGTCAAGTGAACTCAGCCCGCCTCTGTGTACTTTGCACTTTTCCATTTCCCTTGGTACCAGGCACTTTCATACTTAATCCATAGTGGAGCTGTCACAGTGAGCAACTCTGACAATGACAGCTTCTACCCCAGAGGCCACCCCAAATATGGAGCTAAAGGCTCCAGCTGCAGGAGGTCTTAATGCTGGCCCTGTCCCCCCAGCTGCCATGTCCACGCAGAGACTTCGGAATGAAGACTACCACGACTACAGCTCCACGGACGTGAGCCCTGAGGAGAGCCCGTCGGAAGGCCTCAACAACCTCTCCTCCCCGGGCTCCTACCAGCGCTTTGGTCAAAGCAATAGCACAACGTGAGTAGCTGTTACCTTCTCCTCTCCTGGGTGGGATTCGTGTTCCTAAGCCTCCCTTGGACTTATTTTTCCCCCCAATTTCATCAGTCCTCCACTTTACAGATGAAGGTCAGCAGTGAAGAGATTGGGCGAGTGACTGCGCTGAGATTTGCCTTCCTGGGCTGCCACTCTCTAGGCAGTTTCTTACTCTTTTTTCCTTTCAGCTGTGTTGGCCCCCCAAGGCTGGTGCCAAGTGAGAGCTTGGACTTAAAAAAAGCTTCTACAGAGGACATTCTTTTAATTTAAAAGTGTGTCATCTGTGCTAGAACCCCAAATAATTTCCAAGCATAATCGGAAGCTTCCTTTGCAAAGTCTCCCCCCGAATTCTGCCCCATCACCAAATCAGTATTCATTTGACTGAAGAAGTGGGAAGAGAGAAGAATTAACTTCTGCACTTAAAAAATTCAGGGTTGGTAGGAAAGGAAAGATAGACTTTGCATTCTCCAAAGAGGGCTTAATCTCTTGTCTCCAGAAACTGGGACCCCAGACTCATTTGGGCTGAGTTTGGCCCGCTTCAGGTCTCACTTTCCCCAAATGTAAAGAAAAATTGAGGACTCCACCACAAAGCTATGCTGGCTGTGTGGGGCTCACCACTTGAATTAGAAAATTCAGAGGAAGTTTTGCTACTCCATTGAGTTAGTTTCCCAGCTACTCCTGATTTCAGCAGACCTCTGACTTTTCTCTGTGTCCCAGCATCTCAGCTTTTGCAGTCCTGTTTATTCCTCAAGCTTAGCTATTACCTTTTCTGTGTTTTCTTGTGGACTGAGTGTGACTTACTGAGAGATCCTTCATGTCCTAGACTTATGCCATTCCTGATGACTGCCCAAGCGGACCATGGAAGCTTCTGGGCTCATCACTGGAGAAGCTCCCTCTGCCTGCACTGTCTGCTGGTACAGGGCATTTTCTCTTGCGAACTGGGGTGGAACTAGAAGAATGTCTGTCCACATTCCTGGCCCGTCACCACCACTAGCTGATTTCTATGCCTCAGGCTGGAAGTACTCAACCAGTCCTCTAAGATTCTGTTTCTGTAGCTTATTTCTCAGGGGTATGCTTTTGTAGATTCCCCATTAGCCTGCAGTGGGAGTTAGCTGGTGGTAGATTGCTTAGAGCACAGCTGGCAGCAGTGTGGATCACCCTGCCCCTCTTTCCTCCAACCTTATCAGCATTGGCAGCCCCCATGCAGAAGCATCTCCACACACAGCCAATGGCATGTGATGGCTTCCCTTCAGAGGTCATGCTTGTTATCGTAAGATACTTCTAAGCTTCCTTCTCTGTAGTTTCCTTTGCAGTTTTTGCTCCTTTTTGATCTCAGATATCAACTTGTCTAAGCAATATTTAGCAGATGAGGTCTGGATTTTTATGTTTATAGAGACATCTCTGAAGCTCAAAACCTACCAACTAGCAACTTTAGGATAGTAGCTCATAGGTTTTGGACAAAATTATGTCCTTGTTTCTTGGAAATCGAACAAATCAGAAGATACCTTCCTCAGGCTTGTATTGTGACATTTTCCAGGGTATACTTTGTTCCGAGTTTCCCTTCCTGCCTTGATGTTGTGATACAGTGTAGGTGACCAGGGAAGCCTATCTGTAGTTGATGGCAGGTATTACAGTCCCATCACAGGTGGTACAAGATAAAGTAATTTGCTGGGGCTTAGAGGACTGGTTGAGTACTTCCAGCCTGGGGCATAGGATCCACGCAAGGATTTATATAGAAAACATGCCAGGTATGATTAAGGTAGAGGTTGATTTGGAGGACCTTCTTAACCTAAATTAATATTTTAATATGTCGGAAGTGTTAGAGACAAGTTTTTGAGCTGGGTTCCTTTTATATTTCTGGTTTGCCCCACCCTTTTATCTAGTTTGCCAAGGAACAAAATACATGGAAGTACTTCTACACCTACTGCACATATGCATGCACACACCTGGCTCTTCTAGAAGTCAAGGGCTCAGCAAAAACCCCTAGTTAGGGGGTGCAAATAGGAACCCCAAACACTTCCATGAGTTTCATGGGTTACTTCCTTTTATTTTTTTGAGACAGGGTCTTGCTCTGTTGTCCAGGCTGGAGTGCACTGGCACAATCATGGCTCACTGCAACCTCCATCTCCTGGGCTCAAGTGATCCTCCCACCTTAGTTTCCTAAGTAGCTGAGACTACAGGCATGCTCCTGGCTACTTTTTGTATTTTTTTTTTTTTTTTTGTAGAGATAGGGTTTTGCTATGTTGCCCACTTAGTCTTAAACACCTGGGCTCAAGTGATCCGCCTGCCTCGGCCTCCCAAAGTGCTTGGATTATAGGCATGAGCACCATGCCTGACCTGTGAATTATTTCTTAGTGTGTTCAGTGAGGTTATTTACTAACACTTGATGTTACCAAGCTATTGACTGCTTCGAAGACAGCCTCATTTTATGCTGTTGGGCAGATTTTTCTTCTTGTTGCCCCTCTGAGTTCCATTATATATATCAAGCCTCCGTGCTTCTTCCCCATGCAAACTGAAACCAGCAGACTGAAACTGGCTCTCTAAAGGTGAGCTGGAGTAGTCATTTGCAAAATGTGGTCTGCACACTTTGTGGGCTTCCCAAGACCATTTCAAGAAGTCTATGAGGCTAAAACTCTCTTCATAATAATACTAAGATGTTATCTGCTTTTTCACTTGTGGATATTTGCACTTATAATGTAGAAGCAATGGTGGGTAAAATTACACTGTAGAACGAATCAAGGCAGTGGCACCAAATTATACTAGTTGTCGTTGTATTTTTCACTGCCACACATGCGCAAAGAAAAAAGCCCTTTGCACTTAATAATGTCTTTGATGAAACTGTAGGATTACTAATATTTAAAAATTTGAGACCCTTCAGTATAGGTCTTTAATATTCTGTGTGGCAAAATGGGAAGTATGCATGAAGTACTTCTATGAGTACCAAAATATGTTACTTGTCTTAAGGCAAAGACCTCGAGTGATTATATGAGTTGTCAACCAAACTTGCTGCCTTTTTTTTTTTTCATAGAACTAGAAAGAACAACTAACAAACTGTAGGTCATTCAGACCTGAGTACTTGTAAGACATTTTCTTGAAAATGAAAGAAATCAGCCCATCACCTCAAGGAAAACAATAGATAATACATATCTGTTGCCCAGAATAAAATTCAAGCTTTCAAGCAAAATTAGGAAAAAAAACCAACTTGTATCCAGTACCATGAGCTTGATAGCCCCTCTACTTGAAGACTTTTCTGATGAGATTAGTGGTGATATTAACAAATATGACTTTTTGATATTATTAATATACAATGAAGATGTTAACATTTGGAAGATCTGTGTAAACTCAACCAAAGTATGATGTTAGGAATTCTGCATGGGTAAAAGATCCATTGAAAGAGCAAGATCACCAATGGATTTTTTTTTTCTTTTTTTTTTGAGACAGTCTTGCTCTGTCACCCAGGCTGGAGTGCAGTGGCACAATCTTGGCTCACTGCAACCTCTGCCTCCCGGATTCAAGCGATTCTTCTGCCTCAGCCTCCCGAGTAGCTGGGATTACAGGTGCCTGCCACCACGCCCAGCTAATTTTTATATTTTTAGTAGAGACGGGGTTTCACCATGTTGGCCAGGATAGTCTCAATCTCTTGACCTCATGATCTGCCCGCCTTGGCCTCCCAAAGTGCTGGGATTACAGGCATGAGCCACTGCACCTGGCCTGACTTTTTTTTTTTTTTAAATACTAAATGTATCAGGGACTTCTGGCCTCTTATGGTGTGGTGTGACTTTTATGCTGTTCACTTTGTATCTTTCTGTTACAGGGTTTGGGGCTTCTGTTATTATTATTATTATTTTTTAATTTCCTCTGTTCTCTTACCAGTGTTTGTCCGTCATTGTTTGGTTTGTCATCCTCTGTTGCAGTTTTGGGATCTGAGTCTTTTTTTTTTTTTGAGATGGAGTCTCCCTCTATTGCCTAGGCTGGAGTACAGTGGCACGATCTTAACTCACTGCAACCTCTGCCTCCCGGGTTCAAGCAATTCTCCTACCTTAACCTCCTGAGAAGCTGGGATTACAGGCACATGCCGCTATGCCTGGCTAATTTCTGTATTTTTAGTAGAGACGGGGTTTCGCCTTGTTGGCCAGGCTGGTCTCGAACTCCTGACCTCAGGTGATCCACCGCTTCGGCCTCCCAAAGTAGTGGGATTATAGGCATGAGCCACTGTGCCTGGCCAGGTCTGAGCCTTTACAGTGGTCAGTTCAGTGGTTAGAACCAGACCCAAATACACTTGGAAAGGATAGAGTGTCTGAAGAGAGTTGGAGCACCCCTCTGGTCTAATCTCTGAGAGAAGGGATTCTCAGAAATGTCAGAGAGTGGAGACTTACAGCACAGTGGATAAGAGGGGGAGCTCTGGAGTCAGACTGCCCAAATTTGAATCCTGCCCCAGCCCTTTACTAGGTATGTGACCTTGAGCAAACTGCTTCATCATCTATAAGATAAAATCTTACAGGGTTGTTGTGGAAATAAAATAAGATAATGCATATAAGCACTGAGATCCTAATAAAAGTTAACTGTCATGGTTATCATTTCCTTGGCTGTCTTCCACTTCAGATGGTTCCAGACCTTGATCCACCTGTTAAAAGGCAACATTGGCACAGGACTCCTGGGACTCCCTCTGGCGGTGAAAAATGCAGGCATCGTGGTAAGGGTCTGCATCAGTGGAGAGGAGTGGTGACAAATTTTAGGAGGTAGCTTTTTGTTGTTGTTAAAATGTACTTGCTTTAAAACATTTTAAATAGAGAAGCATTTTAAAAAAATCAGTTGACAAAAAGCGGAATTCAGACATTCATTCACTTAAAGATATTTATTGAGAGTGTTCTGTGCGTTAGGCACTGTTCTAAGCTCTTAGAATACATCAGTGAATTAAATATTCCTGCCCTCATGGAGCTTACTTCATGGTGGAGAGGATGTACTGAGATGGCTCGAGCAGTTTCTGTCAATAATATGAACTAATGAGTTAGTTACAGATGTCTGCCCATTTTCTACAGTCTCCCATGCCCTGTTCCTAAATGGCCAACTGCAAGAATCTTATGTCTTCTTTTTGTGATTTACCTCCAGTTGACTGCCTGCCCAAAGCCATTCTGGTTTCTTTCGGAGTTGAAGAGAGACTCAGAGATGTGGGTTGCCCTTAGCTAAGTGCAGTCTTTCTTGATCTGGCATTGCTGTAAAGATAACTTACCCGTCTCACCTCACATCCCTTAGCCCAGCTCTTCCCACAGTCACAGGAGCCTTCTATTCTGCTGATGTGCACCAGTCTTGGAACAGACTTATCTTATGTCCTTCTTCTCCACGTGACTAAATCTCTCGAAAATGTGCTAAAGTTCAGATAACACCCATCTCACAGAGCTAATCTCCATGATCACGTTTCTCTCTCTAATGCTGGGCCCAAAGTTTTGTCACTGAAAACTGCCTTAGTAGCTTTTTAATCCTTTGTGAACTGAGTATCCATTGGGTTCACTCCTAATTCTACCTACTTTTCTCTCTCTCTTTTGCCTGCAATATCTGTCCCCAGATGGGTCCCATCAGCCTGCTGATCATAGGCATCGTGGCCGTGCACTGCATGGGTATCCTGGTGAAATGTGCTCACCACTTCTGCCGCAGGTGAGAGCCCTCTGAGCCACCTCTCAAGTGACAGATTGTCCTTTTGGGTTCTGTTATCAACCCTGAAAATGAGCACTGATGCAGACCACTCTCAATTCTTTACACTGGCTGGAGGTAGCAGCTTATGATTGCAGCGTTTTCCTTTCCCTGGTTATTTTTGCGTTCTTTTCTGGCTCATTATCATCTGTTAAATTTACTTATGCCCAGTGGGTACTACATTCTAATTTCATGGGCGTTGTAATATTTACCCCATTGAAATGATTCTACCAGATGGTTGTTAATTATAATAAAAGTAACCATCCTGTCGACTGAATACTTCTGATCTTTGAAAGCACGAGATAC
This sequence comes from Homo sapiens, assembly GCF_000001405.40. Classification (NCBI taxonomy): domain Eukaryota; kingdom Metazoa; phylum Chordata; class Mammalia; order Primates; family Hominidae; genus Homo; species Homo sapiens. The sequence continues at coordinate 151,464,945 of NC_000005.10, forward strand.
AGGACTCAGAGTGGTACCTCCAGGGTGAAAGATGGGAACTGGCCCAGGTCTCAGTGGCTCTTTTTGTTCTGTCATTGTCATTGTCTAATCCACGTGCTCTGTCCTTCCTCTTCCCTCCTACTCTTCCAGGCTGAATAAATCCTTTGTGGATTATGGTGATACTGTGATGTATGGACTAGAATCCAGCCCCTGCTCCTGGCTCCGGAACCACGCACACTGGGGAAGGTAACTGATTTCCTCCTTCCTTTCAACTGTGGCCTCCCAGTGTGAGGCCTTCAGATGGGGAGGTGCAACGTGGGAGACAGTGTAAAGCGTGGAAAGAGTGCTGTTTGGGTCAGTTGCCTTGGGCTGTGGCTCAGCTCTGCTGGTAGTAAGCTGTGTGACCTGGGGCTGGGTAACCCCTTTTTTCCTTGGGTTTTAGTTTTCTTATCAGGAAAGCATGGGGCCTGGCCTGAATGGTCTCTAGAGCCATTCCAGCTTTGGCGGTCTATGACCAGTGATTGTTTTTGATTCACTCATTTGTTCAACAAATGTATTTAAGCACTATCTTATAAATGGAACAAAACAGTTCTAGGTAAGAAGGGAAGATTTCCTGAAGTAAATTATGTGGTTCCTACCCTCCAGAGGCTTGTAGTCTGTGTAAGGAAAAAGAAATGTGGGAAGAGAAGCCGGGGAACAAGATAAGAGACCAGTAGTGGGAGACACCCATAAGAAGAAAGTGTCATGAGCTAGGAGTACACCCTCAGTGCTCAGAGAGAGAGGAACTTTAAAGATTCTCTTGTCGGCTGTGCCAGATGAGAAACGCACATGAGAGATAGGAGCAAAGAAGGCTTCAGGAGAAGGTGAGATAAACTAGAGCAGGGTGTGGAGATGAGTTTGGAGGTGGGAAGTATTTGCAAATTTCTCGTTATGGTAACTCTTCAGTGTTTGGAGGGAAATATTATGTTTGTTTTCTACATTTAAATGTAGGAAATTGATACTATCAAGGGCTAAAAATTCTTAAAAAAAAAAAAAGAACCACATTAAAACTATGTTCTCTAGAAAAGTTCCTTTTTGTTGTCATAGAGGAAACTTACTTTCATTCATAGTCACCTTTATCCTGTGATGCAGATTATATAGTTCTTTTGGCCAAATTATTTTCTGTAACTGGGAGAAGCTAGATTGCCAGGTGACCACCATGAGTTGGGTGGTTGTTAATTCTTCCTTCCATTCTTTCTTACTACTTCCTTTCTTCCGCCCTCCTTCCCTCCTTTCCTTCCTTCCTTTTAATAAAATGTGTGCTATTTTAATGCGTGCTCATAGTAAAAACTTTGTTTTGATCAAGATAGGACATAAAGTAAAAAGTGAAAGAAAATTTTGGTCACAGTTGCATGGGTAGCCTTTTGGAATTTGCTGTATAAGTAGAAACATACACATGTTCTTAAAGTTTTTTGCACAGATTGACCATACTATGTATACTGTTTGGAAACTTGCTTTTTCCCCTTAAACGTCTGAGACGTTTTTCTCTATCAGCACATAGAGATTTAACACATTCTTTTTAACTGCTGTGTAATGTTCCATTTAAGAACGGTCTATAATTTAATCACTCTGCTTTTGATGATCCTTTAGGTTGTTACCAGCTGCTATTGTTCAACCAGCAGTCTGTTTTTGGTACATCAGTTTCTGTGTCCTTAATGTGGGACTTGGTTGGTTCTTATATCCAAGTTATAGAGACAGTGAAGGGGACTATTTCCTTGTGTTTTATGTCAAGGGCTCCCTGTAACTAACAAAAAAGTGTGAGATGGGATAGGTGGGCAGATGTGTAGAGAGGATGCTAAGGGGCTGGGCAGTGGTCATGGTGTCTGTGCATGTGTCTCACCTCATGCAGCATTCCAGACGAGAAGCCAGGAAGGGGACGTCGGAAACCACACAGATAGCACCTCCCTCACCTTCTTCCCAATGCCCCAGACCAGTGGCACCTAGCATGGTTTCTTCTCCTGCCAGGGCATCTCGTCCTTGTCACTGCCAGGAAGGGTCTGTGATGGCTTGGGGAAAAGCACTGTTAAAAAAACACTTAATGGGCACAATGTACACTGTTTGGGTGATGGGTACACTAAACGCCCAGGCACTACCACTATGCAGTATATCCATTTAACAAAACAGCACTTGTACTCCCTAAATCTATTAAAAAACAAAAACAAAAAACACCTCCCCTTCTGGGAGCATTGCATTTGTATTGTAACAGTCTTTGTATTCCTTCCTTCCCCACCTCCAGACGTGTTGTGGACTTCTTCCTGATTGTCACCCAGCTGGGATTCTGCTGTGTCTATTTTGTGTTTCTGGCTGACAACTTTAAACAGGTAGGCACCTGGTTAAAAAAGAAAAAAAAAAAAAAAACCAGAGCGAGAATGGCAAAAGATGATTGAAGTTTTTGTTTAGGATTTTTTCCAAATCAGCTTTTGTCAACAAAAGAGTTAAAGTTTTCATATTTTACATAGATCTACGTCTTCTATTTGATTCCCATGGAAAGAGCTCGGGCATAGAGAAACCGCCACATGTCTTGTCGACCCTCCTGTCCTAGGTACATATGATCAAACCTAGCTCAGACAATTGGGTTGCTGATGATAGTCGTGAAGTTCTCTAAAGATGGCTCACTGGCCACAGATTCTAAAAGGCCTTGTTCACACACCTGAGCCTTTCCTCAGGAACCTCTTCCAGCAGAGGATCCACCGGCCTCTGTTGTTTGAGAGGTGTTTCCGTTTTCTTCCTTCCCCTCATTCTAGGTGATAGAAGCGGCCAATGGGACCACCAATAACTGCCACAACAATGAGACGGTGATTCTGACGCCTACCATGGACTCGCGACTCTACATGCTCTCCTTCCTGCCCTTCCTGGTGCTGCTGGTTTTCATCAGGAACCTCCGAGCCCTGTCCATCTTCTCCCTGTTGGCCAACATCACCATGCTGGTCAGCTTGGTCATGATCTACCAGTTCATTGTTCAGGTACATGCCTAGGCCCTCTCCTATCATCTTGGTTCAATATTTTAAAAAAGCCAGGCGTGGTAGCTCATGCCTGTAATCCCAGCACTTTGGGAGGTGGGGGCGGGTGGATCACCTGAGATCAGGAGTTTGAGACCAGCCTGGCCGTCATGGTGAAACCTGTCTCTACTAGTAAAAATAGAAAAATTAGGCATGGGGGTGTGGGCCTAATCTCAGCTATTTGGGAGGCTGAGGCAGGAGAATCGCTTGAACCTGGGAGGCGAAGGTTGCAGTGAGCTGAGATCATGCTACTGCACTCCGACCTGGGCAACAGAGCAAGACTCTGTCTCAAAAAAAAAAAAAAAATATATATATATATATATATATATATATTTTATATATATATATTTACATATATGTGTATATGTTATTATATTTTATATATATTACATGTATATTTTACATATACATGTAATATATATTATGTACATGCATAATATATATTATATAATGTATGTAATATTTATATATTGTGTATATATATACATAATATATATATGTAAGTGGAATGTAAATAGTTATATGTTACTACTGGTATGTCTAGATTAGAGGTTCTGTTCTTGGGCCCTGTTGACATTTTGGGATGGATAAATTCTTTGCTATGGGGCTGTCCTGTGCATTGTGGGGTGTTTAGCAGCATCTCTGGTCTCTACTCATTAGGTACCAGTAGCGATCCCTCCATGAGTTATGACAACCAAAAATGTCTCCAGACATTGCCAAACCTTCCTGGGGGGCAAAATCGCCCCCCCACCCAGGGGGCACTGGTTTAGACTTTTTTCAATTAGATGGTTAATTCATGATCATTGTATACAGTTGGAAAATAGAGGAAAATGTTAAGATTAAAATAAAAAATAATTTTTCTAACCTGTATTTAGATAAGTAATTCCTTATCAACTCCAGTTAATTTTTATTTGTCAAAATTATAAATTCACTTGTTCCTTGCCCTCACTTAACCCATGCAGGCAAGTCTGTGGGGTGGCATGAGAGAGAACATCTGTATACAGATGGGTAGAAAATCAGGCTGAGAAAAATGTGCCCTTAAACACTATGGCTGTTTGTGAAAATGAGAATGCATTTTCTAAGGCTTGAGAAAAGGAAAAAAGTAAAAGCGGGTAAATAAAAGCATAACTTAAAAAAAAAAATACTTAAATTCAGTTCCCCAAATAATTCATCAGTACATATTCATTAAAATGCAGACAACACAAATACCTCTTGAATACCATGTCCCCACCCCGAGTCTCCTCTCAGGGACCCGCTGTATGTGATTGGTCTGTCTCATTCTAGATCCTGTGAATGGATTTACAGCCCATGTAAGTATATTGAGAAATACATTGAAATATATTTTGTTTTCATTTTTGAAACATAATTTTTTAAAGTTACATGTTCATCTACCTTGCTTTTTTCCACCTTAAAAATGCCTTAGTGAGCCTTCCAGGTTAGTATTCCTGGCTCTACCTTGTTGTTGTTAGTTGTCACATTGTATCACAGCAAGGAGATTTGCTGCCATTTATTTAACAAGTCCTCACTCAGTGGCTATCAGGCCATGGATAATTTTTAGTATTATTTCAGTATTAAGACAGTGAGATGTTCTTATACATTCCTTTTTGTGGACTTGTATAAATACTTAAGATATTTGTCTAGATGTGTAATTGCTGAAGAGTGTGCACTTTTGAATTTTTGTTATGTTACCAAGTTGTTTTTTCCAAAAGCTATTTCCTAATTTCATAGAGACTCCCTTCCACAGTATTTAAGTGCCCATTTTTCCATCCTTACTAATACTGGATGTATTAGTATTATTTATATTAGTATTCTTGATATATGTATGATATATTAGTATTTATATATAGTATAATTATATTAGTATTATTTTGGTCAGTCTGACAGGTGAATATTATCTCATTTTCATACAGTCTGCTTAACAGTGACCCAGTCACCCACTGATATAGTTTCCAGGAAGACAGTGGCTCATAAAAAGCAGGACTTCTTGTGCTAAGCAAATGACATTATCAATTTAGATTAACATTTTGCTCTGTGAGTATTGACTGTTTTTTCATCACATTAAGTCAGATGAGTGGCAGATATTGACTCTTCTGCAGAACTATTTTTTTAAACATAAAATAAATAGTTCTTCACGTCCCCTTTTTATGAGACTGGAAGGAGGGCCTGTGAATGCACTATAGACCATTTCCATTACCAAACAAGGAAGGGTAAATATTTACCCATGATTTCATGTTGTAATTAGAACTCTCAAGAGCACCTAGGATATACTCCACTGTACACTAAAGATGAATTGAGTGAGGCCACCCCCATAGACAGACACACCTGCTGCATTTACTTTTAAATCATTGCAGGTAGTCGGGCTGTGGTGGTTGCCATGATCAGAGGGCTGGGATAAGAATTTGGGTTCTTATAGCGTCTCAGTCCCAACCAACTGGTAGTATCCATCCAGAGTGATGTCTATGCATAGTACAACCAGGACACAGAGCAATGTCTGCATAAGGGCAGCCCTGCTGATTTCTTGAGAGCAATTCTGAGTCTTCCTCTGGGCTTAGCCAGAAGTTGTGCTGTGATCAAATAGTGCCGTCTGCCTGGAGTACAGCATGGGGGAAGAGGTTTGGCTGTGTTTTGATGTAGTCACTGCCCATAGTGTTGTAGTTGCTTCATTTTGATGTGTCATACAGCTAAAGATGCTCCCTTTAGGTCATTTTTGTTGCCGCTGCCTCTGCGGCTTGTTACTACTGTTCTGTTTTGGCATTGTGCCCCACTTACCATGAGGATTCCCCTACTGTTCAATGTTTCTGAATTTTTTCCCTAATCCTAAGCATGTACATGACTGTTCCTCTTGCCCCTCATGCACGTGCCATTGTAGGTAGCAGACCAAGGTCTTCCACAGAGAGCAGGTTCCTCTCTGTCTTCAGCATGTGGAGTCTCAAATGGAACAGTTCTGGGCAGAGTGCTTTGCACAGAGGGTGCTCCCAATAAATGTTTTATCACTGCATATCGTTGCTTCTGAGATGTATTTTTTCATAGTTATAACAGTTTCAGGATTGCAAGAGTACATCTCACAATCCATGTGTACCTTTAACAGCATTTTCTCAAAATACTGTTATTATAATTGATAATATGGTAAGACCTCACTTAATATCATTGATACATTCTTAGAAACTGCAATACATTAAATGTATGTATAGCGAAATCAGTTTTTTTCTCATCAATGTTATAACAAAACAGCGTTGAAGGAAGTGACTGTACGTCATTTCACTTAAAGTCTCAGTTTCCAAGAACTTATTGACGACAAGGGAGGACTTACTGTGTTGTAGAATTGAGGAGATATGTTAATAACGAGCTGATTTTAACATGTATGTTTCTTTATAAATTAAACTTTTCTCATTTAGTTGGTTGGGTCAGTAGCAATCAGTAAGTATGTAGAATAATACACTTCTTCTGCTGGCCTCATTCCCACAATATCCCCACATATGGATTGTGAAATTCCCAGTCTGATACTTGAATCTGATCTGATGTATGAATAAGAGCAGGAGTCATTCACTAACCAACAGATAGCACCTGTTTCCAATAACTTAGGTTACATTTGTGACTCAGGAATAATTACAGGCCACTCTTGCTCTCAAGTCCCATTGTAAAGGAAAAATACCTATTACCCTGTCTTCATTCCAGGTATTGAAATGCTTCTTACAAAGGGATCTAACAGATTTCTTAGCAGGGGCCCAGGGAAACACATTTATTTAATTTTTTTATTTTTTCAAAAGCAATATTACTGCTTTGAAATCTTTCAAAGTGAAGGCTGTTATAGAGCTTAATAATGGATCTCCTTTTACTTGCCTGAAATTATTCTGAAGCCTGTTAAGAGCATGCCCCGTATTATCCAAATAGCCATACAGTTAAATCAATTTTAAAACATTGTAAAAGGCTGTTTTAACATCAATTTTTATTTTAATTGAAGCAACATACACATGTGGTTTAGAAAACCAAATTGTAAAAAGACAGCAGCTTTGAATCCCTCCTCCCCACCCTGCCCCTTCCACACAGTCTGTTACTGGAGACTGTTGTTCGGTGGAGGATTTTGTGACTATACCTCTGTCTTAGTCAGGGTTCTCTAGAGGGACAGAACTAATAGGATAGATGTACATATATAGGGGAGTTTATTAAGGAATATTAACTCACGCAATCACAGGTTTCCACAACAGGCCGTCTGCAGGCTGAGGAGCAAGGAAGCCAGTCCAAGTCCCAAAGCTGAAGAACTCGAGGTCTGATGTTCAAGGGCAGGAAGTATCCAGCACGGGAGAAAGATGTAGCCTGGGAGGCTAAGCCAGTCTAGCCTTTTCACATTCTTCTGCCTGCTTTTTAATCTGGCCACTGGCCGAGCTGGCAGCTGATTAGATTGTGCCCATCCAGATTAAGGGTGGGTCTGCCTTTCCCAGTCCACTGACTCAAATGTGGCAACACCCTCACAAACACACGCAGGAACAATACTTTGCCTCCTTCAGTGCAATCAAGTTGACACTCAGTATTAACCATCACAACCTCCTTCCTTATACAACCTTAACATTGTACCTGCAGTTAACAGTTGCCCTTTTTCTGGCCCATTTTTTAAAGCATTCTTTTTGCTCCTCCTCCCCACATGTTCCAGCACTCCTGTTGTGTGCTTCTTGGTAATACTTTGAAAGTGCTCAAGTTCATTGATGAGAATTTTAAAAAGGAGAAGAAAAGAAGAGGAAAAAGGAAGAGAACCAATATAAAAATGTACCACTTTCTCTTCCCTTCCAGCTTTATCTTTGATGTTTATGTAGTTGTATCAGAGTGAATATATAAATTAAAATTAAAATTTTTTCTCACTAATATTTCGTAAGTAGTTTTTCATGTTCTACTTAGTTATCTCAATTTTTACTTTTTAATAGTGCATACTGGCCAGGCGCAGTGGCCAACGCCTGTGATCCCAGCACCTTGGGAGGCCGAGGCAGGCAGATCACTTGAAATCAAGAGTTCACAAACAGCTTGGCCAACATGGTGAAGCCCTGTCTCTACCAAAAATATACAAAAAATAGCCGAGTGTGGTGGCACGCACCTGTAGTCCTAGCCACTCAGGAGGCTGAGGCACGAAGAATTGCTTGAACCCAGGAGGCAGAGGGAGGTTGCAGTGAGCCGAGATCTCGCCACTGCACGCCAGCCTGGGTGACAGAAGGAGACTCTGTCTCTAGATAGATAGATAGATAGATAGATAGATAGATAGATAGATAGATAGATAGAATATATATTCTGTGGTTTAGCTGGTATGTTGTTAATTACTTAACTGATCCCTTGTTTGGAAGCACTTATATTGTTTTCAGTTACTTTATTAAACAGCTTTGCTCAGTGTTTTTCATCTTTTGATTTTTTTTCTACTTGAATTCAGTTTCTGGGGATGGGATTACCTAGTGAAAGAATGTGACTCTTTTTATGCAAGCCCCAACATTTGAGTTTTTAATAGTACCTTGGGCTTGTCTTTCCCCCAAACAAGTGGGTTTTTCTTAGCCTGAAGAGAAAAACATACAAAGGTTAAATGTCCCTAAATCATCTGTCAGGTATTAGACTTTCTTCCTTTAGAGAATCTTGGATTTGTTAAAAGGTATGACCTCTCCGATTCAGAGTTCAAATCTTGAATTTCTGTATAGCCTTTTGCTTTGTTTTGCTTTGTTTTGCTTTCTGTCTTTCAGAGGATCCCAGACCCCAGCCACCTCCCCTTGGTGGCCCCTTGGAAGACCTACCCTCTCTTCTTTGGCACAGCGATTTTTTCATTTGAAGGCATTGGAATGGTAAGAGCTGCACTGTGATTTGGGCTAGTGTTCTCTGGTGCCCTTGGTGTTCTCCAGGTCTGTTTCAAGGAATGCTGAGGAAACATTGTTAGAAAGTATCTTCTGAGGCCAGGCATGGTGGCTCACGCCTGTAATCTCAGCACTTTGGGAGGCCTAGACTGGTGGATCACTTGAGGTCAGGAGTTCGAAACCAGCCTGGCCAACATGGTGAAACCCCATCTCTACTAAATATACAAAAATCAGCTAGGCATGGTGGCACACGCCTATAATCCCAGCCACTCGAGAGGCTGAGGCAGGAGAATTGCTTGAACTGGGGAGACGGAGGTTGCAGTGAGCCAAGATCACGCCACTGCACTCCAGCCTGGGTGACAGAGCGAGACTCTGTCTCAAAAAAAAAAAAAAAAAAAAGAAATTATCTTCTGTAACTCACTGGTCAGTTAGTGAATAGTGTTTCGGGGATTCCATTGAGATTTCCCAGCTTCAACTTTTCAAGACAAATTATATGTAATTTTAAAATGTTTACATTCAAGGCCCCTTCACTGCACACTCATCTCCTATGTGTGCAGTAAGGAATAGCATATGGCAATCAGGAAGGCAGGGTCTAGAGTCAGACTGACATGGGGGTAAGTCCTGGCTCTGCCATAGAGTAGCTGTGTGACCTTGAGCAAGGGCTTCATCTCTTTGAGCCTTCATTATTTGTTCCTGAAAAGTGAGCTTAATGATTCGTAGTTATTAGGATTAAATGAGATATGTGCAAAATGCTTTGCACAGACCCTGACACATGGTAAATGTTTAATAGATTTTTATTTTATTAATAATGTTATTTTATTATTGAATCAATAAATGCATGAATAATTTCTCTGCCCTACAACATTGGTTTGGTGTATTTTCTGCGTGCAAAAGAGCAGCCTTCACTCCTGGCTCAGCATTCTGTGATTTCACCAAATGCTTTTCCTAAAAAGGAATCTACCCCTCACTTTTACCTAATTTGAATTTTATTTGTATTTTTCATAATAATGGTACAAAACTCTTCTCTGAAGAAAGTTATTCCTGGCCAAGGGCGCCACAAATGGGAAGAGCCTCCTCCCGGCACGGCACTTCTTTCTCTTTTTTGATTTCCGAGACACCTTATTTGCTTTTAAGAAAACCTAGAAGCTGTACACATTTTTTGTCAAAATCGTGAGAAATCACCCAGGTGGTGTTGATGGAACACGTTGAAGCTCTGACATCATGGGGGAGGCTTTGGGAGTGATCACATGTAAATCACTGGTCTCCCTGAGGTTTTATACCTTGCCCTGTGCTCTATCTTAGGGCTTTTCATTGCCCATGAAGAGTGTCTCACTGTAATTCAGAAACACAAATGGTTTCCTGCTGCTGGGGCAGAGGCCTGAGTGGGCCCATACTTCAGCAGTGAGAAAGAGATCCCAAGAACTCAGGACTGGAAAGAAGAGGCTGAGAAAGTGTGGAAAGATGCCCAGAGACCTTAGGTTCTTGGGCATCCTAAGGGACCTTGTGCTAAATTTTTAGTAGCTTTCCCTAACAGCACAGCGCAGAAATTGTTTGCTTGGTTTTATTACCCAAGACTTGTACACAAAGTTATTCTGCAAACATCATTTGTTTTCAAGATTTCTTTGTATTTCTATTTTTTTACAATAGAGAGAGAACACTGCTAGATTGACTCTTAGTTTTGGATCTAGGGCTTGTTCATTGCATCGGGGTAAAGTGCCAGGCTGCACACTGTATTCACCGTGTGCTCTGTGTTCATGCAGCTGTCACAGGCCAGATATGGGCTCCCTGCCCTCTGGCTCTTTGTATTCTTGGTATGATGGAAACTGACAGATACATTTAGAAGCTGTTTCTAATGGATGTGGATTAACTGAAGCTGGAGCAGGTGGTGGGGGACACTGGGGGCCCCTGGGAGCACCAGGCCTGCAGCAGGATCATGTTGGTGTGTGCAGCACAGACCTATTGTGCCTCATGGCTGCAGGTGCTGCAGGAAAATAAGTGTAATAACAAGATCAAAGTTTGTGGCACAGCTAGACATTGCCCAGTGTTGCTCTTCCTTATTAGCTGTGCCAGATCCAGTTGATGGCAGACTGTGAAGATCCTCACAGTCACACCTGCCATTTTCCCAATTCCTAAATAAACTCATTTTCATAGGGGCCTTTCCTTTGCTTTTACCAAAGTTAAAGAATGTCCTCTCTTATGATGAAGGAGGTAGCAAAGGTCAGTGGTTTGTAATAGGAGTCTGGAAACTGGGCATTGTTAAGCACCCATGTCTTGAGATCCTCTACGAAGTCATGCTTTCTTTCGCACTGCAGTTTCTCTCACTTGGAGGTTTAACTTGTCACTGCTAGTGCTTGCCCCTGTTGAGCTAGAGTGGCAGTTTTCCCTGACCTATATTTTGCATTCTTTAGACAGGTTAGCAGGAAGCTGTGATCTCAGGTTAGATGCCAGGTGGGCATGACATGAGAGGGCCTTCTGGTTGCCATGTGGCCTCACTCACAGGGCAAGGGACATTCCCAGCCTGCAGGGATCCTGCAGCAGGAGGACAGAGCACTGGCCTGAGCCAGGAGTCCTGGGCTCGTGTCCTGTCCACCCTTACTTTTAGGACTTCCTAGCTAGGCAGTGGGCTGCAGAGTCCCTTCTAGTCCCAAGAGCATAACGTCTGATGAAATAACTTTATTTAAAGAGCAGATGTGCTTCTGGAGAATTCTGGGGATAAAAGAGTTACTTTTTTTCTGAGGTTTTTTTTTTTCTTGGCCATTAACTTTTCTTTTTTCTGCACTTTCTCTCCTCTCTCACTACTCTCTCATAGGTTCTGCCCCTGGAAAACAAAATGAAGGATCCTCGGAAGTTCCCACTCATCCTGTACCTGGGCATGGTCATCGTCACCATCCTCTACATCAGCCTGGGGTGTCTGGGGTACCTGCAATTTGGAGCTAATATCCAAGGCAGCATAACCCTCAACCTGCCCAACTGCTGGTACGTGGAGGGAGGATGGAAACCTAGGAGCACTGGATATTTTTAAAAACTAATGGGTCACAGTGTGGATTCTCCCTCTTACTTATCTCTTAAACCAGCCCACTTCACTCTAGCCCACCATCCCCTGCCACTGCCAGCCCTCACTGGCTGCCCTGGACTGCATTCTGTTTGGGGAATTCATGTAGAGCCTTCTGCTGAAGCCATTGGTGCTGATCAGCCGATGGGTAAGCCATTTCTCCTTGGAATTCCTAAGCTCAGAAGGACCGAGTATCTAGTCCATTCATGGTAAACCATTCCAAATAGACAGGGAGATGGGAGGGCAAACCTGCATTTGATTCCCAGCATCGGTTGTGCCTCTCCCTTGGTAGTAACAGGCTTGATATGCAGATGGGAGCATCTCACTGTGAGCCGGGGATTGTTGGGAGTCCTTTTGTACCTCCCTTGCATTGGTGAATGTATTATAGGGAAATAGTGAGCCATTTTGAAATGCTTCCTGAAAGGGTGAATGTCCCAGGGCATGTGCAGAGCAACCATCCTGTTTTGAAGATGAATCATCTCATGGTGGAGAGCAGCTGTTAGCAGACACTGAGAAGCTTGTTGAGTGCTCTGCGGATCAGAATCAGCTTTCAGTCTAGGCTGGCTGATCTGCCTGGGTGTGCTTTTTATTTTGTTTTGTATTGTTTTATTTTATTGTATTTTTTAAGACAACAGCACTCAGTATTTCCAGGGGCTTTCCCGTTCAAGTACGAACCAGGCTTGACCCTGCTTAGCTTCCAAGATCAGGTGAAATTGAGCACATTCAGAATGGTATGGCTATAGACCTGGATTCGCTTTTTATTTTTTTATATTCTTTTTCAGTTGATTTTAACTCGTGAGGCATACCAATTATATATATGGATGCAGTATGTGTGACATTTGGATACATATGTACAATGTGTAATTATCAAATCAGGGTAATTGGCATATCCATCTTGTGTCTACTTTTAAATTTCCAAATGTTTCTGCCCTTCCAAGAAGGAAGAGGCAGGTGGTAGCTTGGTGTAACTGTGTCACCTTTCCCTGGAAGATAAATGGATCGGGAGCAACAGAAGCAGCCCACATGATCCGAAGCCATAGAGGAGAATCTGTCTTCTTTCCTAACACCCCAAACCCAGCTGCTGTAACTCTTCTGCCTCCATTTGGGTATAATTTATTTGGCTATCCCTGCAGGTGTCACTCTCCTAAGTCCAGACTTCACAGCTCTCCAGAGGCTTTGGGGCTGCTTTGAGTTTAATGATAGAGCCACCAGATGATTTTTCCCAAGAGTTTTTATTATCTATTCATGGAGCAAGTATGACCTTTTACCAGACTCAGTCTTTACAAGGTTGTTCTCCTGCTTATAGCATAAGAACATCTTCTAGATTTTAAATTCAACCACAGAGAAACTCAAGGCACATATACACAGTCTGTATTAGCACATTTAAATAGATTTCCGACAAGGGAGGACAAATGTTTCTTGCTGTTTAACACATGAGGGTCTGGTTTAAGGTGGAGCTTTGCTTAGGGACAGAGACCTTTCCTTTTAATGACCAGGTCAGATCTGTAAGTTGATCACAGACTGTTTTCCTACTCTGTGCAGTCAAGGCACTGGAGTAATAAAATAGGGATATCCTGTGGTGAGTTACGTCATTTTTGGAAGCTACACTTGAAGCAGTAGTAGGAAGAGAGCCATAGTGGTATGGAAAGATGGAATTCTGCTCTGGCCTCTTGGTCCTGCAGTGTCTTCATCTAATTCTAGGGACACTGACTTGGATGGGACAGATATAAATAGGCTTGTGACATTTTAATTGCAATTTTGTTTTTATTTTTGAAGGCATGTACACCTGTATGCCCATGGCAAAGATTGAGATTTTCAAAAGGTATATAGAGAGCATTAAGCTTCCACCCCGCGCCCTCCACTCTAGTTCCCAATTTTACAATTTCCCATTTCAGAGGCAACCATATTCCCAGTTTCTTTTTTGTTTGTTTGTTTGTTTTGAGATGTTTAGTGTATGATTGTCATGTGGGGTGAGTGTGTGTTTTTTCCTCCTCTTTTTTCTTTTTTAAGACAAATTGTAGCACTCTGTAGGTACTGTATTGCTTCATGCTTTTTTCACTTAAAAAAAGTGATATAAAACTGTCCCCATGATAGTGATATGCTATATCATGTGATAGAGTGATATATCATGGGGATAGTTTCATATCACACCATCACACCTAGAGTTCTGCCTCATACTTTGTTAAAAGCTATACGGGGGCACCACGATTTACCTATCGAGTTCCCACTGGTTAACATTTAAATTGTTTTCAGTCTTTCCTTCTTAAATAATGCTGCAGTGAGATATTTTGAATATAAGCTTTTGTGTATGTGTGTGAGGATATCTGTGAGGTAAATTTCTAGACATGAAATTGCTGGGTCCGAAGGACATGTGGGTTTGTATCCTTGATAAGTGTCAACAAATCGCAATGGGACCATTTTGCACTCTTGCTGATGATGTATAAGTGTGCTGAGCAGGCTTGGAATGTCTCCTGTCTGTTTCGGCAGGTTGTACCAGTCAGTTAAGCTGCTGTACTCCATCGGGATCTTTTTCACCTACGCACTCCAGTTCTACGTCCCGGCTGAGATCATCATCCCCTTCTTTGTGTCCCGAGCGCCCGAGCACTGTGAGTTAGTGGTGGACCTGTTTGTGCGCACAGTGCTGGTCTGCCTGACATGTGAGTAGAAGATGATAATTGCCTTGCTTGTTTTTCCCTAAAGGGCACCCAGTCTGCAGGCTTTCATGAGAAAAGACAATGTGTGTTGTAGTGAAGCTGGCTATGTTTGTGACAGAGAACCTGGCCCATGGCCTCACTTTCAGAGTTGAGGCACCTCCAGATGGGGAAGTGAATTAATTACATATGTACTGTAAAGAACATGGGAATGAGGACAGTGGTTTATGTATAGATAGGGTATGAAATGCTGTGGAGGTGGTTATCATTCAGAGTAAAGACATGCGATTACTATCCCATATTAAATAAGGTAAAGGTCTGAAAGCCATTTAACCCATATCTGTAATGAGTATAAGTTACTCTGATGAAGGGTACTTATTTGCTTTTTCAAATAGTTGTTTTTCCACTGTGACAAGTTGCTCCTTAGATTTCCTTTAGAGGCTTTATGATAGTATTCTAGACATTTTTTAATGTCAGTCTTACTAAATATGTTTCAGAAAATTTCTATTGATTAACCTAGGTATTTGATTGATCACTTGTGTTTTATTCTTCTTCTCTCAACCCCATTCCCAGGAGTGTAAGTTAAAAGACAGGATACCCTTCTGTTTGCTGTGGTTGAAAACTGGTGACATTTAGAAAATAAAAGTAAATTTTTTTTGTAGCTTCTGTGAGTTGGTAGACTAGAGAACCCCTGAGCAAATCGGTTGATAATAGCTAATTTAAGTTTCTAAGAGATTTGCAATTGTTTTCCAAATTCAAATGCTTAAAAGCATAGATTCCTCTTTTTGGCTCTATTTGGCTTTTTTTTCTCTTTTTAGGTTTTATTATTTTTGAACAAGAACCTCTTTGCTTATTATGTTGAGACTTCCCTGAGAATTTTCTTAAATTATTCAGTCTGAGCCTCTGTCTTTGGGATAAAGATAGATCCATATGACTTTTTAAATTCTAATTAGGGTTGAATGTTTTAAGGATGAAAGATGGGAAAGTTGTCTAGCATTTGCTCTTAGTCACTCCTTCAGGCCCTCTCCTAGACCAGCCTATATAGAAACAGCCCACGCAGCAGCTAATCCAGGGGCCAGGGCTGTTGAAAGCCAGCTGCTGTTCCCACAGCGACTGAAAAAGAAGGAACATGATGTATCCTGCTTTTCTAATAGATTGCCTTAATGTGTGCTGCTAAGATGGGATGCTTGGACTGTAAATTTTAATCCTATCTTGTGCCAGTAACTCTCCATGCTTTGATTCCAAAGTGTATGTTTCCACCGTGGATGGAGTAGCTCTAAGTGCTTGAGGAGACAGCTTTCACGTGTATGGTATTTATAATGTAAACTCTGAGGGCCCAATTCTTAAATCTAAAGGGCACTGGAAGAAAGAGTGTGGTTAGTTCAAATAATTTGCTTTTATCCAAAGTGCTCCCTCCGGAAAAAGTAGGTCTCTGTAGGTAAAATGTGCCTTCCTGACTAAACAGCTCCTCCACCCTGCCTATTGAGCTGGGGCAGTGACAGGAGCCTGACTCCTCTCCCTGCCCAATTTTCCCCTCCAGCCTGGCTCAGCCTCCCTGTAGCATATGTCACACTTCCTGCCAGGTTTATTTCTGCAGCACCCTGCAGGAGACAGCAGTCTCTGATTCACAGACCTCATGTTATCCTTAGATGC
Source organism: Homo sapiens (assembly GCF_000001405.40). Taxonomy (NCBI): domain Eukaryota; kingdom Metazoa; phylum Chordata; class Mammalia; order Primates; family Hominidae; genus Homo; species Homo sapiens. The sequence goes on from NC_000005.10 coordinate 151,481,137, forward strand.
CTCTTGGATTTTGCTTCACTTTTCCTGGCCCTGTCTGTGAGTCTCATCTCCCTTCAACAGGACGATGCTCAGAAGACACGGCTGCTTTTGGTCTTCAAGTGTGTGCAGTTGTTTTTCCCTTCTGTGATCTGTTGTGACTTAGCATTGCATTGTCATCCTGTTCAAAAAGGCAGCCCCCTTTATGTCTGAGAGCACTCGCCTCTCTCACCTTCCTTGGAGACTTTGAAGTAATTGTGGGACTCAGTAGAGGCCTTTCATGGCAGCAGCAACTTAAATGTATTTATGCGCGTTCATTTTGTTCTTGCTTCTCTGTTCTTTCAGATCTTTCAGCACCGTTGGTTAGTATGTGATTTTAGATCTTTAATTGATTTTTTTCATTTATATTCATAAATTTTAACAGCAGCTTCTTTTATTACTATTTCTGGTGTTTTCCTATCTTTTCCCCAACTTTTCCTCCTCCTCTTCACCCTCCAAAGGGAACAGGAGGAATTCAGTGTAGTTTCTTTTTTTTTTTCCCTCTTGGAATTCAACTTTCTCACCACTCTCCCCCATCCTCCAAAGATTACTATGGCTGATACGGACTTTGTGATGCTTAATTTCAAACAGTTGGAGAAGAGGGGGAGGGAAAACAAGTATTTCATAGGATAGTGCTCATTTTGTTATGATTTCATATCGGACAGTATCTACTTCCAGCCCATATTTTTGGAAATGCGGACTTAGCAGGTCACCTTATGTCCAGACCTTGTGTGGAAGAGGCTGGCCCCACCTGTGGAGTCTGGAGTTGTAGGATCAACGGTTTTTTAGATTTCTTTGGAGCAATAACCCATCCATCCTTCAGTGATTCATACTGATTCTCTGTGTCATTTGCCATGTGAAACATTTTACTTCAGTTTGCTATGAAAATTTCAGAAACCTATTTCTGAAGATATAATTACCTAAAATCGCATCATCCAAGAAGCCTGTTCAGACTGGAATGCAGAGCTGCAAAACATTCCAAGCAGTCGGATTTTTAGAGGATGAAGCTTCCAGGTCCAAACAGAGTAGCTTCTTAGTACCTTTGGGCCTTTCACACTTTTTAGTCTTGCAGCTACAGTGAAGAAGAGCAGCATCATTAATTAGCTGTGTAACCCTGCCACCCCCCACCCTGCATTCCCCGCCCAGGAACCCTCATAAGGCCTCAGGGTCCTCAACTGTAAGATAGGAAGGGTGTCTGACCTCTAAGGTTTCTCTCAACTCCAAAATTCTGTGATTCTGTATAGGTGCTTTGCGCTTGATTTTAAGTTTCTACACAAATATTACTCTAAAAAAAGAAAGTCAATGTAAAAACATTTGGGAATAAAAGAAGAAATTCCAGTATTCCACCAATTTAACAAAGTAATTTTTTTTTGCATTGTATCTTCTGTGTCTTAATCCTCATGGGTGCCTTGTAAAAATAGTTGCAATTGTAGTTTACACATAATTTTGTCTTTCACATTTTATTTAGTTTTATATCACAAATATTCATATCTTTCACTAATATTTTCATGACCTCGTGGTATTCCACTGTATTGGTGGATCATATTAACTAAGGTACTCCTTTCATGTTGGACATGGTGGTTGTTTCCCTTGTTTTCGTATTTTTTAAATTTATACCCCCACTAAGTCAAACTTTGTATACTGTCCAAGACTACTATGAATTTTAAAGGCATATTTATAGACATTTAAAAGTAACATGGTGAAACCCCGTCTCTACTAAAAATACAAAAACAAAATTAGCCTGGTGTGGTGGCAGGTGCCTGTAGTCCCAGCTACTTGGGAGGCTGAGGCAGGAGAATGGCATGAACCCAGGAGGCAGAGCTTGCAGTGAGCCAAGATCGCGCCACTGCACTCCAGCCTAGGTGACAGGGCGAGACTCCATCTCAAAAACAATAAAAATAAAAATAAAAATAAATAAATAAAAGTAACTTGGTAAGTTTTAACAGCTTTGATCATAATAAAATAGCAGCAAGAGCTCCCAGCACAGGAGCCATAAATGGCCAGCGTATTTCGTAAGTTCGCTTTTGTTCTTTTCAGTGCTTTGCTCTTGTTGTGTATAAGTCAGCTCTTTCTGATGCTGGTTCAAAACCACAGGCTCCAGAATCCAGTTCCTTCTGTGAACATGACTGTTGGCCTTATGTTGCTTCAGCAGTTTAAAAGCTCATATTCTTTGTGTCTCTTGACTCGAAGGGAAGATGTTTTGTAATACTGTTGGAGCCCTCTTGACTAATCATGTGGTCGAGCTGAGGTTGTCCTCTGTCCCCCCTTTTGTACACGCCACAGCTGAGCTGCTGCTGAGAAGTGTATAACTGCATTTGTTATACAAATGTCTTCCTTTTTGTCTGGGCTGGGGTCTTTGTGTGTGTGGGGGGGGTGATTAGGGGAGAGTAGGGAGAGGGCTGTTCCTGGCTGGCTGCTTCCTGAGATATCTACCTTGTTGAGTGTCTCTTCATAGGCACTTTAACTCACAGAAGACATTTAGTGCCAGAAGGGGTTTTATTTGCCCCACATGTCTGCATAGTCGATTGCTGCTTCTGGAGTTAGTTAAAGTCATTTTCCATGGTGGCAAAACAGATACCCGTGCTGTTGAACCCTGGGGGCTGCTGATGCTGATTTGGTTTGGACATCCTTCTCTTCTTCCCACTTTGTGTTAGTGGGAGGCTCGCTCTTCTTGCCCTCTGCAGTGTCACGCTTCATGTAGGGTTCAGCGGTGGTATGTGGTTCAGCTAGGACAGGAAGAAGGACTTCCCTTTGCAGCCCTGTGGTCCTGGCTTTAAGAGGAGAGAAATGTTCTTAAAATCTCTATTAAGGATATTTTTATTAGGCATGTTTATCTTATATAGTGGTGAAAACAAGAACAAGTTTTTAGATTACTTATAAAATATCATGATGAAGCGGAAGATCTTTGTCCAATCAGAGGAAAAATTCTGATCCCAATCTTCTGTTTCTGTTTCCACTTAACTCCCACCACAGAGTGGAGCATCTCTCTGACTCCACTTAACTATCATGAAGTGCCCATATGTCCTGCTAGGTCAGTATGGGAGAGGGTGGGGAGATGACAGACTCTCAGGGCTGGGAAAGGCTCTGATTTGTCTCCTGCCAGGGACTCATTTTCTCTGATAATAAAGGCCTCCTGTCTCTTGAGCGGACATCAGCATTTGTGGAGATGCTTGTGTGGCTGGGACTGAAGGAATAACTCACACTTCCTTTATCCATACAAAACCGAGTGGGTTAGAAGCTCCCTTTTGGGCAAGCCATGTGTTCGAGGCTTGGAGCCCCATCGCTTTGCTGTGCCACCCTCAGGCAGGACGTGGTGCTTCCCAGTTGTCAGTGAGGTGAGGAACATATCCCAGAACACAGTCCTAAGTGACTAACACTGGAGTGTATAGTTCCTTAGAATTTCAGAGTTGGGCGAGACTTCAGACATCACCCAGTTACCACATTTCACAGGTAAACGAATGAACTGAGGCTCAGAATAGTAAGCTGATTTGCCCTGCACCACTCAGCTTGTTATGGAGCAGGGACTGGTGATAATATTGAAGCATTTATTATTGGTTTTTAGAACGCTGAGTTCTTTACATGAGTGATATCGTTTGACCATCCTGTTTAGTAGTTGGGGAAATGAGTCTCAAAGAGTTTAGGTAACTAGCCACTGAGTGGTAGAGCTGAGGTTGGAGCCTGGGCATTCCAAATCCAGAGCCTACACCCATTCCTATACCACCCTCTCCCTGGGGCTCAGTTCTCCCGATTGTTACCTCAGTGCAGCTTCCACCCCACAGTAACACCTGGCACCATCACTGCAAGGATGACATTAGGCAGGGAGACCCAGACCCCAGAGAGGGCAAGTGTCTTGGTGTCGGTACCACAGCAGACCAGCTCTTTTGTTGAGCGTTAGATGACCTATGATGAGAATGCTGTTTTGTCATCAGCCTACAATTTTACCTCCAATTTTCTCCATATTCAACCCTCAAGGTTTGGGGGATGTCACCAACTCTATTTAGAAGCAGCTAAGGGCTGAAAACATAGTAGTTTTGAGTTTCAGGGAAATTAAAAGCCTAAACTTTTTGCACACTTCTCAAAGCCTTGAGATCGGTGAAGATGTTAATGAGAATTGCCATTATGGTTGATTAATAGAAGAAGGAAAGATGAAGAACTGCCCCAGAGTATATAACACTGTGGCAGAGGTGGATCTGAGACTCGATATCCTTGTACCCGTTTGCTGTCAGGCTTTGGATCCCTTGTCCAATTCCACTTGACAAAGCAGAAAGAGGTCAGGGCTGATCGTGTGCTGGGTTCTCCACCATGCACCATGGTGCATCCCTGTGAAAGCTAGCCTGGGTATCTACCTCTCATTTCCTCACAGGCAGGATCCTTCCACTGATCCGCCAGACTCCCTGTCTCCCCTCCCTCTGCATTTCCTTGCCCATCAGGTCTGTGAGGTTATGGGCCAGGGGCTTGAGGTCCTGGATCCTGGTCCCAGCTCTGTTGCTTCCTGTCGTTTACACCCTCTGGGCCTCTCTTTCCATAGGACTGTAGTAATATTGTGGAGTTACATACCTGTGAAACAGAGGCAGATTCACCTCCACTAGTGAGTGCTTAGCAGTGCTCTCTGCTGGGTACCACTAGACATTCTGCAGTAATGGAAATGAATGGAAATGTCCCATGTGTGTGCTGTCCATTGCAGCAGCCACTAGGCACCAGTGGTTGTTGAGCCTTTGAAATGTGGCTAGTGTGAATGAAGAACAGGATTTAATTTCATTTTAATTCATTTCAATGTAAATAGCCGTCCGTGGCTATGTTGGACAGCACAGCTCCAGGGTAAGTGTGAGGCAGGAGGCATGAATCCATTCTTTCCCTGGTGTGTTAGTCCATTTGCGTTGTTATAAAGAAGCACCTGAGACTGGGTAATTTATAAAGAAAAGAGGTTTATTTTGGCTCATGGCTCTGCAGGCTGTACAGGAAGTGTGATGCCAGCATCTGCTTCTGGTGAGGGCCTCAGGAAGCTTCTAATCATGGCAGAAGGCAAAGGGGGAGCAGGCTTTATATGGCAAGACAGGGAGCAAGGAGAAGGGAGGTACCAGGCTCTTTTAAACAACAGCTCTCTCAGGGAGGGCCCCAAGTCATTCATGAGGGATTTGCCCCCACGACTCAAACACTTCCCACCAGGCCCCACCTCTGACATTGGGGATCACATTTCAACATGAAATTTGGAGGGGATCCAAACCATATTACCTGGTAAGTCCTTGTTTCCACATGTCTCTCATCTTACTGCAGGGAGTGCTATTCTCTTTTGTTTGTTTTTATGGCTCCTCAAAAATCAACTTTAGACATTTCAGTTTAAAGTGTTTCTTAAAAATCTGGTCTCTAAATGCAATCCAATCCTTCAGCTGCTCAGCCAAAGAAGCAGTGATCGATGTAGACATTGGCTGCCTTGGACTGAGATGTTCTGGCAGTCTCACCAGTGTGGTGCCTTCCTTAGAGTGACTTGACTGCATTTTCGCTTTACAGAATGAACTTAGAAGCAAACCTCTCATATAAAATGTAACCCTCTCGTAGGAATCAATGAGGTAGTAGATAAGCTCTGGATGTCTGTATCAAGGCTGGGAGCATCCAGCTGTAGCCCAGCAGTAGGAAAGACAATCTGTCAAACTATATTTGATTGCTAACAGGTTAGTAACTAACAGGAAGTCATGCACTGTAGCAGGATGTACTTTTCATGGCCAAAAAGATGAGTACTAATGATGATAACATTAACAGGTAAGACATCCCTACTGTACACCAGGCCTTTTGTGAGGCACCTGCATAACCTCATTTGACCATCATGACATCTCTATGATTCAGGAGCAGTTAATATCCCCATTTTGCCAACAAGAAAACTGGGGAATAGAAAGGTACCATACCTTCCCCAATGTCACTCAGCTAATTAGCAGCAGAGCCAGGATCTGAACACAAGAACCTAGTTCCAGAGCCCACAGGCCTCAATAAACCTGTGAAACACTGGCCTTTGCCCACCTGGTGGAAAGATCGGTGAGATGGGAAGCGTGGGGTCAGTGGGCACTAGGATGGGTGTATTCGGTGAAGCCTCCTCCTGCTTACAGCACTGTCTGGCAGTGTTGACAATGGCTGGTATGGCACGGAAGCCGATGGCACCTCCTGCGGCAGTGCACCATTGGTCTTCGTCAGTTCCTCCTTCCTGGCTCACCCGTGGCTGAGTTTCAGATGTGAGAGCCAGTGGGTGTCCTGTCACAGAGATACGGTCGTCGTGTGGGGCTTCGCCAGGGGTCAGCCTGCAGATAGAACTGCTTTTTTTCACCTGTATCAAAATGCTCTGTGAAATGCGGTTTTATCACGGTGTCTTTCCAGAAGGCGGGGTTTCTTTTCCTATTTGGTTTCTTGTCAGTCAGGTAGAGATGTTTGTGTTGGAGGCTCCCTGAGTGGTAAGAAAATGAGCAGCTGCTCAGGAACGTCCACCTCCTTTTCTTCTCCCTACCCTCCCTCCTTGGGTAGAAACCAGATTGACCTGAAATGTAATTTGGTTCCTTTTGCACAGAAAGATGGAAGTCATGTGCTGTAGCCGGAAAAGCTGAAAGCCTGGGGACCGGAGCCAGAAGATCCGGGTTCCGGTCCCAGTTCTGCTGACCTTGCAGTGGGACGCCAGTTATTCCATGTTTCTGGGCATCTATTTCACAGAGATTGAACTGGACAATGTCTAAGTTTTCTTAGAGCTCTCAATCCTATAAGATGGACAGATGCTGAATTCGCTCAACAGTAGGGAGACAGACCTTTCCCAGCTCTGGGCATCTTAAACAGGCATGTCCTCTCTCCCTGCAGGCATCTTGGCCATCCTCATCCCCCGCCTGGACCTGGTCATCTCCCTGGTGGGCTCCGTGAGCAGCAGCGCCCTGGCCCTCATCATCCCACCGCTCCTGGAGGTCACCACCTTCTACTCAGAGGGCATGAGCCCCCTCACCATCTTTAAGGACGCCCTGATCAGCATCCTGGGCTTCGTGGGCTTTGTGGTGGGGACCTATGAGGCTCTCTATGAGCTGATCCAGCCAAGCAATGCTCCCATCTTCATCAATTCCACCTGTGCCTTCATATAGGGATCTGGGTTCGTCTCTGCAGCTGCCTACCCCTGCCCCATGTGTCCCCCGTTACCTGTCCTCAGAGCCTCAGGTATGGTCCAGGCTCTGAGGAAAGTCAGGGTTGCTGTGTGGGAACCCCTCTGCCTGGCACCTGGATACCCTGGGCCAGGTAACCTGAGGGCAGGGGAGAGGTGGGGTGGCAGACACGCAGAAGTGCTACTAGTGACAGGGCTGCCATCGCTCACCTGTACCTATTTACACCCAGAACTTTCCAGCTCCCCCTCATCATGCCTCCTCCTTCCTACCTGCCTCCCCTCTGCTGGTGCACCTCGCCCAACTCATTCTTACTGCACAGTTCACTTTATTTAACAATTTTCATGTCCCCCACCTCATGTTTTCACCTTTTCTGGGCCAGGCATAGATTAAGTAACTGGGAACGCCCCCTCTTTATAAAGCTGGGCTTCTTTCTCATCTCTCTCCCAAATGTTGTATCTCAGTATTCTTCCTATTCGAGTCTCCAGGGGGTGGCTGGACCTACCTGGTCATTTGAAACAGGCCCCCAAGCTGGAGTTTTTAATCTGGACTCTCTGGCTTGCTGTGACCCCTAAGGCAATGCTTCTCTTCCCTGGATTCCTTAGTGTGGGTCACAGTACTGTGTTCTTAGTTGCTTTAGCTCTTAAAACATACGAAGTGTTGCCTAAACTGAAAATATTTATCTTTTATTTAAAATCAGATTTTTGTTTTTAGACTGTCTTAGATCTGGGGCTATTACGAATCACTTCTTCTTCAGTAAACTTTGACTCAACTTCTCCTGCTGAAAAGAAGCTCGCTCCAGATGTCTGCATGGGTCCTCGGCACTCTTGGCTGAGGACTCAAAGGTTTTAATCAGGATCGTCTAAAAATGTACCTCGGTGAGGAGGCACAGATTTTGCCTCCTGTTGACCAGCCTGGTTTCATACCGAAAAGACATTGAAGGACTGCAGAAATGTATGGGTGCACCGGGCCGAGGGAAGGGTGGCTGAGTGAGAGGCGTATAAAATGGGGCTGTGTGCATGCAGGCCCATGTTTCAGCCTCAGCCCACGCCAGGTGAAAGGATCAGCAATGCTCTGTTGCCATCGTGCTGGGACGACACCAGCTCTATTGCCACCGATGAGTAGCTGAGGTCAGTGTGCACAGAGTTTGAAATTAAGTTAATAGACTTTACAGCAGCTGGTCTGACACTACGCGCAGTGCTCGGTTGTTTACAATCAGTGGGGAAAAGGGCAGAACCAGTGCCCGGCCCCACACTGCCTCTGTGGCCTGGACTTTGAAAGGAACCCACTGAACACTAATTATGAGCCCTGTCTTTCCCCCAGAATGCCTCCCTGGGTTTCACAAACAGCCTTGAGGTTGGCCCTCCTCAAGGTCAGCCTTCAGATTTGGGAGCAAACTTCAGAGAAGGCAGAGGAAGATACATTGCCTTGCTGTGGGCTGCCTCTTCTTTCCTCTTGGTGTGCGAAGTATTTCAGAAGGCCATTGATGAATTCCCCCTCTTTAGCTGTGTATTTGTGCACGTGTGTGTGTACGTGCGTGTGTGTGTGTGTTCCTGTGTAAGTAACAGACCAGACTCCTTTTCTCTTCTGTCCCGTCACCAGGCTCTTGCTTCACTGCAGATACAGTTCACTCTGAAAGCTGGTTGAAGGAGAGCAGCAAAAATGTATCAGGGGTTTTGCTTCTGTGTTTCGCCAAAGCTCATAAGGGCTGTGACCCACCCATATGGCCCCAGTTTTTTCTGTCTCTTCTGTTCCAAAGCCAGGAGAGCTGACTTCCAGGTGAAGGGATGGGAAAAGTGGACTCTCATTGTAGTGACTCCCAACCTACCTAATAATTTGTTAACTTAGGAATATGCTATCATTGTTGACTTGTTCTTCCTTAGGAGAAGGACGATTTTCACCCACCCTTTCTGTTCTATGGTGGACTCTTAACAGGTGCTATGTGACCAGGAATCTAGCCGGGAGTAGCAGAGGCCCTGTCTTCTGAAGTCTCAGGCTTAGAAGTTACCAAAGTGGGCTCAGAAACTGTCATCTCCTGGTTCCAAGTTCGGGCTCTGGCAGCCCAGCCGCTATCTTAGCTGTCTTTCCCAGCGGTGCTAAGAGTGGTCTCAGTGAGAAGGTAGATGCCAACTGGAGGGCCAGACCTGTGTCCTGCCCATGTCCTCCTTGGTGGACGTTTCTGTTTACTCAGAGCTGCTAGAGACCATCCTGCCCATCCGAGTTCTGAGATTGGGACTGTGATGTTGGGACCTGAGGACTGGATGGTAGAATACTGGGGTCCCCCAGCTCTTAGCAGGATGCAGGCTATTGCTTCCACACCCCTGGCCGTGAGAACGTGGTATGTAGGAGAGTTGGCTGTAGCTTTAGGATTTCTGGAAGCCAATTTGGCATGGCCTATTTGATCTCTGGCTTGTGCTCCTGCTACACTGACAGACTGATTGCGTGGCTCTTTCAGAAGACCCAGGAAGGGCAGCTCCAGCCAGAGGACCTTCCTGGCTATGCAGGTGCACAGCTCTTAGGCATCAAGCAAAGGGTCAGCCAGTCAGTAGTAGTGGGAGGAAGCCCTTCCTCCTCTTATGCAAGCAGCTCGCAGCCAGCCCAGAATCTCTTATGCAGCCCAAAGGGCTTCTTGAGGTAGAGAGCCCTCCCCAGTGTCTTCCCAGGATAAGTAGAAATATGATCACAGAGCAACGGAGCAAAGGCTTTCGGGAGTGTGAGGCTGCATCTGCTGGAGCAAAGGGAAACCGTGGGCTTTTCCGGCCAGATACTCTTGAGCTCTGTGACCCTGCTCCTGTCACCCCAATTTCTCCAAGCCAGAGGTAGCTTTCTCAGAGCCCCTTGGTGGTTCTGTCCTCCAAATGCTGCTGTTGGGAGCGGGCTTCCAGCTCTCAGTGGGCAGTGCACCTCCTCCTAAATGCAGGCACTTGCTAGGAAGAGTGTGAGCTGGCGTCTTCTGTTCACCCTGCCTAGCAGTTGTCACCATTCACAAGTGGCATTATTTATGTTGTGCTGCTGTCCAGCTGCTAAGATCCCTTCATCTGCACAAGCCCTGGCTAGATATGTGTGAATGTGTGGCATCATTTCACTTCAGCCGCCCAATTCCATCTCTCCTCTGCAGCCAGATTCACTGGCTGATGCTCACTGCTCACTGTCTATCCCCACGAAATTTAGTTTTATCAGTAGTCTTAAAGTGTTGATCTCAAACAAGTACATTAGAAAAATCATGTTTCTTCTCTCTCATCTTACTTTTTCTTCTCAGATTTCTCCCTTCCTAGAACATTCTCTCTGTTTAGCACTAATGTTCACCTCGTATTTTTTGGAAGTGCAAAAATCTCAATTTGTGTCTGTTTACAGCTCTCTCTCCTCACTGCTCACAGCAAGGGGTTCTGTATCAGTGGATTTCATTTTGTAGCTGCTGAGATGTTAAGGCAAGCCTCAGCATCTGCCCCTGCTGGGTGCACAATGCTGCTTCCTCGAAGAGAAGACACAGAGTCCAAGTGGCAGGACTTGAGGTTGGCTTCCACTCTGCCTTAGAAGTTAATTTTCCAAAGTACATTACAAATCTCTGAGGCCATTAGGGGAAAAGGAAGGGGTGTGGTTTGTCTTTGAAATTACGGTTAATACTTTTAGACAGTAAGTCCGGCTGGTTGCAGGGCTATTTGCCCCGACAGCATCAGCCTGTAACATTTCTTCTCTTTCCTTTGTGCCACTGAGTCGTTCCCTGGCCAGAGGACATAAATGGTGCTGGTAGGAGGTTATCAGAGTAAGGAAGGTAGCAGATATAGGTGCAGGGTGCCTGTCATTCACTGTGTTATTTGGTTTAAATCAAAGTGATTCTGGGGGAAGCTATGCTCTTTCAGTGGATAATAAAATTGGTAACTCTATTGTAAAACATGTCAATGGTGTGTGAAGAAAAATCAACCAATCTGTAGGTGTTGATAACTAGACAGTACTGTGTATGTTACGTGCCTGTGTGGATGTGCACTTCCAGCATGGTATGTGTAGCGATGTGGATCATGCCAGAGTTCGTAGATCCTGTTTTGGGGTTTGCACATGGATCGTATGTTAAGCTTTTTCTTTTCAATAAATGAATTTTATTTTTATTTTTGAGAGGTTGCTATCTGTGTCTTTTTTTTTTTTCTTTTTATATCACTCAGATCCCTTTACTAGATACTGGGTTAAATGTTTCCGGCTTATGCCACAGAGTTCATATGGCAAAGTGGCACAAGCAGTAGACCCATCCATGGAATTAAGAGTCGCCCAAGAAGAAAGGGACTAGGAATGGTTTTTTATTTTTTTTTCTGTTAGACAATCCTCCCCTCCCTAAACCTCCTCCTGCTTCTCTCGAAAACTTGAGTAAGAATTTTCAGCCCTCTCCTTGCATAGCAGATGAGCCCACATGACAGCCAGTTTTATATGTGTCAACTTATAATTCAGTCAAACACTAATCCAGGTGTTGCTGCGAAGGTATTTTGTAAATGTGGTTAACATCTATAATCAGTTGCCTTTAAGTAAAAGAGGTTTTCTCAATATTGTGGGTGGGCCACATCCAATCAGTATAAAGGCCTTTAGAACAAAGCTGAGGTTTCCTTGGAGAAGAAATTCTGCCTCCAGACTGCAGCATCAGCTCCTGCCTACAGGCCTGCCCTATGACTCGCAGACTTGCCGACTCATACGGTCATGGGAGCCAGTTCCTTGATTTGTCTCTCTCTCAGTCTCTCTATGTGTATCTGTGTTCACATATGTGTGTGTGTGTGTATATATATATCTCCTACTGGCTTTGTTTCTCTGAAGAAACCGGACACAACAGGTAACACTTAATTTTCTTGAAATGTGGAGATTAATTTCAGGACAGGACAATGGAAGAGATGACACCCCTTCCCTTCCCTTTTTGTCACTGAGTGGGAAAACACACTTAAGGCTTAAAATGTTTATTCTCTCACTCAATACATTTCCCCGCCCCCCAAAATACTTGAGAATTTGTTCGCACCAGCAAGCATACAATCACTTCTGCGGCAAACACTAGCCAGGTGTGCTCCAATTCAATTCTGACACCACCTGCCTGAAGATGGCATCAGATCCCACAGGACGAGGGCTCAGTCCCCAAGAGTGACACCCCCACCACCACCACTTCCAGTGCCAATTGCAAGTACCAGGTTGTTTACCTGTGCTTCTGACTGGCTAAAAATTTTAAATCAGGGTTCCCATGACTCTGTTTTGGGGTTCAATTAATTTGCTAGAGTAGCTCATAGAACTCAGGAAAATACATTTACCAGTATAAGTTTTAAAACAGAGCCTTCAAAGAATACTCTTAAAGTATAACATTTTACCAAGAGAGGAAGGTGGGCATGTAGTCTGACTATTTTCGTTGTCATTATCATTTCTGGAACAGGAAGGTCAAAGAGATTTAGCAGCTACGCCAAGCCACCAACTAGTAGTTAGCAGCATTGGGATACACACACAAGTCTTCTGGTTCCAGAACCTGAGTGCTTCCCAAGGCGCTGGCTGCCTGTCTGTTGCAGCCTCAAGAGGAAGGTTTGCCTTGGGAATTGTCCTGAGGGTTAGAGAGAATGTTGTAAAGTGCCATATGTCATAATCACAAAGGGCTTATTAAACATTTTCTGAAATATTAGCTGACTTGTAGAAAACCAGGACTCCAAAATACTTCTGCTTGTTGTTCTGGCTGTCCATCCATGCACTGATGTCTTGCTCACTTCCTCTGTGGAGGCCACTCAATCCTCTTTTAGGTTGTCTACCTCCTGAATTTTTTATTTCTGCTCACATTTATACCTAATGGCTGGAACCCCTTCTTCCAGAAAGCCAGGGCCCTCAGGTAAGCCCATTGCATTACTACTGGAGGCATAAACCTGAGTGACAGTGGACTGAATTTGGACCCTAAGCCTGGGGCTCTTTGCTATGTAGGTTGCCTTCCTCATACTTTGCCCATTGCGGTTGTGCTGAGGAACTATGTGTGTCTTTAATGGGTATGCTTTACTAGACCCTTGGCCATTGGTCTCCTTTTTTAAAAAAAATGGAGTATAATTTACATGTAATTAAATTTAAATTTACCTTTTTCAAATGTGCAGTTCAATGTGTTTTGCATACAGTCATGTGACCACCATCTCAATCAAGATACAGAATGTTTCCTTTGCCCCCAGAAGGTCCCTTGTGCCCCTTTGCAATCAATCCCATCCTCACACCACTCAGCCCTTGGCAACTGCTAATCTGTTTTATCTGTCTCCAGTTTTGTCTTTTCTAGAATGTCATATAAAACCGTTACATATGTAGCCCTTTGTGTCTGGTTTCTTTCACTTAACATAATCATCCTTTTTATATTCCTCCATGTTGTTACATGTATCTGTAATTGGTTCTTTTTATTGCTGAGTAGTATCTATTGCGTGGATGAACCATAATTTGTTTATCCATTCATTAGTTGATAGTCTTTGAGGTTGCTTCAAATTTTTAGTTATTATGGCTTATGTTATTTTAATGTAAATTTCTGGTAAACAATTTAGAAACTACCTCTTCTTTCTTCCTTTAAAACTCACTTCTAACTGCTGCTAATCAGAGTATGTTATGAGGGCAACTTGAATCTGTGCTTCCCAGTGGCCATTCGCAAGTTTTGGGCTCAAATATACTCTATATTTAATTATAAAAAAATTACTATTATGAATAAAGCTGCTATAAATACTCATGTACAGGTCTTTGTGTAGACCTATGTTTTTATTTCTCTTGAGTAAATACCTAGAGGTGAAATGATGAGGTTGTATGGGAAATGTGTGCTAACTTTTGGCAAATTATTTTCCAAAGTGGCCGTTCCTTGTTGGATTCCTAATGTATAACAGTTACAGTTGCTCCATATCTTCACCAATACTTAATATTGTGGTCTTTTAAATTTTAGCCCTTCTAATAGGTGTGAAGTGGCATCTCATTACGGTTTTAATTTGCATTTCCCCAATGGCTAGTGATGTTTTGCACCTCTTTACGTGCTTATTGGCCTAAGGAAGTACTTGTTCAAATATTTTGCCTCTTAAAATTCAGTCATCTACTTCTTTTGATATAGGTTTTTTATTGGGAAATAATTGTAGATTACAGGAAGACTCAAAGGCACAGGAGGGAGGTCCAGGTCCAGAGCACTCTTCAGCTGGGCTTCCCAGTGTTAACATCTTGCATAACTGTAGTACATTATTGAAACCAGGAAATTGACATTAGCACAATCCATAGAGCTGATTCAGATTTCATTAGTTATACAGATACTCATTTGTGTGTGTGTGTTTGTGTATAGCTGTATGCAATGTTATCATGAGTAGCTTTGTATACACCACCACCACAATCTAGATGCCTAACTGTACCGTCACCTCAAGACTCCTTATGCTACCCCTTTATAGATACCCACTCCCTTCAGTCCCCCACATCCCTAACCTTCCCCAGAAGCCACGAATCTGTTCATCTCTATAATTTTATTCATGAAATTAATAATAATAATTCAATAAATTGAATTATGCCATATGTATCTTTTGGGGATTGGCTTCTTTCACTCAGTATAATTTCCTTGATGTTCATCTAAGTTGTTGCATTTATCAATAGTTTTTTTCTTTTTATTGCTGAGTAGGGTTCCATGGTACTGATGTTTAACCCTTCAGTCACTGAAAGAAATGTGCAGTTTCCGGATTTAGTTATTACAAATAAAGTACTATAAATATTTGTACAAGTGTTCCTGCATGAAAATCAGTTTTAATTTCTCTGGGATATATGCCCAGGAGCACAATTGCTGAATTGTATGGTGATATGGTTTGACTCAGATCTCATCTTGAATTTCCACATGTTGTGGGAGGGACCCGGTGGGAGGTGACTGATTTGTGGGGGCATGTCTTTCCTGCGCTGTTCTCGTGATGGTGAATAAGTCTCACGAGATCTGATGGTTTTAAAAAGGGGTGTCTCCCTGCACAAACTCATTCTCTGTTTGCCTACCGCCATCCGCTTAAGATGTGACCTGCTCCTCCTTGCCTTCCGCCGCGATTGTGAGGCCTCCTCAGCTATGTGGAACTGTAAATCGAATTAAACCTCTTTCTTTTGTAAATTGCCCAGTCTCTGGTATGTCTGGTATGTCTTTATCAGCAGCGCGAAAACAGACTAGTACGTATGGTAAGCCCATTATTCGTTTTAAAAGGAACTTCTAAACCATTTTCCAGAGTGACTACCATTTTGCTACTCCAGCAACAATGTATGAGTGATCTATTTCCTCTGCAACTTTGCCAGCCTTTGGTGTTACCACTATTTGTGGTGTTTGTTTGTTTGTTTTTTGAGACACAGTCTCACTCTGTCACCCAGGCTGGAGTGCAGTGGCACCATCTCAGCTCACTGCAACCCCTGCCTCCTGGGTTCAAGCGATTCTCCTGTCTCAGCCTCTCGAGTAGCTGGGACTACAGGTGCATGCCACCACGCCTAGCTGATTTTTGTACTTTTAGTAGAGAGGGGGCTTTGCCATGTTGGTCAGGCTGGTCTTGAACTTCTGACCTAGGTGATCCTTCCTGACACTATTTGTTATTTTAACCATTTATCAGATCCTGTGTTTTGTTAGATTTATACTTAAGTATTTAATTTTCTTTGGAGCAATTATAAATGGTATTTTTTATTCCAGTTTCTGTGTGTCCATTGGTAGTATATAGAAATATAACTGATTTGTGTATTTTAATCTTGTATCCTGTGACCTTTCTGTACTCGATAATTCTAGGAGTTTTTGGTTAGATTTCTTGAGATTTTCTATTTAGACAACCATGTTGTCTGCAAATAGAGATAGATGCATTTCTTCTTTTCCAGTGTCTATCTCTTTTCTTTCTTTCTTTCTTTTTTGTCATATTGCAATGGTTCAAATTTCCAGTTTAAAAAAAGTGGTGAGAGTGAACATCCTAGTCCAGTCCCTGATCTTGTAGGGAAAGCATTCAGTCTTTCACTTTAAGTATGATGTAAGTAGTATAATTTTTATAGAAGTTCCCCTCTATTTCTGTACTGAGATATTTAAAAATCATGAATGAGTACTGAATTTTGTCAAATGCTTTTTCTGTATCTGATATGATCGTATAGTTTTTCTTTTTTCACCTTTTGATATGGTGGATTCCATTGATTGATTTTTGAATATTGAACTGGCCTTGCTTACTTGGAATAAATCCTACTTGATCATTGTATACTATTCTTTATATTGTTAGATTGCCTTTCATTTTTCACTCACCCTGATATTTACTCTGACAGATGTAGAATCCAGAATGGTGCCTTTTTAGAAATGAGCAAAGCCATATGCATAACTTCTATTTTTGGCATAAGGGTACTTTTGCCCCAGGCTGGATTTCCGGCTGCTCTGGTGCTACAGAAAGGCTGCGTGGGTTTCTTTAGGACAGAGTTTCTTTACCTCACTATTACTGCCATTTGGGGCTGCAGAATTCTTGTTGAGGGGCTTTTCTGTGCATTCTAGGATGTTTAGCAGCATCCTGGGCCTCTGCCCACTAGATGTCAGTTGCACCCTGCAAGTTGTGACAACTAAAAATGTCTCCAGAATTGCCAAATATCCCCTTGGCTGGAGTGGGGGATGGGGTGGAAATTGCCCACCTCAGCTGCCAGGAACCAATGCCTGAGAACATTTGGTGCCCACCTACCTTTAGCTGGGGGGATGTCCTTTTTTTTTTTTTCTTTTTTTTTGAGACGAAGTCTTGCTCTAATCCCCCAGGCTGGAGTACAATGGTGCAATCTTGGCTCACTGCAACCTCCACCTCCTGGGTTCAAGCGATTCTCTGCCTCAGCCTCCTAAGTAGCTGGGATTACAGGCGCCTGCCACCACGCCCGACTAATTTTTGTATTTTTAGTAGAGACGGGGTTTCACCATGTTGGCCAGGCTGGTCTCGAACTCCTGACCTCAGGTGATCCACCCACCTCGGCCTCCCAAAGTGCTGGGATTACAGGTGTGAGCCACTGCGCACGGCCAGGGGGGTGGGAATGTCCTTTTATTATGGCCATGGAACAAAGGAAAGTGTGTCAATATGGATACTACACAATGAGCTGCTTTTTCAGTAGTAATGGTAAAATATCTCTAACATCTCCTGAACATTCAGTATACAAACTATGCTAAGCACTTTATGTATATTGTCTCCTTTAATACTCAAATCCAGTGAAGGAAAGTACTGGTAATATCCCCACTTTGCAAACTAGGCATAAAAGGTTAAATGACTTGCCCAAGATCACGTTTCCAAAGCGGTGAAGCCAGGTCTGTCTGACATCAAACCTCACGTCCTTGCTGCTGCAATCTTCTCCCCTGCCAGTTGATTCCTTCATTCCTCACCTCCTTCACTGAGCACGGCACATTTCCAAGCCTGTCTTTTGACTCCAGCCTGCTTTGCACCCTGCCCTCCATAAGTCACTCCCAGCTGTCAGAACTACCCACCATTGCCCAAATACTTAAAATCTCTAGGCCTTCCCTTTGGGATTTTCCCTTAGCCTAGCTGACCCTCCTTTCTGTGCTAAATTGGAAGCTCTGCTTTAAGACCCAGCTCAGATGGCTGGGCCCCTGTGGACCCATCCTGGCCAGTTCAGTCAGAACTTTACAGCTCCCTCCTCAGCAATGCTGTCACCTCCCTCCTCTGGTTATCCTCATACCTGCCTGCGCTGGAGACGTGGCTGCTCGGCCACTTTCCCCAGATTGTGAGCTGCCTGAGGGCACTGATCAATCAGATGAAATCTACTCCCACTCTGCCCTTGGGGGCTAATTACGTATCTGAAATCTTTGGTTACTAAATTCAGTGTAGTCTCCTTCTGTAGTGAATAGTGCCCTGGCCTGGTAAGGAGGTGACATCACTATATTGTCAGCTTTGTATCAATCTAACCAGGCACCTTTCTTGGTTGGACACTTTGGATTCATTGAGGAATTTTGAGAAAAGTTTTAAAATTGTCTTTTTGCAGCTGGATGCCTGAGAAAGTTCCTGCTTTTCATTCAGTGAAACAGCTGGTGCCCCTCTTCTAGAAGCAGTCAGAGGCTGCCCGAGGGTTTCCAAAGCCTGTCCTTAGACACCGCACCACAGGTGATGGACCAGCACCTGGGTCTGGCACCCTAGCAGGCTGGCATTGCACCAGTGTTTCAAGTCGTGCAAAGAGGTTGGGTTGACTCTTCTATACTGGACCAGCTGCGAGCCCTGGGCGCGTCACTCCATGCCTTAAAACTCTACCTGCTGGGTCTTTTTTGCCCTCTAGCTCTTTTAGAATCTTCATACATAATCTTCAGTCCAACAGATGTCGTTTTCCCCCCAAGGCCTTTGGCTCTGCCTTTGCTTATCCCCAGATGCTCACTTTTTGAGGGTTCTAGCCCAGTCCTCATGCCTGCCTCGGAGATCCCATGTGCCTCCCTCCAGAGCACTGCCCTGATGCCTGGAAAACATATGTGTCCTTCCTGTAAAGGCTTGAAAACCACCCCTGTAACAACAACTGTGCAAGCCCTCCCTCATCCGCCAGCCCCTGAAGGAAGTCGTTTCCCAATTCTCCTGTTTCCCAATTCTTACACCGTTTGTCCTGGCAAATCCCAGCTGCGTTTCCTTCTCCAATAGCAAGGCCTTGTCTGGCTCCTGAAACCACTCCTCACAGCAGGGCAGCAAGTCCCCACCCTGCCCCTCCCTTCTGGCCTGCTCCTCTAGCGATGCTCAAAGTTGCTGTGCCACTCTTAAGGTCCAGCCCCAAAAGTGGATGTAGGGCTTCGGGAGAGGCCTGGGGTTGAGTCCTAAGTTGAGCAGACCCCCACCTCCCCAAATCTGGGCCCCCTGGCTCTGTGCCACCTAGAAATTAGCATGGCCTTCTCTTGGCTTGTTCTGAACTCAGCCTGTTCCGTTGCACTTGCTGCTGCTCATCAGTCCCCTGTATTTGTAATTTATTTCGCGAACCCAAACGTAAGGCGCACCTCCCGAGTCAGGCCGACCTGGACTGGAATCCTGGTCCTGTCACTCATGAACTCTGTGACTTACCTTATTTAAGTTACTAACATAAATTAGGGGTCCCTCAGTTTATCTGTGCCTCGGTTTCTCCATTTGTAAATGATGATAGTACCTACCTCATTAGGGTTTTGTTGTTGTTGTTGTTGTTTTGAGACGGAATCTCGTTCTGTCACCCAGGCTGGAGTGCAGTGG
The DNA here is from genome assembly GCF_000001405.40 of Homo sapiens. Classification (NCBI taxonomy): domain Eukaryota; kingdom Metazoa; phylum Chordata; class Mammalia; order Primates; family Hominidae; genus Homo; species Homo sapiens. Next base: position 151,500,428 of record NC_000005.10, read on the forward strand.
CATGATCTCGGCTCACTGCAAACTCCGTCTCCTGGGTTCAAGTGATTCTCTTGCCTCAGCCTCCTGAGTAGCTGGGATTACAGGCACACGCCACCATGCCCAGCTAGTTTTTGTATTTTTAGTAGAGACGGGGTTTCACCATGTTGGCCAGGTTGGTCTCGAACTCCTGACCTCAGGTGATCCAACCACCTCGGCCTCCCAAAGTGCTGGGATTACAGGTGGGAGCCACTGTGCCTGGCCCCTCATTAGGTTTTTGTGAGAATTAAATGAGATAAGACGCTGAGTGCTTGCACAGCACCTGGCATAGCAAATGCTCAGTAAAAGGAGGCAGTAGAGGTGGTGGCTGATGGTAGTGACGGTCACGATGGTGAACTGCAAGTCTGCCTGAGCCCCAGTGGTTTAGGATGCCGGGATTTACCTGAAAACCTTTAGGCCTCCCCGCAGGCCCAGTAAACTGGTCCTTGATCCCAGAGAGCCCTCTGGTGGCTAATCTGTGAAGGCGCAGGCTGCGGAAGAAAAGGAGAAGGCGGGGCCTGGTGGGGAGAGGATGGAGGTGGGCTGGTTAAGAAGGCGTTCCCCATCCAGGAGAATGGGAGGCAGGGAGGTGCTGTGTGGACATCCCCAGACTGGGTGTCGGACCTGCCTTGGGGTCTTGCCCCTGGAATTCCGGCTGTGAGACCTCAGACAAACCCTTTCTCTATGGGCCTTAGCATGTGAAACATCAGGAATGAGGAGGACCAGGTCATTGTTTCCCAAAGACGAAGAGGGGGCCCCTGACAGTCATTTTTTAATCTGAATGGTTACATATTTTCATGGTATCATAATTAGTGTGCGACAGAGCTGGGCTTGGAATCAAACCTGTTCAACCTCAGAGCCACTGCCTGCGTGGTGTCTCCCACGGGTGTGCCTTCTTTGCCCAGCTGGATTGGGAACTTGAAGGCAGGGACTGGGCTTTCCTGTCTCGGTGTCATCATGGTTGCCTGGTGAAGTCACATTTAGCTGGCGACTAAGGGTGCGCTGTGGAGTAGCAGCCAGAGGCTGACTCTGGGTCCCAGGAGGGACCAGGCTGGTTTTGAACTCCTGACCTCAGGTGATCTGCCCACCTTGGCCTCCCAAAGTGCTGGGATTACAGGTGTGAGCCACACACCCGGCCTGGTATTATTTTCTGTCATACTGGCCACCATTTATTGTTTATGCTTTAATAAACTTTCCATTTACATGTATTTCTCATGACAATATGAGATAGCTATTATTCCTATATTATTTACTATCTTCATTTTACTGAGGAATGAGAGGCCTAACTGAACTTTGACAAAGGAGCAAAGGCACCACAATGGAGCGAACAGCCTTTTCAGCAAATGGTGCTGGACAGCTGGACAGCCACATGCAAACAAAATGAATCTAGATCTTACATCCTTCACAAAAAGTAACTTAAAGTGGACCATAGACCTAAATGTAAAATGCAAAACTATAAAACTCCTAGATGATAACATAGGAGAAAACCTGGAGACCTTGGGTTTAGCAATGAGTTTTTAAATAAAACACCGAGGGCATTCTGTATAAAAGAAATAAGCCAGACTTCCTTAAAATTAAAAACGAGTAGGGCAGGTGCGGTGGCTCATGCCTGTAATCTCAGCACTTTGGGATGCGGAGGCGGGTGGATCACCTGAGGTCAGGAGTTCAAGACCAGCCTGGCCAACATGGCGAAACCCTGTCTCTACTAAAAATACAAGAATTAGCTGGGTGTGGTGGTGGGCACCTGTAATCCCAGCTACTCAGGAGGCTGAGGTGGGAGAATTGCTTGAACCCAGGAGGTAGAGGTTGCAGTAAGTCGAGACTGTGCCACTGCACTTCAGCCTGGGCAACAGAGTGAGACTCTGTCAAAAAAAAAAAAAGTTAAAAACCTATGCTTTGTAAAAGACAGTGTCAAGAAGACAAGGCACAGACTGAGAAAATATTTTCAAAGGCATATCTGATAAAATACTGTTTTCTAAAATATACAAAGAACTCTTAATACTCAACATTGAGAAAACAAACCAGTTTAAAAATGAGCCAAACATCTTAACAGCCACGTCACTAAAGCAGATCTATAGATGTCAAAAAAAAAGCACATGAAAAGATGCTCCACATCATATGTCATCAGGGAAATGCAAAATTAAGACAACAGTGAGATACCGCACCGCACACCCATTAGAAAGGTGGAAACCCAGAACACAGACACCACCAAATGCTGGTGAGAATGTGGAGCAAAAGGAGTTCTCATTCACTGCTGGTGGGAACGTGGAATGGTTCAGCCACTCTGGAAGACTGTTTGCCAGTATTTACCCAGAGCTAACCTATATCTACATAAAACCTGCACACAGATGTTTATAGCAGTTGTATTCATAGTTGCCAAAACTTGGAAGCAACCAAGATGTCCTTGAGAAGGTGAATGGGTAAATAAACTGTAGTACATCCAGACAGTGGAGTATTATTCGGCACTACAAAGAAATGATCAAGCCCTGAAAAGATATGGAGGAATCTTAAATGCATATTACTAAGTAAAAGAAGCAAGTTTGAAAAAGCTACGTATCATATGATTCCAACTATATGACATGCTGGAAAACTATGGAGACAGCAATAAGTTTCGTGGTTGCCAGGGGTTAGGGGGCAGGAGGGAAGAGTAGGAAGAGCACAGAGGATTTTTAGGGCAGTGAAACCATCTGCAAGAGCCTGTAATGCTGGATACATATTATACATTTGTCCAAACCCATAGAATGTGCAACACCAAGAGTGAACCCTAATGTAAACTATGGACTGTAGGTGATAATGACCCATCAATGGAGAGTTGTCAGTTGCAACAACTATACCATTCTGGTGGGGAATGTTAATAATGAGGGAGGCTATGTATGGGAGGGAAGGCATATCGCTGTACCTTCCATTCAGTGTTTCTGTGAGCCATAAAACTGCTCTAAAAAAATTCTCTTTGAAAAATGAGAGGCCAAGTCATATCTGCTCAAGGCCACATAATTAGTGTGCGACAGAGCTGGGCTTGGAATCAAACCTGTTCAACCTCAGAGCCACTGCCTGCGTGGTGTCTCCCACGGGTGTGCCTTCTTTGCCCAGCTGGATTGGGAACTTGAAGGCAGGGACTGGGCTTTCCTGTCTCGGTGTCATCATGGTTGCCTGGTGAAGTCACATTTAGCTGGCGACTAAGGGTGCGCTGTGGAGTAGCAGCCAGAGGCTGACTCTGGGTCCCAGGAGGGCCAGCTTCCCAAGACTTCTGATAGTTAAGTCCCTTCTCCGTAACTAATGCCATGCAGTGCAAAGAGTGCTGGCAAGGGCAGGAAGCCCCAGGTCTTGTCCTGGGCTTTAGCTAGCCTGCTAGTTAGTGGACTCATCACTCAGAGCCTCAGAGCCCCAGAGCCCCATCTAAATGGAGGGGCTTGAACCACTGCAGACAGTTGTATCAGAGGCAGAGGGTTTTTTCCAAATAGTTTCCTGGGCCCCACCCCCAGAAGTTCTGGTTTTGTGTCTGGGATAGGTAATGTTGCCAGGTTGGGAATCTCTGTTGCTTGACAATCTCTAGGATCCCTTCCAGCTCCCAAAATCCATGAATCTTGGAACGGCCTGTGGACCCTTGCATCGTTCCCCTGACCCCAAACAGGCTAAAGGACACAGAAAATAACAGTAAAAAAAGATACTTTATTGTTAAAAAAAAAATGACCAATGAAACTATGTATCTGTCACTCACACTCACAGTCACACACACAGCCACAAACCACTCACACAAATTGGCTCTCGCCCACACATCTCCCTCTCGCATGAAGCAGCAGCCCTGTGGGCAAGGCTCCACTGCTCTTCCTTTTGACTTCTGTCTCCAGAAACAACACATATGAAAAGGCAGTGGACCAGAGGGAGGGACTGGGTGGGAGGGAGTGGTGAGGTCACCAAAGGCCACAGAGGCTTCTGGTCCCCACCACTCCTGGCTACATACACTCTACACATGTGTACACACGTACTATCCATGGGCACCCACATGTGTAGACATGTGCCCACATTGACCCTCCATGCATAGGGTTGAGTCGCCGCAGGTAATACTTGATGGGCAGGCGTCTGCAATGGAGAGGAGGCAATGGCAGGTGTCCAGCCTGGACACTGCGGTCCAGCTCCCTGCTTCCAACCGGCCCTAAATAGGAGTTCAGACTTCCTTGTGTCTAGGGAAGAAAAATCCCATTGAGGAAACTCATCCAGACAGCAAGGTCAAAAAGTGCCTAAGAATTTTTAAAATGAAGAATTAGTTCCTTCCTTCCTTTGGCCAAAAGTGCCTGGGAAACTTGGGATGAAGAACCCAGAGTTCCATGAGGTCTGAATTCTTTAACAAAGAAGGTTCAGAGCTGTGTAGACTCCTGGCAGGCCCTGACTGGCAGCCAGTGGTGTGACTCTGAGGTGGGCCCGTTCCTCTGCGTGTAGGCTGAGGAGTGGGACCTCTGGGGCCCGAGGCCTGGTGGTGCTCCTCGGAGTCCTTGTTGCCCTCCATCACCATTTTCTCCCCGGTGCAAAGCACAGTGCCTGACGTGGAGCAGACACTTGACAAAGACACAGTGAGTGCTCGACTGAGGCAGGGGCAGAGGGGACTGTGCCCGCTCCCCTGCTGCTCACCTCTCAGCCCCTAGGAGGATGCCACGCAGCCCTCTAGAGCTCCTCTGTACGGCCCGCGTAGTGGTTGTCTGTCAGGCACCAACCTGCCTGCCTCCAAAATGGAGCTGTGGGCAGGTATGAGAATGCATCTTGGTGAAGTTGAGCCAGCACAGTCAATCAGGCTCTGCCCCGGGGACTGAGAGCCGGCAGATCAGGGAGCCCTCCTGTCTCTCGCCCACCCCGGGAGTCAATTGTTCCTGGTTTTCCAGGGTCACTGCTCTAGAAATGCCCCTCTCCTGGGACCCTAGTGCTGTTTCTGGAGCTCTATCCTCAGCTTCCCTCCACCCTCAGGGACTAGGTGGGGGATTGGAAGAGCACATTTCAAGGGACAACAGCCTGGGCTGAGGGCTTCCCTCCCACTCTCCCAGCCACACTCAACTCACCCCCTACGAGACAGGAAGAAATAAGCCAAGTCCAGTCCTTGGCCTCCCGCCTGCCTTGCTCTGGGAATGGGAAGCTAGAACATGACCTCCTCACAGCTGCCATAATCACTCTCCACCATGTCAGAGCCCTCATAGTTGGGGGGCACCCGGGGCTGGCCCTGGCCTGCAAGAGGTGCCCCCTCCACCTCACAGACAGCATAAGAGGGCCCAGCTCGGCTGAGGCGCATACCCACCCCCTTGTAGCCCCCGTCTGCCAGGCAGGGCCCTCCCCCTCCCTGCCGGAACTGCGAGTGGTAGTAGCTGATGGCCGTGTACTCATTGAGACAGGGGGCAACCAGGCGCTCCCGGGGACTAGGGGGCCGAGAGGGCATCAGATCTTCCAGGTTCTGGTTGCTGTAACGGGGTGGGAGAGGTGCCCGCTTGTTTTCCATCTCCAGGGGGAAGGGGAAGCCCCCATAGAGGCCATTAGGCTCTGGCATCACGACTGGGGTTGAGTGGCGGTGAGCCGAGGGCGGCAGAGGGCCCTGAGTCACTTCGGAGTGGGGGTATTCCCAGCGTTCGTTCCTGGAGTAAGTAGGGGGCCAGACCATGGCTCCGCCAGGGTACACTGAAAGGGAACAGCAAGATAGGGTGAGCTCATTTTCTCCCCGGAAGGTTTCAGCTGGCTCTATAGCAACTATATATAACCTAGCGAGTGGTGGAGATGGGAGTGGGTGGGCATAGGCCCATCTGTGCAGGTTGTCTCTGTTGGCTTACGTTGATAACATAGAATCCAATGGGACAAGCTCAAGGCTAGAGGTTTGACCTAAGGCCAGCCCATCTTGCAAATCCCTGCCACTAATCTGAGGGTCAGTGAACAAGGGAAGGATTTGGATGTCTCCATGCAACCCACCCCCACAGCTGGATACAGTAACTCCATCCCAAGTCCTACTGGTGAGTTTCATCCCCTTAACTGAAGGAAACACACACACAGTTTGGACTCACTCACAGGTGTGATGGAGTCTATCATGGAGAGTGATGAAATGAGATGTGGCTCGGAAATCAGGAGACCAGGAGCCCTTGGTCCTAGCCCTGCCTCTGCTACTGAATAGTTGGGTTAGTTAGAACAAGTCACTGCATCTTGATGGGCCTCGGTTTCCGTATTTGACACATAGTGAAAATACCTATCATAACTGCTAATGATTATGCCAAAACATGAAGTGCTTTACTAATGCACCCCCTTTTGAGCCAAAGATGAGAAGAAGGTGATATTCCCCCTCTAGGTCAGCCAGGTCTGGCCCAAGGCTGCTGCACTTCCACACTGGGCAACCAGAAGCTTAGACCACTTCTCCTTTCCCTTCCCAGAAAAGCACAAATGTGCAGAAGCCCCCTTCTCACTCCAAGGGTTCTACCCAACCCTATCCAGGGTCTACACATTTCTGTCATGAACCTCAATCCCATGGAGTGACTTGGAATTTAAAGGAGTGCAATAGAATGAGCCTCAGAAACCTGGTATCTGCTCCAGCATCCGTGCCCTGTAATCTTGAACACATCTCATCATGTCCCATCCCAAAGGGTTGGATGCGTGGTAGCTAAAAATGCCTGTGCCTCAGATAACGGAGTGTTTAGAACCACCACCCACTTCCATCAATCCCAGAGGCTAAGCGTCTCTGGCTATACTGACCCATCTCCTCGCTGGACCAGGTTCTCTTAATGACAGGCTCATTGTCAGAGTGGGAAGGGACCGCAGCTGGCGGGAGTCTGGGGGGCACACTGCAGACCACTGGCCGTTGCTTAGAATTGGGTCCAAATGTGACGAGTTCATTTGGAACAGAGGCCTTGCTGGGTTCCGGTTGGTTGAGGTTGTTGCAGGAGCTGGCACTCAATGGGTTGAGCTCGATGGCAGGCATGGCTTGGGTGTCAACACCAACACTCCTGGCCAGGAGGTCTGGGTCCTCCATGGCCACAGGCTTGTGAGACTTGCAACGGCGGCAGTAGAAGAGAAGCCCGACAGTGCTTATGATAATGAACGCCACGGCCACTGTGATGATCAGTAACTCCTGCTGCCCCCAGTCCCCCCTTTGGATCTCGGGAGTGACTAGGCAGTGTCCTTCTGAACAACCCCTCGCCTCCATTTCACACCTGCGGAGACAGAGTAGTCAGGGGGCCAAGTCATGAAATTGCCCTTTCCATGTCCCCTCTTACAGAGATCTATGGGATAGAGACTGCTCCCCCCAAAACCTACCATCTCCCGTTTTTCACCCCCCAAAAAAGTAACTATCAAGCATATCAACATCAGAACTTTCCACCTTCCACCAGTAAAGTATGGGTCTCAGCTACATCCTCATTTGTGACCATTAGGATCTGGGAATGTCTATTATTTTTCCAGCAATGAGATCTAGGCACTGTATACACTCTCTATCATGAGGTCGGATTTCCTCCCATATCACTGCAGTAGAGACATCGACTCTCTAGCAATGATGTCAGGGTTCCAGATACAAGTCAGCATTGCCCAGTTATAGCAGCCAGGCACCAATGTTCCCTGCTGTGCTTCACCAGGAGGTCACAGGAGCCAACGTGGTCCTGCACAGATCAGCCACCTTACAATGGGCAACTTGCTCAGAGAAAGCATGCGAACTCTCAGGGTACCTCTAGCTTGGCATTCCATGGTGTGAAGCTCCAGGGAAACTTCTGTGGCCAGCTTTATCCACTTTTGAGGGCTATTGGGAAAGTTTGCCCCATCCCATTTGAGTCCAAAACATTTCTCAGTGCCCGAAATGTCACTACCAGTTGTTTGTTATTTTGGGTTAAATGTTGTTTTCCCCAAGGTCCTCTTTTAAAATGCAGACACCACTTTCAGCTGTGAAATGTCCTCCCAACACATCTCGTGAACGAATAGCATTCCCGACTGCAAAGCAGGGCAGGACACACCAGTTGCTGAGAAAAAGGACTGAAGTCGACTGGGCGCAGTGGCTCATGCCTGTAATCCCAGCACTTTGGGCAGCCGAGTCAGCGGGATCACTTGAGGTCAGGAATTCAAGACCAGACTGGCCAGTATGGTGAAACCCCGTATCTACTAAAAATACAAAAATTAGCCAGGTGTTATGGCACATGCCTGTAATCCCAGCTACTTGGCAGGCTGAGGCAGGGGAATGGCTTGAACCTAGGAGTCAGAGGTTGCAGTGAGCCGAGATTGTGCCATTGCACTGCAGCCTGGGCGACAGAGTGAAACTCCTTCTCAAAAAAAAAAAAAAAGGACTGGGGTCATCAGCATACCCAGAGTAATCATGGGAAAGCCCTTTCCCTGCCTGGGCCTCAGTTACTGCAGCTGTAAAATGAGTGGGTGAACTACATCACTGGCTCTTATACACAGGCTAATAGCAAAGGGATCCACTGAGAGCTTGTTAAAAATAGAAGCTAGGCCCATTCTTGGAGATTCTGATTCAGTTGGTCTAGGCTGGATCTTGGAATCTATATTTTTCATGTCTCTTTCATGATTCTTTAAAGGCTCCCAAGTTTGGGAGCCCTAAAACCAGATAATTGTCAAAGTCTCTTTCTCTCTAGGATTCTAGGAATGACAGTTTCCCTTGCAACTGCCACAGCCCCACACAGTATGAGGCACAGACAGCTGGCAGTGGGGTTCCAGGCACAGCAGCACCTGCCCAAGTGGAACCATTTTCCCCAGGTCACTGGGAAGTTCAGGTCCAGAGTGAGAGAATAAGCACTTCAGCCATTTTCAGACTGCAGCAAGGACCAGAACTACCTGAGGAGCTGGTTAAATGTACAGATTGCTAAGCCCCAGCTTGTGATTCTGAGACAGTATGTTCAGAATAGGGCTGGGGAAATCTCTAATAAGCAGCTTCCTCCTCCAGAAGTGTTGTAATGCAGGTGGTTAGAGAGAGACACCCTAACACAATGGTCCACAACCCCTGGGTCACGGACCCATACTGGTCGGTGGCCTGTTAGGAGCCGAGCTGCACAGCAGGAAATGAGCCATGGGTGAGCAAGCATTACCACCTGAGCTCCGCCTTCTGTCAGATCACTGGGGGCATTAGATTCTCACTGGAGCACAAACCCTGTTGTGAACTGTGCATGTAAGGGATCTAGTTTGCATGCTCCTTATAAGGAGCATATATCTAATGCCCGATCTGTCACTGTCTCCCATCACCTCCAGATGGGACTGTCTAGTTGCAGGAAAACAAGCTCAGGGCTCCCAACTGATTCTACGTTATGGTGAGTTGTATAATTACTTCATTATATATTACAATGTAATAATAATAGAAATAAAGTGTGCAATAAATGTCATGTGCTTGAATCATCCTGAAACCATCTCCCGTTTCTCCTGCCTGGTCCGTGGAAAAAGTGTCTTCCATGAAACCGGTCCCTGGTGCCAAAAAGGTTGGGGACCACTGCCCTAACAGATGGAAAAGGCCTAGAAGCCAGGTCCCTGCAGCACTCTCCCCTGGCCTCCCATTGGACTTTCTAGAGGTCAGAGTACAGAGCGCATTCCCTAACAAGGAGCCCATGGCAGGTGGCCTCTCCTGGGATTACCTGTCTCCTGTGTAAGGATGAGGGCAGTTACAGGAAGCTCCTTTGGGGGAGAGGATGCAAGTTCCACCTTCCAGGCAGGGTGCAAAAGTACAGTTCTCCCTTCCTTGTTCACAGTGCTTCCCAGAGAACTGTGGGGGACATTTGCAGACATAGCCTAGGAGAAAAAGAAGGGAGGTGAGAGACCGCACTGGCCTAGCAGTTAAAGGAGACCTGGCATTGGCAGACTGGTGTGTTTGTGCAGCCGTTCAGTTACCATTTATTTATTTGGTTGCTCCCCTCTGTGCCCAATACCGTGCTGGGCATTGGTGCCCTGCTGAACCAAGAGCACTTTGGTCCCTGCCCTCAAACAGCTTACAGCCCACCAGAGACAACAGTCACCTAAAGAACAGTAATAAACAGGATAACAACCATAGACACTAACTTAGTGCTAGTCACTGTTCCAAGGATCTTCCTGTGTTGGCTCATTTGATCCTCACGATGACCCTGAGGTTGGTGACTGTCATCATCCTCATCAGGGGACAGGTACAAAGGGATGGCAGATGAGGAAAGGAGGCACAGAGAATGGACAGAATTTGCTCAAGCCAGTAAATGGCAAAGCTGGGGTTCAAACCTAGACAGCTAGCTATAATATCAGTATCTCAGTAATTATAATAAAATTAATTTTATTGAAGGGAAATGCTGGGAGGGGTGGGGGATGAGGCTAGCTTACTCTAGGGATCTGGGAGCTATTTCATTTGAGATCTGAAGGATGAGTAGAAATTAGCTAGGCAAGAAGCTAGAGGGCAAAGAGAAAGGTGTTTCAGGCGGAAGAGAAGAGTGCGTGCAAAGGCTAGGGAAGGGTGTGGCATGGTCAAGGAACTCAAACCACACCAGGGTGGGCCAGCCTGGTGAGGGACAGGGAGAGTTTGAACTATGGCCTGGGAGGTGCAGGAGCCACATGCAGGGATTGGGACTCTATCCTAGCAGCATGGCGGCCACTGAGCAGTTCTCAGCAGAAGAGTGCCATGCACAGGTCTGTGCTGGATAAAGATCACCCCGGCTCCTGCTGGAAGGTGGAAGGCCGGGATAGAAGCTGGAGAACAGGGAGGAGGCTGGTGCCAGGGTGAGAGGTGATGGGGGCTTGGGACAGAGGGACAGCAATGGGGAAAGAGAGAAGTGATGGATTCCTTGGATATTTTGCAGGTAGAAATGACATGATTAGCCAGACAAAAATCAGAAAAAGGGGTAATGCGAAGTGTTGACAGGCATGTCACATGTTGACAGGCATGTGGGTACATAGGAACCTCTCATGTTGTGTGTGATGTATAGAATAGATGGCTGAGAGGCATGTGGGTACACAGGAACCGCTCATGTTGCATGTGATGTATAGAATAGCCATGCTGAGAGCAATGTATCCCTATTTAGTCAAAATAATTATTTGCATACTGTGAGCCTGTGACTTCCACCCCTGGGTGTCGGGTGTGTGTGTGTGAAGGAAACTCTCACACAGCTTCACAAGGAGACATATAGGAGAATGCTCCCTGCAGCATTGATGATGGAGATGGGTGTTTGGAGTGCGAGGGTGGAGAGGGAAAATGTGAGTGCGTGTACATCATGGAGTACTGAGCCACAGTTAGAAGCAATTAATGAGAATTGCTCATGGCAGCATTGACAGATCTTAAAAATATGGTGCTGAGCGAAAGCGTAAACAACATATACCACTTATATAAATTGGAAATTCAAGCATATGAAAAACAACATGTATTTTGCAAGAACTCATTCAAAAACTGTAAATGTTTGCCTCTAGTGTTAGGGAAGGGGAAGGGAGTGGAATATAAGTTAAAGGGGAATGAGAAGGAGACTGTGCATAGACCAGTGATGACACTAAGGTATGTGATTAATTCAACCCTCTGCCCCTGAGGTCCCCATTCATATCCTCCCTCATCCCCCCAGAAGTAGAAAGATAGTTTTTGTTGAGAGGGAAGGAAGACTCCTGGCTTCCCCTAGTCTAGATATTGCAGATTCCAACCTGTTACTCACAAGTTAGGGGAAGAGAGAGAAATTTGGAACCAGGAGGCTCTGAGATCTCCACCCTGACATGCTTTTCCCACCTGAAGAGCCTTCTGGGATAAACCCTGGGTTCAGCCTGGCACCCCAGCCCTCACCTGCCCCATGGGTCCATGAGCACTTCCCACCATTGAGGCATGTGTTCTGGCTGCAGTAGTCACTGTGGAGGCAGCACTGGGTGAGGGCTTGTGTCTCCAGCAAGCCTGCCACCGTCTTGCCAGGGGCCAGCAGATCTAGAGCCTCTTCGTTGACCACGACAGCATCCAGGCAGCCTTCAAAGCCCTGGGAGACATTCGAGGAAGAATGCAACAGAATGAGGCCGCCCAGCAAGAGGTGCCTTTCGGGCCTCAGACCACGGCAGTTCTCTGGGACCACAAGGGAGGTGTTGCCCATGCTGTCAACCATCAGGCGAATGGAAGCGTCCATCTCCTCCACCAGGATGGAGTGCCACTCGTGGTCATTCACATGGCGCTGGGAGGAAAGGTTTCCATAGAAACCACCCAGACAGTGGTATTCCAGCTGGGGCACTCCACTGGCCAGCTGCAAAGGAAATCCAAACAGCCATCAGCAAAGCCAAGGAGTCCTTGTAAACCTGCTAAGAGGCTGCCAGTTCAAAGAATGTTGTTTGTATTTTTATGGGTAGGAGGGGGGTGTTTGGCTGTTTTAGACATGGCATTTGCAGAGCATAAAAACCCTCAAAGTGCTTTTGTGTTGATGGTCTCCTTTGTTCTCACCACACCCCATGGGATGGTCTGGGTAGGGGGTGACATCTCCATTCACAGATGAGGAAACTGAGGCCGAGAGATGCTTTGCTGATCAAGACCCTGTATTTTGGATGCTTCTTCACAGGCCTGTCCAGAGTTCCACACTTGTGAATATTGGCCTTCAGCGATTTGAAAAACCTGTCTCCCACTCCCACTTCCTTATTCAACAGCTTAGCAGTTCTCAAAGTAGGTCCCCAAGACCTTTTCAGGGAAGCCACAAGGGCAAAGTATTTTTATAGTAATCCTAAGAGTTGATTTGCCTTTGTTTTCTCACAAGTATACAACAGAGTTTTGGAGACACATGTTGTCACAACTGATGAATGCAGAAGTAAATATGAGAAGCCAGCTATCTTCTATTAAGCCAGGCAAAAGAGAGGCTTGCAAAAATGTAAAACAATGCCACTCTTCCTTTTTCTTTCGGAAAGTAATTATTTTTCATAAAAATATATAAAGACATACACTCATATGTTGATTGCAGCACTTTTCACAATAGCAAAGACATGGAATCAACCTAGATGCTCAACAACAGTGGGCTGGATAAAGAAAATATGGTACAGATACACCATGGACAACCATTCAGCCATAAAAAAGAATGAGATTATGTCCTTTGCAGCAACATGGATGGAGTTGGCGGCCATTATCCTAAGCAAACTAACACAGGAACAGGAAATCAAATACCACATGTTCTCACTTACAAGTGGGAACTAAATGCTGAGTACACAGGGACGCAAAGAAGGGAACAATAGACATCAGGGCCTACTTGAGGGCAGAGGGTGGGAGAAGGTTAAGGACAAAAAACTACCTATCAGGAACTATGCTTATTCCTTGGGTGATGAAGTAATATGTACACCAATCCCCTATGATACATCGGTTACCCGTATAACAAACCTGCATATGTACCCCCGAAACTAAACTAAAAATTGGAAGAAAAAAATTATTTAATTAATTAAGGTATTTATGTTGACATGTGAGTTTATTATTTCTAAATAAATTAATACATTTTTAAATATCTCAGTTTTAATGTCTAATACTGAATATGTTGATAGTTATAACCCACATAACCAAAACTTCCCTGGAATCCTCAATAATTTTCAAGAGTGTAAAAAGTCCTGAAGTCAAAAAGTCTGAGAACCACTGGGTTAAAACATTTTAATTCACTTCATTCCCAAGAGGTAGGACTGCCTGTGACCAAATACTTTTCTGGTCACTTTGGGCTAGGTAGAGTTTTCTCTGTTGAAATTTGAAGATCTAACCCAGTGTTTCTTATACATTGGCTATCTGTAGACCACCTCTCAGATTTTTGCCCCAGTTGAATACTACCTATACCTTTATTTACTTAAAAAGGAGACACTATTATTAGGGTAAATAGAAAACCAACACACTTGCCTTTAAGAAAGGGGGATAACAAAAATGAATGCAACTCAAGTAAAACATTGCAATGAAATCATTTCTTTTTATCTGTCTGGGACCACAAATCTGTTGATCCCACCGTCTTTTCATTGTCTCCCACCTCTGTAATGTCCTCGTTCCTCTCCTTATCCAGTTTAAGTTCCATAGTCAATCATCCTAACTACTCCCTTCACATACTCTTGACCTATCTCTTTCTTACTTCGTAGAACTCTCTTGGTAAACCCACAACTATGGAAAAAGCTAACTCTCCACCTGCTCTATACAGACATGGAGCAGAACATGGCTGGAGAAAAACGTGCAGCTTTGCTCACGAGCCTCTCTTTAATTTCATGACCATGGCTCTCAAATGAGCCTTTAATGCTGCCCAGCAATCACACTCCCTTCCTGAGTCCATCCGTTCTTCCAGATGACTGTTTTCACTACGTCTCTCTCCTGAGATCCCTAATGCCTCCCTCCTCATTCCCACTCTCAGCTGATCATCTCACATCCTACTGAAATCATCAGATGGGGGAACCTGCAGGCACTTTCACCATCACATCTATCCACCTTAGCTAAAGCCAATCTCTCCATTTATGCACTAGATTCTACCTCCTCACCTCCTCAAGGGTCTACTGATTCTCCTTCCTCTTTCTTACATCTTTGTTCGTTCACCACTATATCATTCCACAGCATACACACATGGTGTTATTGCTCTAATCTTTATTTTCAAAAATATACCTTCTTTACAGATGATAATCTTTATTTTTTTAAAAAAGGTTGTCTTCACCTCAGTTTTCCAGCCAGATATTTTCCTTCTTTCCTGTCCCTTTTCCGCAAAATTTCACCCCAACCCACCATACACGGAAACCATTGGTGTCAGGGGATTCAATGATCTCTGTGTTGCCAAATCACTTCCCATCTTACTGGCCTCTCAGCAGCAGATCACCCAACAGATCACTCCTTCCTTCTTGATACGTGTTCTTCACTTGGCTTCCTGCATACAATACTCCCTGGGTTTTCCTCCAGCATCACCGGTTACTCATGTTCAGTCTCCTTTGTTGAATCCCCTCTTCCCCCAGACCTGCTAATGTTGGAGGGTCTCAAGGAGTAATCCTTGGCCTACTCTCTCTTCAATCTACATTGCTTGGTGATCTCCCATCTCATGGCTTTCAGTACCACGTATGCGCTGAAGACTCCCAGATCTCCATCTCCAGCATAGACCCCTCACAACATTAGGCTTGTCTTACCAGATCCACTTGGAGGTCTAATGGGCATCTGAAACTTACACATCCGAAACTGCACTCTGATCTCCCCTCCCCAAACCTTGTATCCACCCATACCCTTCCCCAGGCCTGCTGGCACAAACTCCATTCTTCCAGTTGCCCAGGCCAAAATCTCACTACTTGCCTTCTCTCCCACCCTTCATTCAATTCACTGGGAAATCCTGTTGGCTTTGCCTTCAAAATCTTTGTAGAATCTATCTTCTTTCCAATTCCTCTGTCATCACCCTGGTCTAAACCACCATCCTCTCTTATCCAAATTATTGCAGTGGCCTCCTGACTGGGTCTCTCTGCTCCTATCTTTGTTTCTCTAAAGTCGATTCTCAACAAAGAAGCCATGATGACCCTTTTAAAATAGATCATTGCAATTATCTGCTCAAAACCTTCTAATGCCTCCATTTTGCTCAGAATAAAAGCCAAAGTCCTTACAATGTCCTACAAGACCTTCATAGATATGCCCCATCCCATTACGTCTCTGACCAACTCCTCCTCCTACTGTTCCCTTTACCCACTTCACTGGAGCCAGGTAGAACTCCAACCCATTGCTTAAACATGCTAAGCATTCTCCTGCCAAAAGGCTTTCACATTGCTATTCCCTCTATCTAGAATGTTGTTCCTTCCAGATGTCCATAGAGCTAACTTTCTCACCCTCTCCAAATTATTGCTCAATTATTATCTCAATGAAAGCTTCCCTGGCCACCTTATTTAAAATTGTAAAATTGTAACTCCGGCTGGGCATGTGTTTCATGCCTATAATCCCAGCACTTTGGGAGGCCAAGGTGGGTGGATCGCTTGAGGCCAGGAGTTCAAGACCAGCCTGGCCAACATGGTGAAACCTCGTCTCTGCTAAAGACGCAAAAGAAAAAAATTAGTGAGCGTGGTTGCACACACCTGTAATTCCAGCTACTCCAGAGACTGAGACACAAGAATCACCTGAACCCAGGAGGCAGAGGTTGCAGTGAGCTGAGATCATGCCACTGCCCTCCAGCCTGGGCGACAGAGTGAGACTCTGTCTCAATAAATAAATAAATAAAAATTGCAACTCTCCTCACCCCTGATGCCCCTCCATTTTTTCCTTTTTGCTCATAATACTTATCACATTTGAACAAATTCTATAATTTTCTGAGCTATTATGTTTATGTTTATTGTCAGTCTCTCCCCCATAGAACAAAAGCTTTAAAAGGGATTTCTGTCTTTTTCACTGATGAGACCCAAGCACCTAGGACAGTGCCTGTCACATAGTAGATGCTCAATAAATCTGTTTTGAATGAATTAAAATCTAGTGGCCAAAGTTGGCTTTCTCTTTGTTGAAATGGTAGGTTGGGGCTGAGGGCAGTGGTTCATGCCTGTAATCCTAGCACTTTGGGATGCCGAGGCAGGCGGATCACCTGAGGTCAGGAGTTCGAGACCAGCCTGGCCAACATGGCAAAACCCCATCTCTACTTAAAAAATACAAAAAATAGCCAGGCATGGTGGTGTGTGCCTGTAATCCCAACTACTCGGGAAGCTGAGGCAGGAGAATCGCTTGAACCTGGGAGACAGAGGTTGCAGTGATCTGAAATCACACCACTGCACTCCAGCCTCGGTGACAGAGAGAGACTCCATCTCAAAAAAAAAAAAAAGAAAAAAGAAATGGTAGATTGGCATATGTGATAGAGGTGTTAAAATCACAGGCAGACTGTGACCTTCCACATGACATAATCCAAATAACTGAATGATTATTACAAAGGAAATTTATTTTTCTTCCATGTGATTCCATGGGGTTTGAGCACCCCCAGTGGTAAGCAATCCCCCCATCCCTGGGAAACACTGGCCTATTACTCAGCAAAAATGATAACGGCACCAGGGCTAGTTGACCTCATCCATCTCCATTTCTATCTTACCCCACAGAGTAAGCAGCCCCACTTGTGACCGTCCTTGGACGTATATCTCCAGGTTGGGTGGCTGTGGCCATCCAGGACAGGATAATCATGTGGCCCAACAGTCACACCCAGAATCCCTGAAAACTGTGCAGGGATTTCTTTGGCAGAAATGGGCTTCCTGACATTCCTCATGCCTCACCCCCTACCTCCCCAGCCTGGGACACCCACATGAAATCTCTCAGGCTGGCAGTGCCTTACCTTCAGGGAGACGGACGCTGTTTCATTGGTGAATAGAAGAATGGCCTGTGGCTGGAGTGTTTTCAGATAGAAATGGATGTGCCAGTTCCGAGCCGCTGGGGCCCTGTACCGCACATAGCTCTGACCACTGAACCTTGTAGCAGTACCTGAGAAAGCAACCAAAGCTGTCACCTCTACTTGAAGTGGTCCCCATTGAGCCCTTGGACTGACTTTGTCTTATTTAATCCTTGGGTGGCAGACAGAATCATTGCTCATATTTTATACATGAAGAAACTAGGCTGGGTGTGGGGTGTGCCATACCTTTCTAGCCTCACACGTAGAGCCAGACAGGAGCCTTCACCCTACCTTTTGTTGACTGCAGGGACCCCTGCCTTAGGTCCCAGGCTGGGTCAAGAAATATGAATTTAAACCATTAAGAAAGCAAAAGTCATCCAGGTGAGGTGGCTCATGCCTATAATCCCAGCACTTTGGGAGGCTGTGGCGGGAGGATCACCTGAACCCAGAAGTTCGAGACCAGCCTGGGCAACAGAGCAAGACCTCATCTCTAAAACATAAAATAAAAATAAAAATAGCCAGGCATGGTGCCTCATGCCTGTAACTCCAGTTACTTGGAATTACATCCTCTCAGCTGAGGCAGGAGTATCACTTGAGCCCAGGAAGTCAAGGCTGCAGTGAACCATGATCTTGCCACTCTATTCCAGCCTGGGTGACAGAGAGAGACCATGTCTCTAATAATAATAATAATAATAATAATAATTTTTAAAAGAAAGTAAAAATCAGGCCAGAAATGTAATGAATCAAGTGTGTGAAAATCAAAATTTTTATTCTACATAGTTTCCATGTTATTTCTGGTGTTGGGAATCTACACTGGGAATGTAGATACTGCATGTGTGTGTGATTTTAGACCCACAAGGGTTTTTGCCTCAGGATAGTTCCTTGTATGAGCAGGAGTTAATCATTTAGGTAAACAATAAAATGCGGCTGAGAGGTCAAGAGCCACTCTATGATAAAGAGAGAGGGGCAGTGATAGACTGTATGGCCAAAACTTTTGTAAAGTCTGGCATCCTCCATCCCGCCTTAGCAATGGCTAATGCACAGTTGCATAGTATGGAGTAAACTTGAGTTTCTTAAGCATCTTTGACTGTGGGACACTCTTATGTGGACCACTCTTGGGAATAGCATTCTGTTGAACCCCCTTTGGGAAGCACTGCCCTCCCCAGATTTTAAAAAATATCCACCCTCCCCAGAAGTGAGTCCAGCTATGAAATCCCCAAAACCCCAGTGTAAATAAGCTTGTCAGTTGTCAGGGGAGAGGATGAGCGGTCCAGCCTCTAGATACCTAGCAAAGAGGAATTGTTGAAGAGAGAGAACAAAAGCCAAAAGGAGGAGAAGAAAGAACCAGAAAAGATGAGGCACAAGGGATTATAACATCCACACATTCCAGCTGGACGCAGTGGCTCACACCTGTAATCCCAGAACTTTGGAAGGCCAAGACAGGCAGATCACCTGAGGTCAGGAGTTCGAGACCAGCCTGGTCAACGTGGTGAAACCCCGTCTCTACTAAAAATACAAAAATTACCTGGGCATGGTGGCACTCGCCTGTAATTCCAGCTACTCACGAGGCTGAGGCAGCAGACTTGCTTGAACCTGGGAGGTGGAAGTTGCAGTGAGCCAAGATCGTGCCACTGCACTCCAGCCTGAGTGACAGAGCGAGACTTCATCTCAAAAACAAAAACAAAAATCCAAACAAGTCCAAAATTCCCTGACACTGGCAATTCCATTGTAGTAGGTACTTATTGGATGGGATATTGAAGATGATCTAGATCAGAAATTCCCACCCCGGCTGGATATCAGGATCAGCTGGAGAATCTTTATGACACAGAATCCTAAGTTCTCTCGGAGAATCTGATTCAGTAGTTCTGGGTGGCACGTGGAAATATGTATTTTAAAAATCTTACCATCATGGGTGTAACAACTGGAAGGGGGGCCCAAGGGAGGCTTCTGAGATGGTGGTCATATTCTTTCCTTGATCTGGGCGTTGGCTACACAGATATATTTGCTTTATAAAAATTATTTGAGGTGTGTACTTATGATACATGAATTGGTTTCCTGTATGTTTTATATTTCACTAAAATGTTAAAAAATAAAAAACCTCTTTTCAACTGATTCTGGTGATCCATGAGTTTATCTAGTATTTCTTCAATGCAAGCCCTTGCACCTGCTGCTTCAGAATTAAATGCCAATTCTAGGACTCACTCAGAACCTTCTAAATTAAAACCTCTGGAGGTGACACCCAGGAGCATGTCTCTTTAAAATCACGCTCTCCAGTAGACTTTGCAAAATCTTGAATTTTAGAACCCCTGCTGTCTGATGCCAGGTGGCTGAGAGAGACCCTTCAGCCTTCTTGGCTTTCCCTGAAGCAGGCCCTGGGGCAAGAAACACAGAGAAGGAAATCCTCTCCCCAACAGAGAGAAGCCCACCCAGCCTAAATCGAGTGGTCCCTGGACAAAGTCCACAAATCTTCTGAGAAATGATATCCCGAATGCCAGGCAGCTGGACCCATAAAGGGCAGGTCAGGCCAGGCCAGGCAGGAGCGCTGGTGAGCTGAAGGTCATGTCACTTTCCTTTAGCCAAGGCTCCTGAGCTGCTCCCTTGGCCTTAATGCCAGGGATGCTGGGTGAGTCTTGGAGTGCCTGAGGAGCTTAGTGAAGAGTTCAGGCTTTAGAGTGGGACACACAGATATTTGAATAACGAGGCCTTCATTGGAAGCTGTACAATTTCAGGCAAACTAAATCTCATATCTCAGTTCCAACTGCAGATGGGGCTAATGACCCTGCTTGGTAGGGCTGTGGTGCCGATTAGTTTAGGTGACATCTACACAGAGTGTGGCGTACAGCAGGCTCCCTATAGCAACTGCTACCACGGGAATGACAGTCACCGTTGATCTGGGGCTTATTGTGGGCCAGCCATGGGTTAAGTGCTTTTATAACTCTTACGTAATTTCCCCCCCGAACCCAACTCCAGGAGGCAGATGTATTTATTTTGACTATTTTATAGATGGGAAACTAAAAAGCTCAGAGGGTTTTAACAATACACCCAAAGTTACACAGCTAGTGACTGATGGAGCTAGGGTTTGAACCTGAGCTGTCTGAGTCTAAGCCTTGAGCTTATAACCACCAGACTATGGTAATAATAGTAGCAGTATTAGTAACTCACATGTATTGACCACTTTCTATATGTCAGGCACTGTTCTAAGCAAGCACTTGATACATAGTACTGATGTAATTCCTACAGCAGCCCAGCTCAAAGGCACAGAGAGGTTAATTTTCCTAAAGTCGCCTGGTTAGTAAGGGGTAGAGCTGGGATTTTAACCCATGAAGACTGAAGCCACAGCCTATGCTCTTAGCCATGATGTTAAACCACATATTGTAGTCTTACTGTTATTTTCTAAATCTCGAAAGGGAGCTGAGAATTGGGTATTATTCCATAACTAGATTTTGTGAGGCCACTAGCCGTCTTATGGTGATTGGTGGCCTTTGGGCTTATTAAAACTTCCCTGAACTCTCCCACAGAGCCTCAGTGGAATCTCCATGCTTAGAGTCAGGCGGGCTGAGCCCAGCAGTGCTGCTCGTCCCTAGGGAAGATGTAGTACTTACCATTGCAGGAGCAGCTCCTCTGCAGGTGGTGCCGCGGGGTTAGGATGCTGAGCCTGGCGGTGCTGTACGTGGGCCCAACCTTGGGGTCCAGATGCACTGTGTTATGGCAGATTTGACCCTGGCAGGTTGGCCCCTGGCAGGGCACCATGGGCATAGCTGACCGCATCTGAACCCCCACTGAATGCTCCATCTCCTTGGCTGAGTGAGTGATGATGGATGCTAGCTCCTGAAACTCGTAGAAGGTTCCAGAATGCCCCTCAAAGACCAGGAGCACATCCACACCAGCCACGGCCTCTGCAGGCTGGAGGCTGGCCAAGTGAATGTTAGCCCGTTTGATGTCCAGCTTATGGCTGAGGAACCTCTGCAGGTTCCGCCAGTGGTCACTCACCAGCTCCTCGGGGGTGAGCTGGTAGAAGCCCATCCACATGGCCTGCTGCAGAGCCTCCTGCCCCACATGCCACACGTACACATGGACCCCAGCAGTCGTGGTGAAGGTCCCATCGCTGACCGTGACGTTGAACGAGTAGTGGCCACGAGGCAGGCCCTGGGCGGCGATAATCTTGCCATCAGGCGCACCCACTGAGAAGTGCCTGCCCAGGGTCTCCTCTTCTGCCAGGCTATAGGTCAGCGTGTCCTGGGGGTCTCGGTCTGTGGCATGGATCTTACCCACCATGCCACCCTGGAACTCATCCTCTCCAACAGTGATGAAGATCTCCAGTGGGAGAGCAGAAGGTGCATAGTGGCTCTGCTCTGTGACATGGACACGGACAGACGTCAAAGACGAGAGGGGAGGGATGCCACTGTCTGACGCCTGTGGGCAAAACAAACACTGCTGTCACCCAACAGAACTGCAGTGCTCTTGCGCCCGACTGAGGCTGGGCCTCCTTGTGGAGCTACGTTTCTCTGCCCCACGCCCAACTTGAGGGCTGGCTCAGCGCATTGTTGCATTTAGAAAAAAAAAACCTAACTCCAAAAGCACTGACAGAAAAGAAAGATTTTCTGAAGGTTTTGTAGAGATTGAAGGAGGGAGTTACATCCTATACCATGCAGTAAAACAATGCAGTTTCCTCATGTGACATCTCTCTGAGCCTCTTCCTAAATCTCTCCAGCCATAGACTTGGGCTAACTTCCTCATGAAGTTTCTCATTCTGTCCCTGTCCTCAAGGGCGCCCTCAGATGTCTCAGCAATTCTGATGCACCATGCACCCTGCTCAGCCTACGAAAATTCCCCTTGGGATTCCCTTTTGCTATGCGATTGGAGTGGGAGTCGGGATTTGTCCTTCTAGTCAGTCAACGAAGTCTTCTGCTGTGGCCAGGAGAAAAGAGACAATAAATAAGTTACCAAATAACTTGGATAAAATGCTGGGAAGGAAATAAACAGAGACCTAACTTTGATCAGGTAGAAGAGAAGGAGTCTCTGTGGAGTGACATTTGAGTCCTGAGGGATGAGAAGAAGAGGCGACAGACAGAGGGAGCAGCAAGTGTAAGGTCCTGGGGTAGGAATGAAGGCGGTGTGTTCAACAGCACAGACGGGGTCACTGGTGCTGGAGCAAGTGGGCAGGGAAGCAGGCCTGACCTCACTGATGGGCTGGCACGCGCAGGGTTGCAGTTAATGTCAGAACTGTGAAAAGCCGTGAGGGTGACAGGACCTCACTTAAGTAGGGAAAAGAATGTAAATCATAAACGCATTTTCCTTTCATGTTTCACCACACATCCCTGCAACTTCCTGCCTGACTTAGAAAGGACAGGCTTGCCTTCTTCTCCTCAGTGATGTTATCACTTCCTCAGCTGTCAACGAGGGTCTCCACAATTTTCCCTGTAGTAATATCTTGTTCACCTGCACTCCAACACTTTTAATGTACAAGAAAGTTGATAAGATTACACCTACTGCTGGAAGTCATGCATAACACCGAAGAGATATTAATAGCAACAATAATAATTAACACTACTGTTAATTATAATGTATAGCTAACATTAGTTACAACAATACTACTACTACCGATTATATATAATACATAGCTAACATTAACTGAGTACAATGCTAGTCATTATCATAGATAAACTATGATAATGCTGTAAATACATTATCCTAGTTTATCCTTCTTATGAGATAGGTACTATCAAGTCACCCATCCTACAAAAAATATAACTGAGGCTCAAAGAGGTGAAGTAACTTGCCCAAGGTCATACAGCAGCAGATAAGGCCTGAGCAGAATCTGAATACCTATCTGTGTCTATAGCCTGTGTTTTTCTTTGCTGGCCTATGGTGCCTCCCAGTGCATGGAAGTGGAAGTACGGGACCAATGCAATTGATGGTGATGATGCCAGTCATTACTAAGCTCCTGTCTAGGCAGGACGTGTGCCTGGGTCTGAGAATACAGAGGTCAGGAAGCCATTCTCTCTCATCTCTCCCTAGGCAATCACATCCATGCTCTTGGCTTTGAGGGCCATCTACCAATCCTCTGAGCTGCCAACTCCAATTCCCAGCTACCCACTGGACACCTCTGCTTGGATGTCTCACAAACAACTGGGAAATAATGTGCAAAACAGAGCTTCGGTTTAGCCCATAAACCTGTCCTGCCTTCCCGTCTGGGCCTTTCCAGTCTCATAAATGCACTACCACCGAAGTCTTCATGGGAGCCAACAATTTAGAAATCACCCCTGAATCGTCTCTGTTCTTTCTAACTGCACATCCACTCCACCAACTCCTATCAATTTACATACAAAATATGTCCGAAATCTCTCCGCTTCCTGCATCTTCTCCATCACTCCGTGGTCTCAGCCCCACTATCTCCAGCTTGGATGACTTCTCACTGGTCTCCCTCACCCACTCTATAGAGCTTGAAAAATGAGCTTCCTGAGACACAAAGAGGATCCCTTTTCCGTCTGAAACCCTCCAACCACCTCTCATTGTACTTAGATTAGAATCTAAAAGTGTTACCAAGGCTTATACTTAGAAGATTGGATGCCCTGGTTTGTCAAGGACAGTCTTGATTTTTACCTGTTGTAAATCAGCTACTACCAAGTATTATTTTTAGTGCCTGTTTTGGACTCTATGTTTGTGTCCCCTCAAAATTCATATGTTAAAATCTAATCCCCAGTGTAACAGTATTTGGAGGTGGAGCCCTTGTGAATGGGATTAGGGCCCTTATGAGAAGGGCCATGTGATACAATGAGAAGCCGACAGTCTGCCATTCAGAAGAGGGCACTCACCAGAACCTGGCCATGCTGGCACCCCGATCTGGGACTTCCAGCCTCCAGAACTGTGGGAAATACATTTCTGTCCTTTAAGCCACCCAGCCTATGGTGTTCTGTTGTAGCAGCCCAAATGGACTAAGTCAGTGCTTCTCTCACTCTCAAAGATCACAGTTTGGACCTCAGATAATACAGTCATCCAAGCCACAAGGCCCACATGATCTACCCAGCCTATCTCCTCAGCCTCATTCCCACCCCTGCTCATGATGTTCTCAGTACCTCAGCCATACCTCAAGCCACTTCAGGCTCTTTCCCAACTCATGTTGCTCTTCCTGCCTGGAAGACTCTCCTGCCCACTTTTCACATGGTTGGCAGCTTGGCTCTCTGCTCAGATGTCACCTCCTGGGGGCAGCCTCCCTCTGAATGTGTGTCCCCCTGTCTTATGAGTCTCTCATCACTTTACTTCCTTATCATCATTTGTAAAGATGTTATTTCTTTCTTTATCTGTTTATTGTTTATCTCCATGATTACAATGGAAAGCCCCTGGAGACAGGAATCATTCCCTCCTTACCCTCTGCTATGTTCCTAGCAGCTTGCAAATGGCCTCGCATGTAGTAGATGCTCAATAAATACTTGTCGAGAGATGGACTGACTGACTGAAAGAATGAATACATCATTCCCAGCCCATAAGTTTACAGAATAGTAGGGTCCACTGGACTTGAGATTTAGGAAAGAGATTTGGAGAAATAAAGTGAGGGAGAGATATCAGACCACCATCTTGGCCACTGTTCTTTAGCAATTCCTATGAAACCCATAACACCACCACCAGAATCCCCTACACACATGTGCATACAATATCTCACTTGAGCCCCAAGCCAGTTCTCTGAGGTAGGTTGTTTTAGCTCCTGAGGTTCAGAGAGCTGTTCTGGCTAAGCTCTAGGAGCTACAGCCAGAGGGTGTTTTGCCCAGGCACAGAGCAGGGATTAAGAATTTGGAGTCTGGGGTCAGAGTGCTTGGGTTTGAAGCAACCCACCTTTGCCACTTATTACCAGTATTACTTTAAGCCAGTCACTTAAATCCCCTGTGTTCCTCAGTTTCCTCATCTGTAAAGCGGGGTGGTAACTATACCTGCCCTGAGTGTTATGAGGCTTTAGTCCTGAGAAGGACCTAGCCCAGTGCCTGATGCATCCTAAGTGCTTTGTACATTTTTTCCCTAATGACAGAAGCACTGGTGGGGCTTTTGCCAGCATCTTTACTGTCCCCATGGTCACCACCAGAAGCCTAGCACAGCTCTCACCTGGATCTGAAGCTGATACCATTCCTGAGCCCTCCTGCTTAGGCCCTCAGCAGTCACCAGCCATCCATCCGGGGTCACTCGGAAGGCAGAGCCGTTGTTCCCCTTGGTGATTCGAAACGAGTAGGGGGGGCCATTCTCTGGAGAATCTGGGTCACTCAGGATCAGCTGCAGGACTTTGCTGCCAATGGGGGAGTTCTCCTGAGACCGAGAGTGACAAAGAAGGCAAAGAGCAGAATGAGTCCCGGTCCTTCCTTTCGCACGTGTCTGGGTATGTCATCTGGAATGAGTCCTCAGCACTCTGACTGCTTGTAGATGGTGCCTGGACATCAAGCTGCTGCTCATTCATTCTGCCTGCCTTTGAGGTAGTTGTTGACTTTGCTGTCTAGACCAGGAGCTCCCCAAGGGCAATGTTGGGTCTTAGAAACACAGCCCATTGGGGCAGGAAGGATCCTTAGAGAACAAAGGTTAAACCCTTTATTCTGTAGAGAGATGACTTGCTCAAGATCACACACTGCTGAATCATGTATTTAAATTAGTTATTACCTGGATTACATAAGGGAATGTTGCGATTTGCAAAGCCAATTGAACACTTATAAATGATTTCTTCCTTAGAGGACCTGCATGCAATATGTATCTGATAAGCACACTTAAAGATGACTAGGAATTTAATAAGAAAAACCAGATTCCCTGAGTATCATTTTAGCCTTTGTTGTATAACATGGGCATTTAGTATACTATAACACAATGGTTGCTAACTATTTAGCATCACAAACAGAATCTAATGGGCAGAAACTGATCGTTGCCTATCCAACAGACATTCTCTGTTCCTTTCTTATAAAATCCTGCTTTGGTTCAGATGTGGACTGGCGATATTCTCAGAAAAGATATTTTTAGTCAGGTAACTTATTATTTGCAGCCAAAGCATCCTAACCCATACCCATAATATATAAAACAGGTAAAAGTGGAACAGCCCTAGGTAATGCATAGTAGGACCCAGAACTCTGCCTTTTTATTCACTCCCTCACCTCCCTTCACCACTTACAGCCCTGAAAATTACTCATAGAATCCCAAGGCCCTCTCCAAATCCTATTTGCAAACCATTAGTAGGGAATAGCTTGGGTTCTGGAAACAAACAAAAAAATCCCTGGGGTTCAATCCCAAGTTTGCCACATTCCAGGTATGGCATGTTTTCATACCTCAATCTTCTAAATCTGTAAAATGGGTACTACCTACTTCATATGGCTGTTATGAGTCTCAAATGAGGTAATGGATATGAAAGTGCCTAACACAGTGCCTGATTCCCTTCAATTCTATAATGCCCTCCAGCAGTCTGTGTTGCCTTTGGGGACATCAGTGGCAAAGTCACAGTCATTGTTCATGTGGACTAATGCCACTGAGGGGCATCTTCTGCTAGAAGGGAAATGAAGGGAGGAAGGGCTCAGGGTGCCTTGGAGGCTCAAGCTTACCTGGACAGTGGTGCTGTAGTTGAGCTGGAAGAATCTCGGTGGGTTATCATTGACATCAGCCACTTGGATAGCGATGTCTGTGTCCTCATGCAGTGGAGGCTGCCCACTGTCTGTGGCTCGGAGCTTCAGGGAATAACTAGAGGCCTATTGCAAAATGTCCAGTGGAGGTTAGCAATGAGGTAGCTGTCCCTCACTTCTGCCCCCTGAGTCATCACTAATATTTTCAAAAAAAATAAGAAGGAGACACTTTCCTATGCCCACCCCCACTGCCCACCCGTAGCATTTTAGGGCTTAGGTTCTGGAGTCAGACAGAAATAGGTGTGATTCCCTACTCAATCATTTGCTGGCAATGAGACCTTGGGAAAGTGAATGAATTTATGTGAGGATAATGTCAGGATGCACTTCCTTAAATTATTTTGAGGATCAAATGGCATAAATCCTTATAAAACATTTAGGAAAGTGTCTGGCACACAGTGGGTGCTCAAAAAATGTGGCTATTTTATAATGATCTAATGATCCCTACTCAATTGTGAGAAGCCACCTGAGGTCCTCTAGGGAAGGTTACGGGGTCACTCAGTCCCTCTCCTGCCTCTGGCCTCACAGTCCACAGAGGCCCCACAGAGAAAACAAGTGAGAGACATTCTGGGAAGGTCTGAGGAAGTTTCAGGATGGGGTCTTGACAGCGATTCATCTTCTGGACCTGCAGTGGGACTGTGTCTCTGCTCTAATGAGCTCAGGGTGCGCCCCTCCCACATGACTCACCTGTTCCCGGTCCAGGGCCTTGGCCACCTGTAGCTCCCCCTTTTTGGGGTGAATGGTGAAGTGCCCAAGCTGGTTCCCTCCTATGAGGCTATAGGTAATGTCACTATTTAGGGGTCCATCTTCATCAGTCGCTGATACCTGCGGTGGGGTAGGGGGATTGTGAATGGAGGGACAGGAATCTTGACCCCTGGGAGTACAGGGGGAAACAGATATGTCCCTGCCCCAGTGACTGCCTTTGGGCTAGCAGTGCCTGGATCACAGTTGTCCCTGCCAAAGTAATCTCTTCACTTACATCCTCGTGTGGACTTCAGCATGCCATGGTTTATTCATTCACTCACCATTCACTCTTGCTAACAGCATGCTAGGCCCTGTCCTAGAATGTGAGGAATGTGCTAAAATGAATATGCCTGCAGGAAGTTTAATGTCTAATTTTATGGGTAATTCTAATTTGGAGTAAAGTATGATCAGCCTTATAAGAGCACACAGTGATATATTACACTGGGGAGATTAGAAAAGGACTCATGAAGCCCTGAAGGATCAGGAGGTTCTTTCGGGGCTGGAGCAGGCAATCCAGGAGAGGAAATACTGTGAGCCCAGAGTGTGGAAGTGCAGACGATGTTTTGGGGAAAGGTAGATATTCCTGTGTGGTTGGAGCATAGGGTGCACCATAGCAGGGAGTGGAGGGAGAGACTGGAAGGTGGGATGAAGAGTGTGGGAGTATGGGTGGACAGAACTGGGTTTCACTCCATTGAATGAGGGAGTTATTGCATATTTAAATGCAAAGAGGTATTATTTGGTGTCCCCTCAGTCCCTGCCCCACAACTGTCATTCCACGTCACCCGCTATGACCAGGCCCTTCCCAGGCTTGAGAGCCTCTGGCAGTCCTCTGGGGTCTGTCTCTTTTTCTCTCTTCTCCTAACAAACCTCGCCTATCCCATGCCCCATTCCATTGTCTCTGATCTTATCATATGGCTCTGAGACATTCTCTCAGGAGAGATAGTTTGGCCGAGCATTGTTTGGCCATACTCAAATCTCACATAAACCTCTGACAAGTCAGAGTCAAGTCTACAGTGTATTAACTTAATAAACTAATCCATGCTCATAGATGGCTGGGTGTGGGGGTGAGATAAGAACCCATCCCAGAGTTCTTGTCCCACAAAGAGCAAGGTGGCAGATCCTTACCGTGAGGATGACGTCACCCACAAGGGCATTCTCTAAGACCCTTGTGCTATATGGATCTTGGGGGAATTGGGGCCGGTGTTCATTGACATCAGTGATGTTGACCATGACTGTGGTCACGTCACTGAGGGAAGAGGAGCTCTTCCGGCTGCACTCAATGGACAGGAAGTACTTGGGGCTTGTCTCAAAGTCCAGGCTTGCGTTGACATACAGGATCCCTGAAGAAGCAAGAGGTGACAGCAGCAATGAGGCAGTTGGGCCCTCAAAGGCGCAGGACTGAGGGTCTGAGCCCAGCCCTAGGAGAGGCAGCTCAACAGGGCTAGGCAAGGTAAGTGTCCTCTGTCATCTCCCCATCCATCTCCCTTTGCTATCCCCTTGACCCCCTTCCCCATCATCTCCCTCATTTTTCTTTATTATTATTCACAACAGCTATGTTTCCCTCACTTACTTCTGTAATATTTGATTTAAATCTCATTTAAATGTGTGATGCTAAATTTATCTCATTGAGATCTATAAAAACCCTGTGGAGCAGGGACAATTATGATTCCCATTTTCTAGGTCAGTCCATTGACCTAGATGCTCTAATAGGCAAGTGACTTGTCCAACCTCACCCAGCTAGTAAATGACAGACCTCAGGGCATAAAATGAGATTCATTAATACTCAAAGTTGCCCACAAATTGTTAGGGCATAGGTTATTATTCTGAAAACTGGAAAAAAGAAATAAAAGAACAAGGATTTATCCTGCCTTTCCCGGCTAACCAAATAGTTAATGGTGGACACTCTGCTTTTTGTTTTATTTTATTTTTCTTTCAACAGCATCACATGCCAATGAACATCTTTTTATAATTCAGTCAGAAAATAATGAGGAGTAATAGGATTAGAAAATCACCATTTTACAGCCCTTAATGAAAAGGTATATCTATCTAGGAAATGATTAGCAAAGCCTGCTAAAACCATTAGAAGAAAGGCTGATGAAGAAGTCTATAATGGCCTTATATACCCAAATTATAACTATATATTCATATATAATGGATCAGGTTGACAACACCTGAACTTACCATCTATCTTAACACCAGAAAAAAAAAAAAAAGCCAGTTAGCTCTTATGTGCGTCCAGACATGATGCAAACAGCATAGCATCATCTGTGAGGCACTGTGTTGATCAAGCACTGTCAACTAAACCTGATCAAGGCCTTTGATCCAAATGTCATTCCTAGGAAATACAAGGACCTGAGGGATATGCTATATGACACTATAAAGAGCCAACCAATCCAAACGATGGAAAATTCTATTAGACACATGACTCAACTGTTTCATTAAATAAATGGCAGGGGGAAATAAAGAGGAAGAAGAAAATGTTAGAGATTAAAGGACACTTAAAATCTTGCATATCAACCAAATTCAGTATGTAGATGTTTTGGGGATACTAACAAACCAGTTTCGAAAAGACATTTATGAGAATCTGAAAAATGGCCTGGTGATATTAAGAAATTGTTATCTTTTAGGTGTGATAAGGTATTGTGGTTTTGTTTAGAAAAGGAGTTCTTATTATACAGAGATACACACTGATGTCCTTACAAGTGAAATGACACAGTGTCTGCGGTTGGATGGATGTAGGGGCCAAAGGGTAAAGAGGAAACCAGGCTGGTCTCTGCAGATGATTACTGAAGCTGGGTGGTGGGAACACAGGGCTCATTGTACTATTCTATTTTTTAATATGTTCAAAATCTCCATGGTAAATTTTAAAAAATATTGCTCAATGATAAGGCAGCTGTTTGGGGAGGTAGAGAGCACCATTCCAGGGGAGCCATGGGGAGGAATCTGTGTGAGACACAGGCTGACCTGGGTGGCCTCTGAGGCCCTTCGGTGAGTTTCTGTGAACCTGACTTTGAGTCTTCTGTGGCTAGTAGGAAAGAAGTGAGACGGTTTCCTAGTTCTCTCTCTCTTCAAGAGAATAAGGGAAAATTAAGGGGTGCCAGGATGTTTGGAGTGGATGTGGGGACTCCAGGAGGGAAGCAGGCAGCCTTGTCCAGGGTTGCTTAAGCCCCAGATTCCAGCAAGGGCTCCCTGCCTCTGCAGCCAAGCCGTTTCTGCCTCCTGCGCTGGGCCTGAGCTGAGACCATGAAGCCGCTAACTGTGTGGGAGGAGAGTGGATCACTGAGGGTCCTGGACACAGAGACCTGGCTGCGGACGTGGGAGGGTCCCGTTTAAGGGAGGCTCCCACATAAGCTGGCCCCAGGGTGGAAGGAGGGACCTGGTACTCGGAGAGAAGCAGAAGAGAATGGAGAAACGACCAGAGGAGGTCTGCTCTGGGAGGCGCTGCACAGGGTAGATACCCACACAGGGGAGGAACCCAGCGCTCCCAGAAACCCTGTACGCGATGCTTTGGGGCTTGGTGGAT
Organism: Homo sapiens; assembly: GCF_000001405.40. NCBI lineage: Eukaryota > Metazoa > Chordata > Mammalia > Primates > Hominidae > Homo > Homo sapiens. The sequence goes on from NC_000005.10 coordinate 151,531,576, forward strand.
CAGGCTCTCACCTGTGCGAGCATCCAGGCGGAACCTGCCTTGCTCGTTCCCGCTGACCACGCGGTAGCCGGTCTTCTCTGCGCCCGGGCGAGTGAGGGTGGCCAGCTGCAGCACCTCCGTGCCAGGTGGGGCGTCCTCGGGCACCTGCACGCTGTGCTCGGTGTTCAGGAACACGGGCAGGTAGTCTTCTAGGCCCACCACCGAGACTGTGACGGTGCCCAGCGTGGACAGCGGTATTGGGGTGCCCAGGTCAGAGGCACGGACCGTGAGCTCCAGTGGTGCCTGGGGCCTGACCTGCAGCGGCTTTTCCAGGCGGATCACCCCCGTGGTGGCGTCGATGGAAAAGTGGCCTTCGGCTGAATCCGGCAGAGAGTAAACCACCTGGGCATTGGCGCCTGGCAGGGAGACCAAGGGTGTGATCCACACTGAGGGCGCCTCCTCTGGACCTGCCTGCAGCAAACCCTGCAGCCACAGGAGGGGCTGGGGAGGGGCTCCCATGAAGGCGGACAAGCTGGCTTGGGTATATGAAGAGTGAGGGTCTCTCCAGCGGGGTGTCTTGACTGGGGCAGGGAGACCCAAGGCCTCACTAAAATGCTTTTGGGGGAACCTAATCTGCAAATCTATCAAACTATCCGAAAATATTATGTGGGGATTAGGGTCTAATATCAGTTTATTAATGAAAAATATGCAGATAAAACCACCCATAGAGAGTTCCTTGACTGAGATAGAACAGCTCTGTATCTTGATTGTGGTGTTGGTTACAAGAATCTAAACATGGAATAATATTGCATAGAACTAAGTGTGCGTGTACAAACACACACACACACACACACACACACACACGCAAATGAGTGCATACAGAAACTGGTGAAATCTGAGTAGCAAGGCTGTAGTCTAGTTACCAACAATGGACCAATGTCAGTTTTCCAGTTTTGATATTATCCTACTGCTATGTAAGATGCTCCCATTAGGGAAGCTGCATGAAGAGGGCACACAGTCCCCACCAGTCCTATTTTTGCAACTTCCTATGGAGTCTATAATTACGTCAACATAAAAAGTTAAGAAAACACCCATGGAAGTTCTTAGTAAATCAAAACACACAGTGTTTCTCCAGCTTTGTCTCCAATTCTGTTATTTTCTTTGGTTAAGTACCAGATGAAGCAGTTGGCCATAGTGTAGGAAAAACACCAACATTTAAGGCTCGGCTGTGAGGTCCTCCCCCAGTGAGATGAACACACGCCCTGAGCCTAAGGGTCTCACGTCTCCCACACACGTGGAACACAAACTTCTCTGGTGGAATGGTGACAGGAGTAGCCTCTGAGAAGAGTTGAATTTATATCCATTAAATGCACATGCCATGCAACTTCCCCATATTGGCACTTATATGAAGAAACCATAATTTTTCTAGAGACAGAGAGATGCTGGTCAAACCACACCTGGATTATTTAGTTGAAATATTTGGGTTGGAATAACCATTTTGGAAAGATTAATGGTAAGTTGATATAAGGCCACTCTAGGAGCTATCTAGGAGATCTGTGTGATTGTAGAGGGCAGGACCAGGAATGACAGATGTCCCACTTGATAATGGCCTGAGGAACCATAGAAGGAAGGGGCTGCTTAGGAAGTAGGGAGCATCCTGTCCCTGGAGGTGTGTAAGCAGTGGCTAATGGAGCACTTACAGAGCCTTGCAGCCATTAGATGGAGACGTAAATAAGATGGCTTATGGGTCACTCCAGCTCTGATGTATTCCAGATCTCTCCTATCAAACCCATTTCTGTATCTCAAGCAAGTCTATTCCACTTGCACTTGTTATCTCCAACACACACACACACACACACACACACACACACACACACACACACGCTTTCCAGGTCCAGCCACCCTGCCTTTGTGTTGACTGTTTGCCCTCCCTAGAACCCCTACATCCCTCGAATATCTCACCTCCTTCAATGCCAAGCTAAAACTCACTTTCTCTAGGAAATCTTAATTTTACCCTGCTGGTGTCAAACAGAGCAGGGTGTTTTGATCCCACTTTTATCATCATCATTTTCCTGTGTTGACCTGGCTATTCTGATGCTGAGAGCATTTTTTTTACCCTATCTGAATTATAAAATTTGACTCAGGAAAATTGGACAGGTTATATACATATATATATACATACACACATACATATATATATGTGATATATATATATCACATTAATGAGTTATATATATGTATGTATACATGCAGGTATGTATATACAATCAGAATAGAACACTTTGTGGTAGCATAAGCTATAATTGGTACAATATGGAACAAATATGTTTGAATGAATGCAATTTACCTTGTAAATTTTAAAAGAAAAAGAATTAACTCCAATGAAAATATGGAGTTAAAATGTAAAATATTGAAAAGGGTTCAACTTCACTCTTCAGAAAATTGATCAAGGAATTTAATGGGCTTACTGGGGTTGGTACCCAAAATTCCTTTCTTGAGGCAAATCAATCAGAATTGAAGAAGTCTGATTGGTATATTTCTGATTAAATGTTTGTACTTAAAAATGCCTTTGTGGTTAAATGGCAGTATTGAAAAGTCCCCAGGTCTAAGTGGAAGGGGAGAAACAATAAGGCTGAAATACCTTTTTCCTGCTTCAAAACATTGCTAAAATCATTTGTCATATAGCACTTAGGTGTGCAGTTTGAGGATAAATACTTTTTACTTTTAAGTGTCCCCAGACTCAACAAGGAGGCACCGCCCTTACCAGTCCTAGAGAGACACAAAGGGGACCAAACCCTTGCCCAAGGTGACCCAGGAGATCATTGGAAATGGCCTCAATCCTTCTCAGACTCACCTTGGTCGGGATCCCGGGCAAATACTACAGCCACAGGGGTCTTCACTGTGGTGTTGTCGAAGACAGCCACAGCACAGTGGCTGGGGAAGAACCGCGGGGCATTGTCATTCACATCCTCCACATGGAGGGTGATGTCTGCCTGGCACGATCGGCCACCTCCATCCGTCGCCTTGGCAACAAGGTTGAACACATCCTTCCTTTCTCGGTCTAGGGCAGTGAGTGTGGTCAGCTCCCCTGGTCGGAGAAATGACAAAAGTTGAGCTTTCTCTGGGGAAATATTACCCAAGCATGTGCCCTCTATATATCTACAGGAGACAAACCCAGCCACACAGAGTTTTGTTCACAGCAAGGAGGGGTCAATACAGTCAGGAAAGCAGCTAAGCCTGTATCCCCCCATACCCATTCTCCTCCCTGATTCTCCCAAACACACTTCATCACATTGCCAGTTTAAGATCATCATCAACAAGCTAAAAATAGGTATATTCTTAATGGCCAATTAGGCAATTTCTAACAATATATAAAATGCATTTATCCTTTGGTTCGTAATTCCACTTCTAGGAAAATATATATATATATATATATATATATGTATACATTTTCTATAGAAAAATCAACCCAAAGATAAAAATCTATGTATAAGGATATTCTCTGCAGCACTGTTTATAATAGCAACTATTGAAATCATCCTATATGTCTTTCAAAAAGGGACTGGTTAAGTATATTATGATTTAGCCACACAGTAAAACACCATGTGTGGTGTTATAAGTGTATCTTGGTTTTCATGCATGGCTCCTGCCCGTAACTCCCACAGCCCTTGTTACACACTCTTTTGTTATAATGTTGGGTGTGTTATGTTAGGCCTCAGGAAGCACAATCTCTTTGACCTTCTCCTGCTCTCCTTTCACCTGCCCCAAAGCAAGATTCCCATCTTTCCCCCCTTTTCTAATTGTGGGTTTTAAGACCCTCCCCAGAGAGTCTCCTGCCTTATACCCTGGGGGAAATAATGCTGACATCATGAGGCTCCCATAACAACCCAAGATGACTGGGTTCCGAGAGCTTCCATATAGCTGAACACAGGGCGGTTCCTGGAGGGTGGTGCGCCCAGGGAGGACATGGGAGCCCCTTTCCTCATGCCTCGCCCTACACCTCTCTTCACCTGTATCCTTTGCAGTATCCTTTATAATAAACCAGTAAACACAAGTGTTTTTCTGAGTTCTGTGAGCTGTCCCAACAAATTAATCGAACCCAAAGAAGGAGTCGTGGGAGCCCCAACTTGAAGCTGGTTGGTCAGACATTCTGGAGGCCTGGACTTGCAACTGGTGTCTGGGTAAGGGGGTAGAGTCTTGTGGACAGAGCCCTAAACCCATGGGATCTGACACTATCTCCAGGTAGATAGTGTTGGAATTGAATTAGAGGACACCTGAGGGGTCTCCGCTGCTTGTTGTATGGGGAAAACCCACACACATTTGGTCACAGAAGTCTTCTTTGCTGATGATTGGTGTGGTGTGAGAGCAGAGGAAAAACCTGGTTTGAGAGAGGTTTTTCCGAAACACCATATAACCAAAAATGAATTATGATAGAGCTTTGAGATACTGCTGAGTGAAGAAAAGCAAGTTACAAATAGTATTCTACTTTCATGAAGTAATTATATAGAGATTTTGGAGATGCATGGAAAACCAGTCAGATAGAATATATACCAAGAGTCCTTATCTGTGGAGGAAGGGGTTATCATGCAGATGTTCCAGTTTCTGCATAATACATACCTACATTGCTTCAATTTTATACCATGAACATGTATTATTTCCATATTCAGAAAAAAAAACGCCATTTTTTAAAGTCCTTACTGATCATCCTGAAGCTGAACAAAGAGCAGCAGAGAGAGGTTAAATAACCTGCCTGGGTCCCTCTGCCTGTCCCTGCTGGGGTTAGGAAGGACAGCATTGTCCCCTATCTACCCAGACAGCTTCCTGCGACACCCTTCTCCCCTGCCACCCCCTGCTCAGGTATCTCCAAGTCATCCTGTGAGCTACTGGGCCCAAGCCAAATGTCAGCAGCTGGCCCTTGTGACCTGGGCCTTCTGTGCTGCCCATCTCCACACCCTCCCCTGCAGCAGCAGGGCAGGAATCCCTCCTAGGTGGGCTGCTCTTCCAAAGGAAGTCCACTCCACCAGACTCTCACAGCCCAGCCTCTCCTGGCTACTCCTGGCCTACCCTGCAGGAATCTCTGCTTCCCACTCTGCTCTATCTCTTGGCTAGTAACAATGATAATGGCAACCCATCCACTGAGCCAGACCTGGGCTAGGCTTCCATATGCTTTCTCACCTGTGTTATAACAATTCTATGAGGTGTTATCCCTGGTTTGCAGCATAGATACCTTGAGATCATGTTCTTGGCCATGACACTCACCTGCCTAAATCCTCCAGTGGCTCTAAAGGTGGGATTTGGCTCTGCCCACCCTGGGGCCTCATTCTTTGTCCTCTCTCCTCCCTCTCTGGGCACCAGTTTCTGGCCTTCTGTCAGGTCCTCAGTGTGTGTACTATTTCCCCAAAGAAGGTCTTTGTATAAATTCTCCTGCCTTGAGTGCCCTTTCCCCCACTCTCTTACCCCTGGCTAACACTTCTGTGTCCACAAGTCTCACATAAAGTGGCATTTCCTCAGTGATCTTTTACTTAAGATCCTCCGTAGCCAAAGTCAAGTTCTGCTGTCAAATATTCCCATAGCTAGCAAAAAGACAGAAAGACAGAAAGAAAAAGAGGGAGAGAAATACAGAAAGAAAGAAGAGAGAGAGAGAGAAAGAAGAAGAGGAAGAAGAAGAGGAGGAGGAGGAAGAAGAAGAAAAAGGAGAATAATAAGAAGACGATGGTGGTGGTGGAGGAGGAGGAGGAGGAGGGAGAGAGGGAAGAAAAAGAAAGAGAAAAAAAGAAAGAAAAGAAAAGAAAAGAAAAAAGAAGGAAGGAAGGAAAGAAACAACGAACAACGAAAGGAAAGGAAAGGGAGAAAGGAAAAGGAAAAAAGGAAAGGAGAGGAAAGGAGAGGGGAGGGGAGGGGAGGGAAGGAAAGGAGAAACCAAGATGTCAGCTGTGCTAAAATAAATTTTAAAAGAATAAAATAAATCCCCTTAGCATTCTGCACTTTTTCTTAATTTAGCACATTTAAAACCACTGATTCAATGACCCCCTTTCCCACTAGATTATAAAGGCCCAAATCTTGTCTTATCAATCTATTTATTATGTCCCCAGTACAATGCTTGGCACATAGGGCCAATATATGTTTGCTGATAGATGAGTGAATTCCTGTTTCTTCTCCAAGGAGAATACCATGGCACTGGGCACTTGGTATTCAGTAAAGAAGTTCTTGTTTTGATCCTGCAGCTCAGGAAACCCACCTGTATGAGGATCCAGCTTGAATTCATGCGCCCCAGGGCCATGCAGAGAATATGTGATCTGAGCATTGGTATCAGTGTCCAAGTCTGTGGCAGAAACCTTCAAAATGAAGTGTCCTGGAAATACATCTTCATGAACCTTGCCAGTATAGAGAAGCTAGAGATGGAAAGACAAAGAAGAGGGAGACTGTGGGGACTGCATTCAGATCCAGAGAGAAGCAGAGTGACTGACTGAGGGAGGCAGAAGCAGAAAGAGAGACACTAAGAGGGCAGAGACGAAGAGAGACAGAAAAAAGAACAGAGACAGAGAGAGAGAAAGAGAAGCAGAGAGAGGGAGGGAGGGGAACAGAGGAGGTAGAATAAGATGAAACATGCAAGGAAAACTGAGGTTTAAAACAGGAAGAGGATGACAAGAGAACGAGTCAGAAAAGAGAGAATGGAGAAGTTCTGTCATCCAAAAGCCCACAGGCAGGGCTAGAAGGGACTGCTACAATTTCTTCCACCCAGTCCTTTGAGGCTTTTGGAGAAGGAAGGCAAGATGGGCCTGATATAGGCATTCTGGAAGGTGTCAGGTCAACCTCCCCTGCCTCTGTGGCGAGGCCATGCTATTAAGCTCATCTCCCTGACCGTATCCCCAGGACAGACCCTTGACCTTTGAGTCAGGTCTGGACTCCAGTGGCCCCATCGCTTGGCCCACCCTCCCTTTGCTGCAGGTACCGTCATGGCATCTGAGGGAGTGGCAGAGGGGAAAGGCTGGAGCTCCCTGAGAATTCAATTTTTCTTCAGTGGCTGGCAGTGAGCCAGCCTGCAAGCATCATGGTTTCCACCACTGTTGAGTGTGGGCAAGCATGGACCCCTACATGCCCTGGATGGAAGCTTTATTTATTTTCTTGTTTTCTCTTTTTTGAGACAGAGTCTCACTCTGTTGCCCAGGCTTGAGTGCAGTGGCACGATCTTGGCTCACTGCAACCTCCTCCTCCCAAATTCAAACCATCTCCTGCCTCAGCCTCCTAGGTAGCTGGGAGTACAGGTGCGTGCCACCACACCTGGCTAATTTTTTTTTTTTTTGTATTTTTAGTAGAGACGGGGTTTCACCATGTTGGCCAGGCTGGTCTCGAACCCCTGACATCAGGTGATCCGCCTGCCTCGGCCTCCCAAAGTGCTTGGATTACAGACGTGGATGGAAGTTTTATGTGTGGAGATGGTTCCCCAGGCCTCTTTTTTCTGTTCTAGTGATGCTGTGAACCATCTCCGGGAGGGCCAGGGTGAGCCTGATCTCAGCCTCTCCAAGCATGGGGAGGACAGAAGTTGGTTGTAATGATGGCTGAGGGAAAAGAGAAGGAAGGTGACCACCATTCTCCCCAAAAAAGCCTCCCTTCTGAGACTACCCCAAATATGGTCATCTTGGATCCTGAAAAGACATTTTGCATGCATACCAATAACCAGACTCTCTTTTTCTACAGTGCTTTTATGTGACTGGCATGTAGAAGAGTGGAGGAAGAAAAGGTGAGGAGATATATGTATTTATGTGTGTTGCAAGGTATGTGTCTATACATTCATATGTGTGTGCAAGCAAGTCGAAGTTTGTATATATGCAAATGCATATGTAAGTATGTTCATGTGAATTTGTTACGTATAGTTGCATGTGTGGGTGAGTATATGGTTGATTGTGCTAGGTATATAGGTATATGCTTATATGTTTATGTGTATATATGCATAGGTATTTGCCTGTGTGTATAGGGTTGTAGATGATCCTTTGTGTATATGTGTGGGTATGTATAACTGTGCATTTTTATATATATACTGAATGGCTGGATTATGATAATTTGAGATGTTATAAAATTAAAATGTTAGCAGTTTAACTTTATCTATAAACTTTGAAAGAATGTAAATCCTCCCAAAGTTAAAAACTACTTACTGTGTTTTAAAAAATATGTTTAAAAGCAAAGCTCCATGACAGCAATTGTTGGTTTATGCCTCTAGGAACACAGCTCCTCTCCTGACAAACACACATACACACCCCACTCAACATTTGTTCCTGCTGGAAATTTAGAGTTGAATTACATGAGATCCTTAGGAAAGTATCCCTCACCAAATGAAATTGCCCTGTCTCGTGTTTGTGTCTCTGTACAAGTGAAGAAGGGCATCTCAGTGGACTAAATTACCCCAGCAGATGTGAGGAGGTGCATATATGGGCATGGGGTGAGGGGTTTGTCTGGGGTCAGGTCTCTGTTGGTGTATTTGATAATAGTGAGCCATGTCAACAAGTTGAGCAGTGCCAGGGGTTTGCCCATTGGGCATGGCTGGCTGTATTTGGAGAATGCTTATGTTACTTTCCTTCTGGATATGTTCTGCAGAGAAATAGACCTTTGTTGGGAATGTAGGGGGAGAGATGTGGGCCATGAGTCTTGAACAGCTTGGTATATCCCTATGGGGGCCAAGGAATTACCTAGAATGGTCCCTGCCCCTGGGAGCTAGTCTGAGGCTTGCTGGGGAGAAGCAAGAGAGGTGAGGTCAGTGATGGCCAGCCTCAGAGATGGGTCCCTCGGTCCTCCTTTCTCCTGCCCCTCACTCTCTGTTCTCCTGCCCCTCAATCTCCCTTCTCCTGCCCCTCACTCTCTGTTCTCCTGCCCCTCAATCTCCCTTCTCCTGCCCCTCACTCTCTGTTCTCCTGCCCCTCAATCTCCCTTCTCCTGCTCCTCACTCTCTGTTCTCCCACCCCTCACTCTTATCTTCCTTGCCTTCACTACCCACTCCACCCCTCGCCAGGCTCTCACCTGTGAACACTGTGGGCTGTTATCATTGACGTCCAGGACAAAGATCTCCACAGTGACCGAAGCCTGGAACTTGCCATCAGATGCTGTGACTCTGAGCAAGTACTTGGCTGTATGCTCGCGGTCCAGGGTCTTCCTTGAGGAAATCCTCCACTCATCTCCAACTTGGCTGATGCCAAACTGGCCCAGGGGGTCTCCCTCTAAACAGATGGGGCAGAGCTTTCAGAAGCCAAGCAATAGGAATGAACTAGGCTTTGTGTCACAGGTGGCTGCCCATTGGATGCATTTTTTAGAATTGTTGGGAAAGCAAACATTTCCTTCCTTAACTAGGAACCCACGATTCTACACTGAGTCCACTTTTTGGTGTTATGAAGCTACTTCTACTTCAAATGCCTCCTGTTGAATGAAATTGTCAATGCAAGAAGCATCACTTCAAAATATGTGGCTGAAGGCAGGGTTTTTTGTTTTGTGGCCCAGAAGGCATGGGAGGAAGTTAAAGGGAAACAAATTTCAATTCTATATAAATGTCTAAGATGCATAGCTATACAACAGTGGAGAGATAGGAAGCAATCAAAAACACTAAACACTCCAAGGTTTTATTTTATAACTAAGGACCCACCCTAAGTGGAGGTTCTGTAGGAGCACTAGGGTTTGCTTGTAAGTCATCTTTCTTTCCTTGACACTAATCACTGACAAGAATGTGGGAATATGGATTTCTCACTCTGAGATCCTAAGATTCCAGAGTTCTAAGATCCAACTACTCCAAGAATTGATAACATGTTGACATTTATTACTCTATTATCCTGAGATTTTAAGACTTCTGTGTTTTTAGGAGTCTGATATTTTAAGATGATAAGATTCTGTTTTTCTACAACTCTGTATTTCAAACAGCTTTGATCCTATGTCTTCGGGAGTCTGTGGTTCTTGGTTGGAATTTCAGGCTCATGGGCTTTTCACTGGACAGCTGTGATAGCAGAAGGAGCCATGTTCATGGGAATGGGGGGACATGGCACCTGGGGATGAGAAAAAAAGGCCACAGGAGTGAAGAAACTCTCTCATGGCCACTGGTTAGCTGGCTTAGCCACTGGATTGGGGATAGGGTAATTTAGTTTTACAGTAGGTATCCACTAATGAAAGCAGCTTATAGGGTAGGGTTTTAATCCCAGCCCTGAAGCAAGCACAAGAGTGTGACCTTGGTTGAACTTCTCCATCTGGGCCTTGGTTTCCACATACGTGAAATGAAGGAATTATATCTAAGGAAGTGCTGTCATTCTTACACTTAGGACCTGTGATTGACTAAGAAGCATTTTCTATCATTCACAACTTTACCTGGGTAGGACACTCTCCATAAAGACAGTCGCTTGACAGAATTTTCAAGGATCATGCAACATTCTTGGTGCCTCCTCCATCTTTCAAAAGACAACTGACAGCAGTTAGAGTATGACTCATGTAAAATAATGAGACATACTTTTTGCAAAGCACTTTCTAATGTATAGGTGCTTTCTAGAAATTACAGATCTTACCAGCATGCCTGTGAGGTGAATGAGAACATGCATGCCAAGTCTATAGGTGGAGAAACTGAGGTCCTAGGGGGTTAAGTGTGCCCAAGGTCACACTGCTAATAAGTGGCAAATCCAGGACATGAACCCATTTTAGGGCACCTCTTCCTGGATGTTTTTCGATACATTCCAGAGCCTGCAGTCCATGACAGGTGTTCTTACCTGTGATGTAGCAGGTGACCTGCCTGTTCTGCTCAGAAATGTCAGCATCCAGGGTCTTTAGAGTCGCCACCAGTTCGCCAGGCTCACTGTTCTCAACCACAGATCCTCTGTACTCTTCAGAAGCAAATCGGGGAGCATTGTCATTCTCATCTGTAATGGAGACCTGAACCAGGGCCTGAGAGGATAGCTGGATGGTCTGTCCGTGGTCATAGGCCACCACATGAAAATGATAAGTCTGGCAGGTCTCACAGTCAAGTTCCTGGAGTGTGGTGATCCAACCACTCTCACTGTCAATGGCAAAGAGCTCATGGACATTGCTACCAGGGTCTGCAGACAGCCTGTAGCTCACCTGGCCATCTCTCCCAGTGTCCTTGTCAATGGCAGTCACTTGAATGACTGAGGTCCCCACTGGCATATTCTCAGTGAGGACAGCCTTATATGGATCAGCCTCAAATACAGGCCTATTGTCATTGACGTCTCCCACTTGGATGTTGACAGAGACCAAGGACACCACATCAGTGTTCTGAAGGCAATGTGCCATCACATCAATCTGGTACAATTTGGTGGATTCGTGGTCCATGGGCTTCCTCACCTTTATGACCCCTGTGTCTGGGTCTAGGGAGAAGACACCATCCTTGTTGCTCTCAGGTGTAGTGCCCCGCACTAGACTGTAGATGACTGGATCTTGAGCTGCCACTGCTTTAACAATCCCAATTTCAGACCCCTCTGGAAGGTCTTCAGGTGCAGAGAAAGTATACAAAGGTTCAGAAAATTTCGGTAAGGATACTTTTTTAGGAACCACCTGAAGTCGTACTGGCACCAGAGAGTTCCAGTGAGGAGGGCCTCCATCTTGGGCTTTGATGAAGAAGTCAAGGGTCTGATTTTCCAATCCCACCAGGCTGTCTTTCACCTTGACCACACCAGTGACTGGGTTAATTTCAATGACATCTTTAACTAGGTCCTCTGGGTTCACTGAGTAGGTGACATCTGCGTTCTGACCTTCATCTGCATCATAGGCCAACACCTGGATAACCGGAGAGTCTTTACTGACATTGGATTGAATGGATACTGTGTACTCAGATGCTTTGAACTGTGGGGGGTTGTCATTTTCATCTGTGAGGATGATCTTCACCGTGCAGAAGGCTACTCTTCCTCCTCCATCCCGAGCCATGACCTTAATAGCAATGACTCTCTCTGTTGAATTTTCCCGATCCAGTTTCTGCAGAGTGGCAATCTGGCCATTGGGGTTTATGGAGAACTTCTCACTTGCTAGTTTATTGATGATAGTATAATCTATAGTGCCATAGGGACCACTATCTTTGTCTATGGCTAGCAAATCAATCACCTTGGTTCCAACCATTGCATTCTCTGCTAATTCTGCCTCATAAAGGTGCTGCTGGAACTCTGGGCTGTACTTGTTGGCATTTGTAGTGTTGATGTACACAGGCACAGTTGCTCGGAAGACTCCATCAGAAGCACCTACCCTCAAATTGTAAGAAGAGTCCAGGTGCTTTTTGCAAAGGTTGAACATAGAAATTATTCCCGATGAGCTGTTAATGAAGAAGTGCCTGTCCTGATTGCCAGAAAGAATCAGGTACTCCAGGCGGGAGGTGTCTCTGCTGTCAGGGTCAATAGCCTGGACTTTAAGAACCAGGTGTCCACAGGTTGCCAGTTCACTGACATTGGCTTCATATTGAGGTTGTCTGAACTCTGGGGGGTTGTCATTGATATCAGACACATTGACAACCACAAGGGTTTCACCAGTGAGTGGGGGATCTCCTTTATCCATGGCCCTGACTTTCACATGAAAGTGTTGTTGGGCTTCATAATCCAGTTCTTGAACTGTGGACATCTCCCCTGTGCTCCCATTGATCTGGAAGAACTTGGAAACATCTGAGCCATCCTCCACAATCTGATAAGAGACGTCACGGTTCCGCCCTGAGTCCTGGTCAGAAGCCAACAGTTGGATCACAGGGGTCTGAGCAGGCAAGCCTTCTGAGATGGAAGTGGTATAGACCAATTGGGAAAAAGTGGGAGGGTTATCATTGACATCCTCCACTAGGACTTCCACTGTGGCTTCAGAAAATGACCCCAGAGCTGTATCCGTGGCTCTGACTGTGAACACATGTTTGGTCTTGGACTCATAGTCCAAAGGCCCTGTTACTGTTAGGACACCAGTCTTGAAGTCAGTGGTGAACAGCATCAAGGGTTCTTCCTCCACAATGTTGTAGATGAGCCGGAGTCCCTCTGGACTCCGGGCCTGGGTGTGGAGAATTGGGGTATAGAGGGTGATATTTTCAGGTACTCTGACTTTGTAATAAGGACTCTGAAACAGTGGGTTGGATTTATTTCTCACAGTGACAAGTACCTCTTCCTCACTCTGGAGGGATGGCGTTCCTCCATCCCGAGCAATGACTTTGAGGTGATATTTATTTAAAGCTTGATAATCAAAGGGTTTCTTGAGTGATATGTCCCCAAGATAGGGGTCAATTCGGAAATATGTGTAATCTTCTGCAAATTCATATGTAACAGCCCCATTTGTCCCCAAGTCCTCATCAGTGGCAGATACCTGAAAGAGGACATCCCCTGGCTCTGTGCCATCTTGGATGATTGTGTAATAGGGCAGATGCTTAAATTTGGGGGGATTGTCATTGACATCCTCAATAGAGACTCTGACCAAACCCTGAGCCACCCGCTGAGGTGTCCGATTGTCCCTCACTTCCACTGCCAACTCATGAGTGTCCTGCTGCTCCCGGTCAAACGCCACACCTCTTGTCTGCAACACACCTGCTGACTGGACCATATGAAACATATCTGTGCCATTCAAGAGAAAGTAGGAAAGGGTGTCATTCAAATGATTGCCCTGGGCACCAAGAATCACCAGTGCCTTTCTGTCCTGCAAGTTCTCCTTCACAGCTGCCCAGTAGACATCCTGATCAAACTGCAAGCTTTTGTCAAGCACTTGGGTCAAAGAAATTTTTACCAGCGCAGTGTCTTGATACAAGCCATCAGAAGCCCTGATGGTGAGCTTCCGAGAGAGTCCCAGGAAAGCAGGATTCAGCACAGATATGCTACCAGTGACAGGATGGATGGTAACAGCTTCATCAGCATTGCCAGTTTTGATGCTATAATTGACTTCTGAGTCTTCATCGCTGGCCCGCACCATGAGAAGCTCCATGCCTGGATGGATAGGCCCGACTATTGCTACCTCATATATCTGTTCTGAGAATCTGGGAGGGGAATCATTCACATCTCTGACATGAATGATGACTTGGGCAGGTCTGGGTGCAAATAATACAGGGCTTCCTTGGTCATGGACATAGACACAGAATTGGAAAGAGGGCATGCTCTCATAATCCATCTCTGATACAATGGTTAGGGTTCCCATGCTGGGATCAATTTTGAAAAACTTCAAGGCCTCCGGCTCCAAAATTTTATAGACCAACAAGGAATTAGCTTCTTTGTCACTGTCAGAGGCATGAATCACAAAGGGGTTGTTGTTTTTATCCATGATCATGCTATACAGTGGAGCTGCTTCACTAATTTGGCCCACAAAAGTTGACTTTAAGAACATAGGAGCATTGTCATTTTCATCAATTATGTCAACCACCACCATGACATCAGTAAATGCACCTGCCATATTGCTGCCTCGGATTTTCAGCTGGTAAGACGAGATTTTCTCATGGTCCAATTTCTTCTGGGTGGAAATAAGGCCAGAATATGAGTTCATAGAGAAGACTCCATCCTTATTTCCCTCTCTTAACTCATAGGTAACTTCAGAGGGGCTCATAGCAGAGACAAGGAGGATTGGGGAACCAACAGGGATTGATTCAGGGATCTCTACAAAGTACTCAGATTTTGAAAAGATGGGGGCACTCCTATCTGAGGGATAGACATGAATGATCACTGTAGCCAGGTCATGCCATTGTGGGGAGCCTTGATCTTCTGCCTTCACTGTCAGAGTATGTGGGGCATGATTTGCCTGATCAAGCTTTTGAGCTAGAGTAATGATGCCTAGCAGGGCATTGATGTTGAAGAAACCTTCGCTGTTCCCTGAAACAGAAGACAAGACAAACAAGTTTGCCACACCCTCGACAGGTATCAGCTAGGCTTTCTAGATCAGTAAAGGGTCTATCACACAAAACCTGGACAGAGCAAAATCTGCATATAGTGTATACCCACCCTGGATATAGTGTATAGAGTAGATACTTTATAAAATCTCTAACATGGTGTGCATAGTAGGTGCTTCATATCACCATCAATTATCACTAAGTTTCTGGGACACAACTTAAGCTACAAACCAAAGCTATAGCAGGTCTTTGAAACCAAAAAAGGAGACTCCATAGGAAAACACACTCCACCCTGAATTTCAGTGATGCCTTTTGTAGGAAAAGCTTCAGTTTGCATCATACAGAATTTTTAACCATCTTTTGTATAACTTTTTTTTTTTTTAGAGTCAGGGTCTTTCCTGTCACCCAGGCTGGAATGTAGTGATGTGAGCATGGCTCACTGCAGCCTCAAACTCCTGGGCTCAAGCGGTCCTCCAGCCTCAGCCTCTGGTGGGATTACAGGTGTGAGCCACCGTGCCTGGCTACATTTTTAATATAATTTTTAATAGCTTTGGTTATATAGAACACCCATATCTCAAGGCTCCTGAGCAAATATCTTTGCCCCATGTGTGTATTTCCTAAACTCTAGGCATTCTCACATCACCTTTATAATTTTTTCAATATCCATCCATTGCCTATGTTATGTTACACTATTATTTAATTGATGTTTTCCTTTAAATTAACTCACTCAAATTTTGATAAATATTTTTAAAGGTAACATTATGTTGCTTCTTTAAATAAAAACACCATATTGCTTACCATAAATCAGAAGTTACCATAAAAAGAAGTCAAAGAAAAAATACCGTATTAAAATTGAGATAAAATCTACTGCTTGCCAAAAGGTCTGAGCCTGTGAGCTATCCTCTTTCTTTGGTAAACAAAGAGTGGCAGGTGTTAGAGAAGACTAAAAGACATTCTAGAACCCAACAGAGGCTTTGTTCTTCATTCTATCAGGGAGCTTGAATAATTTAAAGAGGAGTGCTTTCTCCATGCCCAATAATCTTTTAATGCCATTAAATGAGTAATACTTGAATTGTTTTGCTCACCACCACAGATACAGGCCTTACACTTGAGAAAATACTGCACTTTACATGTCTTATTCCCTCTATCACGTGAGAGCATATTTTATTATTTCAGTGGCAAGGCAAATGGCTAAGTTTTGTCATAAAACTTTCAATCTGATTCTTCCACCTTTGAAGCCCTTCTCCAGCTGACTGGTTAGGTGATTTGTCATATAACCGCTAAATTCAGTCAAAGAACATGGTTTTAATGAGTAGCCGTTTTAAAGTGATTCCATTAAAAGCAGCTAAGTCAACAACCTACATGTGATTCCGATTATAATTTATTATATAATATCACACTGCTGAAAGAAAGAAATCAGGGCACAAAATTGTATATTCATTATGATCTCAATATTACAAAAATATGCATAGGGGAAGATAAGAGGGAAAGACAGAAAATCATTCTTTTGGGGTGATGAAAATGATGGTTATGTGTTGTGTTCTTTATACATTCCTGTATTTTTCGTGTTTTCAAAAATGAGCATGTGTTACTTCTATAATCAGAAGAATATTTTAAAACTAATCTAATCTGGAAAATAAAGTCATTATCTCCATCAATGAGGTTGTCAATGAGATAAAAGATGTGATTTCATTTCATAAATCACAAAAAGCAAGCAATGCATTATAATCCATATTCTTCTTCAGCGGTGAATAGACTTCTGTTATATGGCAACTGTTTCTTCCAAAAAGAAAAGGTAAAGCTACTGGCTTTATACAGTACCAGTAGCTACTGTATAAGCTACTGACATGCAATAAATGAACATTAGGTCTTGTGAGGGCAGACAGCAAATTATTTTCTTCTTGGTTTCTCATAGCAACTAGCTCTATGAAGTATTATTATTAAATATAATTATTACTATTAAATATCATTAATTATGTATTATAATTATTACAAATTATCATTAATAATTAGTTGGATACTGGATATTATCGCTTTTGTTATAGTAATTGCTTATAATTAACACTTATCAATGATAGTAATAGCCCCTGGCATTTGTATAATATTTCAATTTACAACATGTATTAACATACATTTTCTTTTTTGAGATGGAGTCTTGCTGTGTCGCCCAGGCTGGAGTGCAATGGTGCAATCTCAGCTCACTGCAACCTCTGCCTCCCAGGTTCAAGCGATTCTCCTCCCTCAGCCTCCCGAGTAGCTGGGATTACAGGTGCATGTCACCATGCCAGGCTAATTTTTGTATTTTTAGTAGAGACGGAGTTTCACCATGTTGGCTAGGCGGGTCTCGAACTCCCAACCTCAGGTGATCCGCCCGCCTCGGCCTCCCAAAGTGCTAGGATTACAGGCGTGAGCCACCGCATCTGGCCAACATACATTTTCTCTTTTAATCTTTGCAATGACTTTCTGGCACAGGTAAGATTATTCCCGTTTTTGAGATGAAGAAACCCATAAAATAGATAAACCCATAAAATAGATACTAAATCACTGTGGAGCCTTATCAGAAAATAAAAATTACTTCTAAAACTATGCCATACACTTCATAAAGTGTTCTAAGATACATGCATGAAGTTATTACATTTTTAAATGTTGCATGGACTTCATAAATATCTTCTACATGTTTGGTCACTGGTGGGTTTATATAATATATATGCAAATTCTCCCACAGCATGAGTGGTCCTTACTCATATTGTAGTAATTATGTTATTACTACCTTTGGAAGTGCATTAATTTAGGTAGTCCCAGGGAATGCTCTAGAATTATTGTTTGCCAAGGCTTAATGAGCTTGGTACTTGATTAATTTGCGAATTCATGCCTCTAGTGCTTTCCTTTATTTCTAAAGCATCTTGACCCATCCTCTGAGCTCATGGCCAGGCCTCTCACCTTTCAGGAGGGAGTAGTGGACCTCAGCATTGACTCCCCGGTCAGCATCCATGGCTCGGACCTGCAGCAGCTCTGTGCCGGGGGCTATGGTGTCAGGAACACTTGCCTCATAATGGAGCTGAGTGAAGCGGGGTGGGTGGAGGTTTCCATCCTCCACATGAATGGTCACCCACACGAAGTTCCTCTTGATAGGTATTTCCTGGTCTCGGACCTATGGGCCCAAAGGGGGTAATTGGGTAAGCAGCAAATGGAATAGGAGGAGGCAGGGTTAGGGTAAGGTTAATGAACTAGAATGCCAATTTAAAATATGCCCAATTGTAACTAACTCCCCATATTCTTTTAAATGTTGTTCTAATCTATATGCTCTTTTTCTTCATTTATGTAAATGGATCAGTCAATGATTCCTAGGCTCAGCTGTTTTAATGGATAATTCTATTTTAGGAGAAAGACAGAAATAGGCAGAGAAGCAGTGTTTTCCAAATTACATCTCAGAGAATACTCATTCTTCAAGATGTTAACATGTCATGCAGGAAAAAAAAATTATATGGTCACATAAATTTGGGGAGCACTGAATTAAATGCAGTCAAACAGTTTTCTTTGTTGCAGGACTTCTCAGAGCCTTGAATACGTATTATATGCCCAGAGGATGATAAATTAGCACATAAGAACCCTGATCTTTAAGACAGGAGGCCAGGCTCCGATTCTGGTTCCATCATAAATAACTGTATGACAGTGAGGAAGTCTGTCTTTCTCTGTGGGTCTCAGGTGTAAGATGAGACAAATGGGCAGGGTCAGGGATAGAACTAGGGGGAAGCAAGTGAGGCAAGTAGGGTGCAAAATTTAAAGAGGCTCTGACTCTTGGGGTCATAAAAATGCAGGCACATGGCCCAGAGAGTGAGCCCTCCTTACATTTTGTGTCCTGCATGCCTTGCTGGCCTGACCCTAGTCCTTGCTCTCAGTGGGAGAGGCTCTGTGTCCCTTCCAGCTCTGACATTACATGAATCCACATTGTGTCATGAAGTCACTGAGCAGGGAGAGAGCTCTTGGGAAATATCTGGGGTGAGTCCAGAGAAAGCTGAGGTTGACAGGAGTTTCCTTGGCAGCCGTCCCATCTCTACCTTCACTTCCAGGCATCCCTTATGGAAGGTGCCCTTAGCCAGCTGTGAAATGTCACAACTCTGTCTCGTGCATGGTCCTTATGAGGGGAAGGGGGACCTTCAGCATGTCTCCAAGCATGTCCACCCCTACACATCTACATGCAAACGTATTCTCACCAGATTTTTCCATTTACTCACCATGACTGTCAGTGTGTGCTGGGAGGGCCCCGAGCCGAGGTCCAATTTTCCCACCGTTACCAGGACACCACTGCTTGGGTCCAGCTGGAAGAGGCTGGCACTTCCTGGGTCTTGGCTGCCATGTATGGTATAGATGAGGCTTTTGCCCTTGTCTTGATCTATGGCCTGGACTCGCAGGAGCTCTACCCCTGGCACGGTGTCCTGGGGAACTCTGACTTCATAACGAGTTTCCAGAAACTGGGGCCGATGGTGGTTAATGTTGGCAATCATGAAGATGTGGACCTAGGGAGGGAGATGAGGGAGAAGGTGCACTGCAAGCCCCAGGGGAACAGGGACTGGGTCTGTCTGGACCTCCCTGTATCACCCAGGCCTAGCACAGTGCCTGGCACTCAGCAATCACTTGATAAATATTTGTTGAATGAATGACAGTATTTCAAAATCAAAAGACCTTCAGATGCTGCACAGTCTAGTGTTTTTCAAAAACAAAAATTTTCTGGAAGGGCCTTTCCATCAAGTGAAATGTTGTGTGAAATCCAAATGTAAGAAACAGATAAAACACTGGCTGAAGCTAGAATAGAAATTCAGAGCCCCACTTACCCAACCATCATCCCCCTATACCCATAGTAGCCCCATTGTACTCTATCTTTAATTAAAACTGCTCATTTAAACAAGCTTCCAATTATAGACAGATCCAGAGTGGGAGAAAGAATTCTCCCAGGATCACAGAAGTAGAGAGTGTATTAGACAAGAACTTTGATTCTAAATTCAGTGTTCCTTGAGGAACACCACATCCACAGAAAACCTCTGTAGCCTCATCCCAACCAAGAAGGCCTTCCATCTCCTCTCAATACAGGGGTCCCCAGCCGAGGCCTCTAACCTGTGTGGCAATGGTGCGGGACCCATCTGTCACCTCAACAGTCAAGTTATAGTTCGACCTTCTCCTGGTATCAAGAGGCCTGGCAATGACGATGCTGCCTGTGGTCTTCTCAATGTCAAAGTCCATGTCCTTATCCCCACCTAGAGTGGGAGTGGGGAGAAAGCACACACAACCTCAGTGATTTAGGCAGCATAGCATAAGATAGGCTTTGGTTGTCAGGCTCAGAGGACACGGTGGTAAATTCCACAGTACAAGATCTGAGTGACAGGTTGTAGTTTATTCTCCCAGGGAGTCCCAAAACTGTAATTTATTCTGTCAAGTTGTTGTCAAGTTATTTTTATTTGAATTTTATTAATAAATCAAATTGATTAATAAACTATAAGAATCCAAATGTAACAACATATTTTTAAATGTCTAGTATATAGAAATATGTTTAGTGACATGGAAATATGTTCATGATATATTACATTTAAAAATATTATAAAACAATACTTTAATATAACCCTAAGGGTGTGTGTGTGTGTGTGTGTGTGTGTGTGTGTGTGTGTAAAGGAAAAATGACAAAAAGGAAACACATCAACATTATAACAGTGGATTATCTTCTGATTGGTGGAACTTTAGGTGATTTTTATTTTCTTCTCTGCATTCATTTGTGTGTGCTTATTTACTTATTTATAGACAGGCTCTCACTCTGTCACCCAGGCTGGAGTGTATGGTGCAATCATAGTTCACTGTAACCTTGGACTCGGCCTCAAGTGATCCTCCTACTTCAGCCTCTCAAGCAGCTGGGATTACAGGTGCGAGCCACTGTGCCCAGCCCATATGTGTTTTTGAAATGTTTTAGAGGGTACATGCATTAATTTGGTATTAAAGAAAAAAAGTCAAACAAAACAGCCGTAAGCCAGAACTGGAAGTAAGTTCAGGAGGTTCAAAGAGCTTGGGTCAAGGGCATATATCCTATCCTACTCTTAGCCAGGACAGAAAACTGTACCAGGACTCCATGTTCATGTGGGTGCTGAAACTCCTAGAGATTTTTAACCTGGAATCCCTGGATGGGTTTCAAAGGGCCTATACATCCTCTAAATTGTATGCAGATTTACATTTGTGTGTGTTTGTGCACACAACTTTCTGGGAAGAGGACCTAAGCGTTCGTCAGATTCCTGAAGGGTTCTGTGACCCCCAGATGTTGAAACAAAACCTTGATTTAGAGACAGAGAGGAATTTCAGAGAAGGCCATCAGAGCCCGGATCCAAGTGCCTCGTAGAATGAGAATGGGCACTTTCCCCTGATCTCAAGGGTGAAACCTGGAGCCAAAACATTGAGCATGGCCCCAGGGTATAGCTTATGGCAGGCTCACGGTCAACTATGATTTTCACATTGAGGTAGGAAAGGAAACACAAAGCATTTCTGCTCTGGGTCTTCCTGAACCATTTTAGGTCTCCTAGGCCCTTGGGGTAACTGAGGCACTGCCAACTCTGGCTGGGGTTAGAGATCGTGGCTGGAGTGAAAGGAAAGCTTGGCAGACGTGGCATTCTTACTGCCTGTGCTCCCAGAGAACCAGGGAAGAGGCAGTCCCCACTCCGGGCTGAAAGAGGGGCTGCCGAGGAGCCCGACCTTGAGAAGAGTCAGAAGGACTGTAGCAGGAAAACTAGAGCTGGTGTATAAGGATGGGAGGGGTTGGCCCTTGTTGGGCCCTAGGCCTTGCCTCACCTGAGATGTTGAACCAGAAGAGTCCGGGTCTGCCCTCTACGCTGATGACCCCCACCATGTGGTTCACAGGGTCCGTCTCCATGACCGTAAAGCTGTAGTAGGTCTCATCAAAGGCCAGAGGGATGGAGGACGGCCGGGGCCAAGGGATCCACTCAATGTGTAGCCGGACACTGGCTGAGAGTGGTGGCTGCCCACTGTCTGTTGCCTTGATCTGAAAGGAGGCCAACACCAAAACTGAGGTTTGGGGCCAAGAGACAGGAAGACCCAAGCAGCCAGGACAGGAACCAGAGCGTCCTGTGATTCTGACCAAGCAGGCCTCTCATCCAGTCATTCATTCATCTGATGCATACTTGAAGGCTTGCTGTAAACAGGCACCCTGCCAGTTGCTGCAGGCACGGTGGTGAACAAAACGTATAACCTGTGCTCAAGAACCTCATGGTTAGTATAAAAATAATAAATGCCACTGTTAACTGAAGACTTACTGTGTGCTACTTCCTAAATTGAACTTTACATACATATGCCCTTTGCTTTTCCCAACTACCATAAACCTAACAAGCTAGAATTTATTGAGCACTCACTATTATCAGGCCTTGTTCTAAGAGCTTTGTGCGCAATATCTGATTTAATCCTCACAATAACCTTGGAAGAGGTCCTGTTATCATCTGTCTTTTACAAGAATAAACTAAGGCTCAGTGTGGTCGATTCACCTGCCAGATGAAATGCTTGGCTAGCAATGAGACTGGGGTTGAATTCAGGCTGACTGATGTAAGCACCCATGCGCTAGCTACCTGATATATTGGCTTCTCACAAGAAAGACGTTCTTATCTCCATTTTACAAATGATAAAGGTTAAACGACTTGTCCAACATCACACAGGTGTAAAATGGCAGTACTAGGGTTGGAACCCAGGCTTATTGGTTCCAAAGCCCCTGTTACTCTCACTAAATCCTTCTCTCTAAGAATAGAGGGGATTTCCCAGGCAAAGACCTTATTGCCTTCAAAGAGAAGGACCCAGAATTTGATCCTTTGGCTGAAGCTGAGACTCCCAGTTTCTCTGGGAGAAGGCCAGGAAGGAGAGTACCATTTCCCTTATGCTGGTGGGCTGTCTCCCTCCTCCTGAATTCTCAAAGAAGGCCACTAACCAGCATGCCACTCCTCCCTCCGTGGCTTCCTTCTGTCTGCTCACCGTTAGGATGTTGTACTCTCCAGCTGTAAAAGTGCTGCTGGATGAAACCACACCTGTGACCAGGTCGATACTGAAGGCCTCCTCATCGCTGTCCTCGATACTGTAGGTGACTCTGCCATTAAGACCCTCATCCAGGTCTGAAGCCACCAGCCTGTACACAGGCCCAGGGGACACAGGGCTCAGCCTCTCTGGAAGGCGGACATTGAAGAGCTTGTGGGAGAATATAGGTGGATTGTCATTGACGTCCAAGATGCCTACCACCACCCTGGAGGTGGACTTCAGTGAGGGTTCCCCATTGTCCAGCACAGTCACCTGGGAGCAGAATTGAGCATGAGCACCTGAGCTGACAATTGCAAATTAGTGACTATGCTTTAACAACCTGGAAATAGTAGTCACTTTGTTCTTTGGTATGAGCTTGTACTTTTTATTATCATAACTTCACCTACTTGGAACTCAGCTCTCTGGCAACTTTGCCCCTGGGAAAGCCAGTGAGAACAGAGAAAGGAAGCAGAAAGAACTGGAAGAAGACAGAGTCAGAGTCTCTAGACAAAAGCTGGTGCTGTTTATGTGGGACAACCCCTGGGCCATTTCTCAGAGACTACCTACTTTTTACTTGCTTGTGTTTTTCATAATTTTAGTTCTCTGGTTTCCTTAAGTTGCTCGATTAGAGAAAATAAATGAGAAAATGTTGATGAGGGAATGAGTGGTACTTTTTGAGTCAGACATGTGCACGTGGCCTGATGCATGCAATGAAATCCAGAGTGAGAAAAGGCCCCAAAACCATTTCAGAACCAGTAGCTATTTAATGCAGAGGCAAATAATCACATGCATCAATAGCCCCAAGGGCATCACATCAGACAGGAGATTTCCACCTGAAATGGTTCTGAATTTTAAAAAACACTTTGGTGTTTAAAGGTAAATATCTGTTACTGAACTGTGGAGAATGCTTTCAGTCCCTAGGAATTCTAGAAGGCCATTTAGCTACTTCTTACTAATAATATATTTCTTTTTTTTTTTTTTTTTTTTTGAGACTGAGTCTCGCTCTATCGCCCAGGCTGGAGTTCAGTGGCACGATCTCAGCTCACTGCAACCTCCGTCTCCCAGGTTCAAGTGCTTCTCCGCCTCAGCCTCCCCGGTAGCTGGGATTACAAGCACCCGCCACCACACCTGGCTAATTTTTGTATTTTTAGTACAGATGGGGTTTCATCATGTTGGCCAGGCTGGTCTTGAACTCCTAACCCCAAGTGATCTGCCCGCCTCAGCCTCCCAAAGTGCTGGGATTACAGGCATGAGCCACCGTGCCTGGCTAATAACACCTGTTTCTTACCAAAGGAAAAAGAATGTGCAGAGCCTGGAAGTATCAAAGGCAAAATTTGTTTCCTGCTGAGGAATATGTATTCCCCCCTCCTGATACTTTTAAAACTAGAAGAGATCATCAGTGAAGGACAGCTCAGGAGGGGAAATAGTTAGATTTCCACCTGATCTGCTTCTCTTCTGATTTCATTCCCTCTAGGTCACT